>NC_000003.12:157341937-157644967 GCF_000001405.40 Homo sapiens | reverse complement strand
AATTTAGTTCCTGTCTGGTCTTTGTAGATTTCAGGTACAAATTCTGGGCTCCCACAGAGTGAATGAGGTTTTTTGTTCTACATAAAGGTTGTGTTCAAGAGAACAGGCTCCAGTCTGCCTCACCAACCCAAATTCTCTTAAAATTTCAGTAAAGGGTCTCTCTTATTTTGGGTGGTTTGTTTAAGTCAAAGCTGATGCTTAAGTGTCATATCTTCCTACAGCAACAAATATTTATTGATCACCTCTATGCATAAGGCATTGTGCTAGAGGGAGTCAAGTTAATTTGAAGTGCTTCCTAATTGCCCTCTGGGTGGCTGAGGTTACGGTGATTCTTAATCAAAACCTTTGCATCTGTCTTTACTGAGAAAAATGTAAGGGCAGTTCTTCTCTACTTGGCTGCACATTAAAATCACCTGGCGAGCTTTTAAAAATAATAGTGCCTGAGTCCCACCTCCTGTGTTCTCATTTAATTGGCCTGGGATGTGGCCTGGACATTGGAATTTTTTTAAAGTTCAGCAAGTAGATCTTATAAACTGCCAAAGTTACAAACTGCTGCATTCAAGAGAGTCCCACTCCCACATTTCCTCTCATAGAGTAGTGATCAGAATCATCAGCTCAAACAATGTTAAATCCCAAGATCCTTCTGACCTAATTCACTAGTTGGATTTCAGACAGGGTAATGGGGTGGAAAGAGACCCCACAGAGGTGGCCAAGAGATCTGGGCTCCAGATAGGGCTCTCTTCTACTGCTCCCCAGAAATGTGACTTCTTTAGACTTAAATGTCCCGGATCTCAGCTTTCTGGCCTGAAAAATGAACGAATTAGACTAGATTGGTGTTTTCCAAACTTTTATTATCAATGACTACCTTTTAAGCCCCCTGGATATAGTTTGTATCTGTGTCCCCACTCAAACCTCATGTTGAATTGTAATCCCCATTGTTGGAGGTGGGACTTAGTGGAAGGTGATTGGATCATGGGGGTGGCTTTCATGAATGGTTTAGTACCATCCCCTTGGTGCTGTTTCTCATGATAGTGAGCAAGTTCTCACAAGACCTGGTTGTTTAAAAGTGTGGCAACTCCCCTCTCTCTCACTCTTGTTCTTGCTTTTACTATGTGATGTGCCTGCACCCACTTTGCCTTCTGGCATGATTGTAAGCTTCCTGAGGCCTCCCCAGAAGCAGATGCTGCTATGCTTTCTGTACAGCCTGCAGAACCATGAGGCAATTAAACCTCTTTTCTTTATAACTTACCCAGTCTCTGGTACTTCTTTATTCTAATCCAATAACGTCCTAACACACCCTTCTTCCCAAATGGATATATTTTTTTAAAAAACTATATCAAATTTCATTTGTGTTAATAACATCCCCCCCAATTAAATAAATTGAAGATATTGTCAGAAGTTTAGAGAAGGGACCTGGTGCTTAAATCCTTCTACAGATTACTTTTCTTCTCCACACTTTGACTAATCCTGTGTAAATGCAAAGTACTAAGTTGAGTGGGCATCAAATGCTATCCTTTATCTATCTTAGAAAACAGCTGAGAGGCTCACTGGGTGCTGGGAATTGTGGGGCCATCCTCACTTGCCACCTCCACTGCCACTCCAGCCTTGGCCAGTGACCTTCAGGGAAGCCAGAGGACAATGAGACTGCTCAATGTACCTCTTGGAGTAAGCATAGGCAGCTCCAGAAGGAAGCTGTGACAAGAGATCCAGCCTTCAATGAGACAACATTTAATGCACTAACCCTGCTCGACAGAGAGATGAGGCCCGGGAACATCAGGCCACCCTCATCAAGCAGATTTCTCTCTCGTCTCTTTCTGTGAAGAGGGGTAAGTAAGGGAATGGAAGGAGGGGTGGAAGCTGCCTCCACAGCTTTCTGTAGGAGAGTTGAAGTTAGCAGAAGTTTTTTTCCTGAGGACTGATAGACGAATCCAAGAAGAAAAAAAGAATGGATTCCTCTGATAATCCCTGCCCATCAGATTCTCTGATTAATGTAAAACTGCCAGTGTTATCATTGAACAAACAAAGTTTAAGCCTAAAGCAAGGAAAACTGGTGTGTTAGCTCCTGTGTTTTATTAGGGATAAATGTTGATTGTTGTTAAGCTTATTTAAAAACACTAAAAGTAGCTTATAGATCCCATGACTGGCTTTAAAATTAGGGGATGGAAACTGGTGGTTGGGACTCCTGAATTAGATGGTTCTAAGATTCTTTTAACACTAAAACCCAAAAATTCTGTCATTTAAAAACTTATATAGAACAAAGGGTTTAAAAAAATTTTGTTGGTGTCAAAAAGGAATCAATATTAAAGAAAAAATATAGAATTTTGTTTTAACCAATACATATACTTTGAAAGTGCTCAAAACGAATTTATGGGATAATGGGAGGTAACTTTTTAGGAACCTGAACCGCACTGTGCATTATTTTAGACAGACCACTCAGAGAATCCTAGGTATGTGGAAAAAGCCTTCTGTTTTAGCCAAAATTCTTTTGTCAACTCATCTTAAGCAACTGGAGTGGATGTTGAAAAAACAAAAATATGCATAAAATAATACTTTCTTATGCTATGTTAACTTTTGTTACTTAATGGCTAATTATTTCATTTGATGAATACCAGTGGTCCTGCTTACTTCAAACCTTATCTTGTCTGTTGCCTTTTAAGTACTATAAGACTTTGCTATTTCACTTCTTCCTGAGAAGTAAGGGTATAAATCTTAAAAGAGACTAAATTAATCCACATTGATATTCATGAGCATCTCTATAGTGACTGTGCCTGGCAGGTATAGCATGTGTGGTGGTGAAATGGGGCTGACATGTCAATTTTCCAGCAATGCTTGACCTCTCTTCTCACTCAAACTTCCCTGTTCACACATGTGGGGGATCACTCCTTCATACTACATGACCAAGCCACAGCTGATCAGACCAAGGGTAGGTGGCTAACTTAAGGGCAACCAAAACATTGGTTGGGTTCAGCCAGATTTTTCCTTACAGTTTGAATGAACAGATACAGATACAGTAATCAAAGAGTGATGTGCCTGAGATCTCAGAAGTCACAGACTCAGGGCCAAAGTTGACTCTGGCCTAAGTGTGAGCTGAAGTCGTGAGGAAGCAGAAACTATAAGCCCTGCAGACAAAGGCAGTCTGCAAGAGAATGGACCTTCTGCAGGGAAAAGTGAAAATGAGAGACTGTGTAGACCAAGAAAGAAGCAAGAGCTGTAACCTAAAGACTTAACAGTCCAGCTAAACTTAGTGTAACTTAGACTCTATGTGATTCCTCTTAATCTATATCATTTCCATAGCTCTTTTTTAAAAACTGAAGCTCACTTAAACCAGTTGCTGTCCCTTGTAACCAAAGTACCTTTGTTAAAATGTCTAGTGGGGAAGAGATTCTCTTACCTCTGTTGCAGTGAGAGAATTATCTGGGGTTTCAATGTATACCTTTCTCACCCTTCCTTGTGCCTGCTGCCTGCATCCTCTGTTGTTTCAGACAAGTAAGGATGGGCTTAAGCAAAACATACCAACCTGTTTCTCTATAAAACTATTATAAAGAAATGAGGAAAATATTTTTATTTCCGTATTTGATGAGTTAATAGGGTTTCTCCAACAAATAGGTAGCTATGCCTGGCTCACCCACAGGCCACACGATTGAACAAATACTTAACAATCCACTATGTGCTCTGAATATAAAATAAATAAGAAAATATTTCATGCCTAGAGGAGTGTGTAGTCTGAGAAGACACACATAGTCTATTAGCTATTATAGTCATCAAAGTCATTCCTCACACTTTCATTTAATCTCATTATGCATCCTATAAGTGATTTGTGGAAAGTCCTATTGGAATGCAGAGGACCGTATCGGTCATTCTGGTTGAGGAGTTGAGGAAAGCTTCACAGAAATGGGAAGAAGTGATTTAAAGTATGTCTAGTGTATCATGTTTTCCAAAGAGTGCTCTGTGGAACAGTAGTTTCATGAAATATAATCATATATAAATAGACAGATGGATGGATGGATGGATAAACGGGCAGACAAATAGATCTATGAACAAATAAGCTTCAAAAGTTCTAGGCTTCACAAAGTTTACAATTTCTTTACTGTAGACCTTCTCAGGAAGGGTCCTTAATATTTGAATCAGAATTTTGAATTTCCAAGAAAGACATATAGCATTGACCAAATTATTGGTTTACAAGACCCTTTTTTCCTTTGAGCCTTTTACAAGAAGCAGTATTTTGCAAGCCAGATTAAAAAAATTGAATTTTGCCCATTTCTTCTTATTTCTTACTCCTGTTATTTAGAATAGTTAGAATGATGATCATTATGCAGCCATGATGACGTCTTTAATATCATCATTTAATAAGACTACATAGACAAAACTTGTTTACAGATTCCTAAAATGATCTATCAATAGTTCTTCAAAAAAATTGTTTTATTTTAATAAAAAATTTATCCAATCTGACTTAAATACAAAGAAAGCTTCCACAGGTTTTTGGATAATCCTTTATCAAGTTGCTGAAACTTTATCAAAATCCTTTCAAGAACAGCAGGCAAGAAGTGAGGTCCAATAAGCCTTGGAGATTCTGGGCCATGTCAGTGTACCGAAGTATTGTTGCCTGGATTACACATGCCTCATTGCCTACCCTTACAGTCAGGTTGCCATTGGCATTCTGGGGTTATTCCCATGATCACACAACTGGCTCCAGCTCCCCGCATCCTGGGTGATGTTTGTTCAGCACAGATGAGAGAAAGTTCTTGCTTCAGAGCCAATAGCAATTCAAAGCCCTGCCTGTCTTGTGTCTCAGCATGTTTAAATCCAGCTGCTTAATCTGAATCTTTAGTGCTTTTCACCATTGTGTTTGTTTTTCTTCTTGCTAATTTGTGAGAGATGAAATGACCTCCTCAAAAGCCTTTATTTGAGGGCTCATTAAAATTCTAGGAAGTCTTTCATTTGCTTGTTCCTTCACAGGCATTAATTTGCATGGTCCATCATAACAAGAGGGTTAAGGACAACATGGAACTATTCAACACATCATTTCACTCCTAACCATTGTTACTGCACAGACCAAATCAGCTATGTGGGCCCATGATGCCATGGGCCAACAGTCTGTGTGTCTCTCCTGCCATATTCTGTCAGTTATTAAAGAGAACACTACACTCTTGGAAAAATCACTTACTATGACAGCCTTTTCCCCTTACACTAAATAAAAGTGGGGAGAAAAATGGTTAACAAGAAAATCTCTGTAGGAGTCTCCTTAGTAATTTGATTCTGATGAAACTTGACTGTTTTTACTCTATAGTTTTCAGGTCTTTCATAAGTTGACCATAGCTACCACAGCAGTCAGTTTTTCCCATTAGAAAATTGAAAAACATGACCCTTTGACACCTGAACAGTTTTGCCTCCCTGTAAATTAGGAGTTTTCTTTCCAAGACTGCTAATTCATTCTTCCTCATGACATCTTATTCTTGTTTTATAATCTCTTCTTCTTGTTTCACAGATGCAATTCTTTTTCCTGTTTCACAGATGCAATACTTTTTTTTTTTTTTTTTTTTTGAGATGGAGTCTCGCTCTGTCGCCCAGGCTGGAGTGCAGTGGCGCTATCTTGGCTCACTGCGAGCTCTGCCTCCCGGGTTCACACCATTCTCCTGCCTCAGACTCCTGAGTAGCTGGGACTACAGGCGCCCGCCACCACGCCAAGCTAATTTTTTGTATTTTTAGTAGAGACGGGGTTTCACCGTGTTAGCCAGGATGGTCTCAATCTCCTGACCTCGTGATCTGCCCACCTCGGCCTCCTGAAGTGCTGGGACTATAGGCATGAGCCACCGTGCCCGGCACACAGATGCAATTCTTTCTTTATCTCACTGGAGATTTTTAATCTAATTATTTTAAATTTCTCTTCTGACTGCTTTAACTGTGTTTCTTTCTATGTAGCTTTTTTAACTTATTTTTTTTTTGCATCTATTCCTGCTCTTTTCTTTCATGACACTGACTTTCCTCAAATGCTGATGCTTCTTGGTTGTGCACCCATTTTTTTTTTCTGCAATAGATTTCTTACCAAGATGGTAGCTTCTTGCATTGCTACCTAACCTTTATATTTTTTCATACAGATACTGTTAGTTTCTCTATGAGGGTCCACTGATACTCCTTAGCGTTTTTTGGCAGGGTATGTGGGAGGGGGAGGGCATGTGTTGCAGTGAGTGCTCAGTCCACCATCTTATACTATAAACTATAAACAAGTGTTAATTTTAGTTACTTTTATGCGTGCTCTTACTTCCCTGGGAAATTTTATTCAGAAACTTAAAAAAAATATTCAGGACTTTTCTTGGAGGCTGTCAGATTCTATAGTCTTATGTTTGAAAGTCAAATATTTCAGGCTTGATTTTTGCTAAGGCATTTATTCAAATTCTCAAACATCTGCTTATTGAATCTGCTATGTGTTTTGGAATAATTCTTGGCTACCAATCCTGACCTTAACACTAATTAGGATGTGTAACCTTCAGCTCATTTAGTCTCACTTTCCAGGGTTAACTTAAAGATGAGTTTTGTATGCAAAACAACTACTAGAGTGTCTGGTACACAGTAAATGCTCAGGAAAAAAGAAGAAAAAAACACCCTATGCTTTTTCTGCCCACATACTAATGAATTTCTGTGTTCTTTATTTGTTTTTGTACATGTAAATTTTCATCTGGTATGATTTTCCTTCTGCCTGAAAGATTACCTTTGATATTTTAATAGAGCAGATCTCCTTGTAATGAACTCCATCAGCTTTTGTATGTCTGAAAAAGTCTTTATTTCATCTTCATTTATAAAAGATACTATTTCTGGGCATAGGATTTTAGATTGACTTTTATCTCTTGGTATGGATTGCTGTGATCCACTGTCTTCTGGCCTGCATTATTTCTGATGGGAAGTTTGCTGTCATTCTTATCTTCATTCCTTTGTATACAGTAGGTCTTTTTTCCTCTGGCTGCTTTGAAGACTCTCTCTTTATCATTATTTTAAAGCAATTCGATTATTAGGTGATTTGGTGTACAGTTCTACAGAGGCAATGAGTTTGCACAAATGCCCAGCATTGTTTTTCTGCTCCATTTTCAGTGACACACTGAAGTTTTTTCAGAATGTCTTCTGAGCCAAGTAGTTCTCCTTCCTTATCCCTCCTTCAAACCCAAATATCTTGGGTTTGAAAGTCAACTGAGCTTCTTGGATCTGCCAGTTTATAGTTTATAATTTAGAAGCATTCATTATTTCATCATTTTTTTTATCTCTACCTCTCCTTCCGAAACTCCAATTACATGTTTTTCAGTTTCCTTGAAGTTGTCTCACTGTTTGCTAATGCTATATTACTTTTAGTTTAGTCTTTTGTCTCCCTGTGTTTTATTTTGGAGAGTTCCTATTTCTATGTCCTCAAGTTCTCTAATCTTTACCTTACCAGTGTCTAGTCTGCTGTTGATTCTGTTCAATGTATTTGCCCTACAAGACATTTTAGTTTTCATCTCTAGTAGTTCAAATTACATATTTTTCTATCTTCCTCTACTTAACTTGCTTATGCTTTTCTCTAACTCTTTGAACTTATGGGCTGTAGTTATAATTGTTTAAAAATCTTTGTCTAAGGTCTCTCTGACCTTCTCTGGCCCTCCTCTCTCCCACTCCCTTTCTCCCCCAAGGCGTGTCATAGAAACCTGAATTCTTCTCTCCTAAGGTAGGTCATAGAAACTAGAACTCCTCTCCTCCAGAGCAAGCTATAAAACTTAGAAAGGTCATACTCTGACCTACTTCTCCCAAAAGTACATCACAAGACCTTCATTCCAGAGAGTTCTTCCCCATACCCAGGGGAAGGAATGTTACACAGAGAGGCCAAGTAAAATCTGAACAGACAGGCCTTGCTGAGTTCCCTTCAATTGATTACCATTAGCTCATACTCCTTTTGTCCAATCACGTTTCCCCACAGCTATCCACTTCTTTTGTCAAACTTAGCATAAAAGTAGACTTTTTCCTGGGTGTCTTTGGGTCTTCATTTCTGAAGGCTCCCATGTCACATAAAACTTTGTTAAATAGGCCAGGCATGGTGGCTCACACCTGTAATCCCAGTACTTTGGGAGGCCAAGGCAGGCGGATCAGATCGCTTGAGGCTAGAGTTCACAACCAGCCTGGCCAACATGGTGAAAACCTGTCTCTACTAAAAACAAACAAACAAAATCTTCCCAAATTTGTTAAATAAATTTGTTATGCTTTTCAAAAAATAAAAATAGAATCCTTGCAAGGTCTTTCCACTGTGGCTTTCCATGAGAGCATGAATTAATAATCCTGGTCTGTTCCTTTCCAGTAGTTCTTTCCTTGCCCGCGATAGTTTCTTCACTTGCATACACTGATCAGCCCTCACTGGAAGACTCAAAGGGGACTACCTGCAGACCTCTAGGTGTCCTTTCTCTGCGCAGCTCTCTCCTCTTAGTAACTCAGTCCAGTTAGAGTTGCTTTGGCCGTCCTTAATTCTCAGCTCATCTCCTCAACTCAGAGAGACCTCGAGGTTCTGTCTGGATTCCCTCTCCCTGCGGAGTAGCCTGAAAACTCTCTCCAGGCAATAAGCTGGGGCAGTCATAGGGTTCACCTTGTTCGTTTCCCTGTTCTCAGGGATTGTTATACTATGCAGCCTGTTTCCTGATCTCTGAAAATCATTTTTCCATATATTTTGTTTGTTTCATTAGTGGTATAAAGCAGTAGGGTAAATCCAGTTCCTGTTACTCCATATTGGAAATCAGCATAAAATGCTCAATAAATCATGATTATTTTTATTTTTTACCTTAATGGTGTGCCCGACATTATATTTGGCCCTATGGATTTAAAGAAGCATAAGATAAAACTCTTATCTATGTATGCACTCTTTGTCTTTATTCATCTGCATATCTCTACATTTTAGTATTCTGTTTCCTTTTAAACCACTAAACCTATCCTAACCAATACATTTTCCTGTGTTTCTGTCTAGTCTTTCTAACAATTATTTTTTAATATTTGCATATTCTTTCATTGAGTAGATGCACCTAATTTACTTATTCATCCACCAATTTTTGAGTAATTAGGTTGTTTGCAATTTTCTTGGTCGTAGATAAAACCAAAATGTAATTGTGTGTGTGTGTGTGTGTGTGTGTGTTGAGAAATCACTAAATTACATTCCTCTGCGATTTGCAACAAGCAGGTAAGCCTTAATAATCTTACCAAGTGAGAGCTCTGCTTGTTTTGTCTACAGTTTTCTTCCTTTATTTCCTCCTTCCATTCTCTCTCTTTCTCTCTTATTCTCCTTTCTTCCTCTCCCTCTTTCCCTTCTTTCTTTCTTCCCAATGAGCATTTATTGAACACCTTCTATGTTCTAGGCACTGTGCTGGTGCACGAAGTTTAACTGTGGACAAAAGCCATGATTCTTGCCTTAGAGGACTTATGGTCAGGATGAGGGCAGACAGGAAATTAAATAAATAAAAACAATACATAATAAGTGCTCTTACAGGGTAAATCCATTTGAAGAATTCAAATAGCATCCATTCACACAAGTTCCACATATCTCTCACAGGACAGTAAGAGATAGGAAGAAAGAATACATAGGCATTCTGGCTAGCCTCTCCTTGTCAATGATGTAGTGCAAGAACATGCAGGGAGTTGAATATCTGACAGGCCTGGGTTTGAGACCAGGCTCTGCTACGTACTAGCTGGATAAGCAGGGACAAGTTATTTAACTTTGCTCATTCTGATTTTTAATGTCTAAATAAGAGTCATAATTTATCATGGGGTGCTGTGAGAATTAAAGACAATATATGTAAAGTGCAAGGCACATAGTAGATCCTTAGAAAATGGTAGCTAATATTATTACTAGCTGTTTGATACTGAACAAGACAACTCCTTGGACTTCAGTTTACTTATCTGTAATGCGATTATGTGGAAGGTCTGTTTTTAAAGTTCTACAGAGGCAATGAGTTTGCACAAATGCCCAGCATTGTCTCTCTGCTCCATTTTCAGTGACACACTGAAGTTTTTTCAGAATGTCTTCTGAGCCAAGTAGTTCTCCTTCCTTATCCCTCCTCTTGGCTCTGAGCTGAGGCTATTCTAAAATTTAGTAGAATTCTTCTTTATCTGGAAACCAGGCAGTCATTTGGAAACAGCCCATTTGCCAGCTGTCTCCCAACAAACACCTAGAAAGTCTGGCATGAACCTTGGATAGCAGTTCAGGTTCAATTTAAAATTAATAAACCAACGTTTTTATATCAAGGAGAAACATTAGCACACCAAATGAACAAGGAAAAATTAAACATCAAATATTTCTCCAAGTAGAAGACATAGAGGGCATTTCAGGTCAGCTCCAATAAGAATGTAGAAAATAACTTAGATTTTTAAAAATTGTCTATGTTCCAGAAGTAGCAACTTTAAAAATTTCATAAAGTGAGAACTTCTATGCCCTCCCAAGCATAAGAGCCATCTCTCATGAAATAGTCCAGTGGCCAAAAAAGCAGAGAAACATGTAAGAATGGTTCTAAATTGTGTTGAGGCAACCTTTTATTCAAAACCTTCCCTTCCTGGATGCTGAACATTGAGGCAAAGCTCTTCCCCATCATTTCTTTCTTGCAAGGGTATTTTTCTATTTCCTAAATTCCAGGCTATATATTTCACAAATTCCAGGTGCTCTGCCTGTGTTATTAAGAATGGTAGATACTGGGAAGAACCGAGAACTTTATCAATCATCAACACCAACCTCTTTGTTTTATAGATAAGGAAGATAAAGCCCAGGTTTAATAATAATAATAATAATTCTCAGTACATGTGAATGGAGAGAAAGATGAAAGAGAAAGTGAAAAGTGAAATGTTCCTAAACCATTAGTCACACTCAAAATGTTCTAATTTGTGAACTATTGGATTTGTGCTGCTGTTAGGAGCAAAGGAGATCACTTTTAGGCATATTTGGTCAATATCAAGTGTCAGACACAAAATCACATGTTGCTAATTGTTCTTTAATCCTTAGAGCTGGGTTTCAAGGTCTTCAACACTGCATACTAGCCACCTATTCTGACAGCTTTTTCAACAGTGAGTTTACAAACTTTTAACAAAAGCTTAGCTTAGGTAACGGCTGAAAATGAGACAAACTGATATCATGCGTCTCGATATGACGCATTAAGATGGACATAATTCTACTTATGTAAGTATTCCTGCTCAAAATGTACAACCCAAATCTAATCATGAGAAACATCAGACAAACCCAAACTGAGGGATAATATACAAAATAACTGACCTGTGGTCTTCAAAGATGCCAGTGTCATAAACAACAAAATAGTAAAAGGCTGAGGAACTGTTCCAGATTAAAGGAGACTAAAGAGACATGATAAGTAAATGTAATGCATGATTCATGATTAGATCTTGATAGGGCTGGAGAAAATATTATAAAGGACATTATTGGAACATGTATTAGTCAGCTCTGGCTGCCAGAACAAAATACCACAGTCTGGGTTGCTTAAACAACAGAAATTTTATTTTCTCACAGTTCTGGAGTCTAGAAATCCAAGATCAGGGTACCAGCAGGTCTTGTCTGGTGAACGATCTCTTCCTGACTTGCAGACAGCCACCTTCTAGCTGTGTCTCTGCATGGCAGGAAGAGACAGAGAAAGCACTCTTGTGTCTCCTCTTACAAGGGCACTAAGCCCATCAGACCCGGACCCTACCCTCATGACCTCCCAAAGGCCCCCCTCCCCAAGTACCCTTACACTGGGGGATAGGGCTTCAATTTATGAATTTAAGCAGACACAATTCAGTCCATAACAGTAGGGTTGACAAAATTTGAATATGGGCTAAATTTACATAATAGCATTGTGCCAATGTTAAATGGAATTTATAATACTGTGGTCATGTAAAAGAACATTCTTCCCCTTAGGTCATATACATTAAAGTATTTAGGGACAAGGAGAATCGTTGTACACAACTTACTTTCACATGGTTAAGAAAAGCAATTATAGAAGAGTGTGTGTATGTGTGTGGTGGGGGCAGATAAAGAAAGAGGGAGGGAGATAATGAAATGGAGCAAAATGATAACAGTTGGTGAAGATATATAAAAGGTATATAGGAGTTCTTTTTATTAGTCTTGTAATTTTCTTTAAATTTGGAATTATCTAAAAATAAAAGTTGGGGTTTTTTTGTTTTGTTTTTGTTTTTGTTTTTTTGAGATGGAGTTTCGCTCTTGACACCCAGGCTGGAGTGCAATGGTGTGATCTCAGCTCACTATAACCTCTGCCTCGTAGGTTTAAGGGATTCTCCTGCCTCAGCCTCCCCAGTAGCTGGGATTACAGGCACCCGCCACCACGCCCAGCTAAGTTTGTTTGTTCAAAATAAAAGTTTTTAAAAGTTTACCAGTATCTTTCCAGGGTAGGCTGGGGGACAGGGTGCAGGGACGAAAAGAAACACATATATATTCATGGAGATTGCCAACTTGTGTCCTGATATGTCGCCAAGAGCAGATATTGGGACAGGGTGATGTAAGAGTGAGGTTGGTCCTCAGACTCTTGGACAGATGCCTGGGTAGTGGCTGATTTGCAAACAGAACCTCTCTAATTTTATTTCACTAACATTTCAAATTGCCTGCTAATGTATCTACAAATCAAATGGACAAAATGACCTCTGTTAAATTCTCCATCCTTTTAAGAGAGTCATATGTAACTGACACTCTCAGTACTATGTGTCATGTGCCAGGCACATACCAAATCATAAAAATGTCCTAAGGCATTAATTATCGCAGCTAAGGAGAGTAAAGACAGTGGCTCCTGCTAATTGTCAAAGTCCCCTGTGTGACTGCACACTGCCACACACACAGTCGGAGCTTAAGAAACACGAATTGGTGATGAAAGTTGCCATTCTTCTTCCTTTGCAGGAAACAGCAGTGATTAAGTTGGGGGAACACATCAAAAACCCCCATGCCTGCTCAGGCACAAACACTGCAACAGAACTTGGATCCCAAGCAAGTGGTGGATGCCCTGCAATAGCGATCAGCAATTCTGTTTGATTTAGGAAGTGCTAATCAATAACGAGTCCAACTTGGAAAACTGCACTGGCTTAATCATTTTGCATCTGGTATCCAGGACTGACACACCCCAGCTGGAAGGGAGGAAAAGAGGCATAAGGAGAGAGAGGGAAGTAGAAGAGGGATGTGTGGTGGGGGGACACAAAAAAACAAGTTCATGAAAACCGAGTAAACCTTTCTGGAGTTAAAAATCGTTTCAACTTTCAAAGACGAAATCTCACCCCCAAGTGAAAGACATGACATAAATGCAAAGGCAAGTGAAGATAAACAAAAGGCCCCGCTCAGATGTTCCCGAGGTGATCCGTCATTGTCAAGGAATTCTTTACACATCATAATGATTCCGAGCACCCTGCCAGCTTGTCTCACGTACTATTTCTATATCTTACAGGATTTTTTTTCTTTCCTCCAGTAAACAGCACTTTACAACACAAGGTTTGACTGTAATTTTCATCAAACTGCAACTTGTGCAGGTTTGTGAGAGATGTCTTATTACTTAAATCCAGCTGTACGGCTCTTTTACCTTCAAGGACTGTTCCCTTGATACACCCTGTCAGCTGAGGGTGGCAGGATAACAATTAGCCTGCAAATCCATCCATTTAAATTAAAAACAAAATGCAACGGGATTGCAGGCAGAATGTGTTCAAATTCCCTTCCTATGGATTCAAGGTGGGCCCAGCCCTCCTCCTGGACCAAGGATACCTGGAGACTGGACTCTGGGGGTTGGTGACAGAGGGGAGAAGGCAAGACACAGTCCCGGCCCATTGGCTTCAGCTGTGAACCATCGTTGTGGAGGCAAATCTGCAGCTGAAAACTAGGCTGGCAGGCCAGCTGGTTGCCCATCTGAAGAAGCTAAGCACTAGCAGAGGTGCAGGTCCAGGGTAAGGCAAATGGGTGGAAAATTGAGAGCAGGACACCCAGCAAGACGTTCTGAACAAAAGGCCAGAGGTAGAGCCTCCCAGGACTGCAGGCTCATATCTTCAGATGCCTCTGACATCACTGAGAGGAGAGGAGTAGAAGGGGGGAAGGAAGAGGTTTTAGGGGTCCTCAGGAAGCCAGGATTCTGATGAAGGAAAAATATTGAACTGGGTAAGTTTTCTTGGCTACTTCAACACTAATATTTTGGGGCAAGCTAATTTCTCTTTGTGAAAATAAAAATGAACCCAATATAATGATGACTCTTTTGGCAATTTTCTGGGGTTTTGGTCAGATTGTTTTCTTGATGTTTTTGCCCTAAATCAATGCTTTTCATGAATAACAAGAAGATCTAAACAAGTAGAAATGACACTAAAGATATCACTGTACACCCATCAGATTGTCAATGGAACTCTCATTCCCTGAGGAGGGGAATATAATTTAGCTCCCATTGGAGAGCTCCTGGGCAGTTACTGGTTGATAGAGGTTCCCTCATTTATTGAGCAGTCTAGTCTCATTGGATAATAAACATGATGAGATTTTATTCCCTCTGACGAATGCCCAAACTGCACTACGTTGAGTCTCCCTGCCAGCTGAGGACAAGCTCTCTTAATAACCTTTGGCCAAATTCTCTAGCTTTTATCCCTTTTGCTTATTGGTGTGTTTAAAACTCAGTCCTGTTTGTTTCCAAGCATTGATCTCTTATCTGATGCGAAGCTCTTTTCCTCCTTCTCTTGGCTACAGCTACTGCTAGGGCTCTCTTAGCCGGTGGAGGTGGAGTCCCAGCTGGCAGACTCTCAGATACCAACTTTCTATGTCTCCAGAGAAAAGGGAAAACAGCAAAGTTATTTCCTGTGTGATTAGGTGAGGGTGCAATCTTCTTCCTGTAGTGCTAGCTACATCTCTGGCCCATGCCAATGAGCTCTTGATGTCCTCCTCCACATGGCAACATCCAATTGCTGGGCTCTCATGGGGCGCAGGTATGGATTCTTTGAAGGGCTCCATGGGAACTTATCCCCTGAGTAATTGTCTGACATGGGATCTAACCTGCCTTCACTTCCTCCACCCTGCCTCAGTGTCTTGACAGAGCATGATGTTCCCCTAGAGAATGGCACTCTGGTGGAGTACTACAAAGGTGGCTGAAGTCCAGGCATGCTCCTTGATGTTCTCTCAACTCATGTAAACCAGCAGTGGTATATTTGCCATGCTAAATGGTGGGAGGGCAGGTGTCCCTCTCTCAGTCCTATCTTCTCTCCTGCCTCCTCCTCCACACCCTGGCAGCATCAGGCACTCTGAAGGTCCAGGCTCTCACCCAATTTCCCATGAAAGAGGACCAGACTCTGACTGAGTTATATGTGGAAGGGAAGGAGAATGATTCTGACAGATGCACAGAAAACCTTTATCAGTGATTATCTTTGGTCTTCCTTCCTTGGCTTTTATAGTGAATATTGTGGTTATGTGAAGAGAGGGAATATCCTCTCTTCATGAACTTAGTACTACCTCCAAAGGCCCCCTCCTTTCTTCCTGTTCTCTCCTTAAGTTGACTTGGGTGGAAGTGATTAGAATAACCTATTCTTAGCATTGGTGCTTCTCAGTATGCCCTCCTGGAAAGTAGCTGATCACAACTGCTATGACATGACTTCATAGTGGTTATATGGAATGTTGGGAACATAACATTTTTTGTCCTAATCTTTAGGCCGTAGACACAATTCTGATACAACAGGGAAAATAAAATAGAACATGTGGGTAGCAGACCACCCATCAATTCTAGCCTACGTATGTATCCTAGAGAAATTCTCACACATATGCATGAAGAGAAGTCTACAAGAATATTTCTAGCAGTATTATTTATAATCATGAAAAATTGAGAAAAATCTAAATTTTCACAGTAATGGAATGAGTAAATAAAGTGTGGAAGCTGGGCTGGTATTCAGCCAGGTGTGTGCAGGTACACATAGATACAGAGTTACTGCTGTTTATGTGTGTTGGTTGGTTCCAGAGCCATGCCAGTTGCTAAATATTTTGAATATGACTTCCTAATCATCTGATTGACTACATTATAAACACAAAAATGAATAAACTAAGTCAATATTGATCAACATGAATAGGTCTCAAATGTTGGCTCAAAAAACAGCAGAAAGAAAAATGATAAAATGTACGTATAATTTTAAAAGTATACAAAAGAATGTTGTTTGTGATTTATGTATATGTAAGTATTGATTATATAAAAACATGGGTAGGAAATGTTGCATCAAATTTGTGATAATGGTAGCCTCTGGGGTGGAAGGGGAGCTGAATTGGGGAAGAATACAGAGGGAACATCATCTTTACCAGCTGTGTTTTATTTCTCACCTTAAAAAAAGTTCTGGATACCAAAAGCAAGAACAACAAAAGGAAAAATAGATAAAGTGGACTTCATTAAAATTTAAAACTCTTAAGCACCAAATGACATTATCAAGACAGTGAAAAGATAACCAAGAGAATGGGATAAAATATTTGGAAACTATGATCTGATAAGCGTTTAGCATTCAGAACATGCAAAGAACTCCTATAATGCAACAACAAAAAGACAACCCAAATTTTTTAAAAAGGGAAAAGAATTTGAATAAACATTTCATCATAGAAGATAAACAACCAATAAACACATAAAAAGATGCTTAATATCATTAGTCATTAGGAAATGCAAATCAAGACCACAATGAGATACTTCACTCACACCAACTAAAATGGCTATTTAAAAAACAGTAACAACAACAACAACAACCAAAACTAAAATCAAAAAATGGAAAATAAGTGTTGGCAAAGATGTGAAGAAATTGGAATTCTCATACCTTGCTTGTGGGGAAATGGTACATCTGTTATGAAAGACAGTTCGGTAGTTCCTCAAAAAGCTAACCATAGAGTTATACATGACCCAGCCATTCCACATCTAATTATATACCCAAAGGAACTAAAAGCAGGGACTCAAACAGATAACTATATGCCAATGTTCATTATAAGATTATTCACAATAGCAAAAGATAGAAGCAACCCAAGTGTCCACCAGCTGATGAATGGATTTTTCAAATGTGATCTATACATACAATGGACTATTATTTAGTCATAAAAAGAAATGAAATTCTGATACATGTTACAATATGGATGAACCTTGGAAACATTTTGCTAAGTGAAATAAGCCAGATACAAAAGAACGAATATTGTATGATTCCACTTATGTGAAATGTCTAGAACAAGCAAATTCATAGAAACAGAAAGTATATTAGAGATTACCAAGGTCAAAGGAAAGGGAGAATGAGAACTTGTTCAATGGTTATGAAGTTTCTGTTTAGGGTGATGATCAAATTTTGGTGGTGAAAACCATAGTGGTGGTAGTTGCACAATATTATGAATGTAATTAATGACACTAAATTGTACACCTAAAATGGTTAAAATGGCAAATTTTATGTCATATATATTTTACCATAATTTTAAAAAAGAATATATTATACCAAAAACCATTGAATTGTACACTTTAAATAGGTGAACTGTAGAGCATATAAATTCTGCCTCAACAAAAGCTTTTTAAAAGATCTGAAGGAAATATGACAAAATACAAATATTTATTAATTCTTGGAAATGGGTAAAGATGTTTAATTATTTTCTGTACTTGTCTAATAGTTCAAAAACAATTTTCTAAATCAAAGAAACAAGACAAGAATCAAGGGGGTGGGAGAATGATATAATAAAGAGAATATAAACACTTAAGAAGAGAGAAATAAAACAGACAACATTACCACCTCATCACACTTGGAAATACCTGTGCATCTGGAAGCAAACCATCTGTCTGCCCACTATTTACTGCAAAATGGTGAAAGAAGGAAATATTGACCAAAAAAAGAATTTGTTGTTCTTCTATTTTTCATTTGCACTATACAGGTACTAAGAGGCTAGTGTTTGTTTACCTGGAGATGCTTATCTCTACTAGTGGGAGAGGACAGTCAGAAGCACCTGGGGCATGTTGGAACGTTCCCAAGTTCACTCATCCCATTCCAGGGTTCCACACTGCTCTGAAATCACTCTTCCTGGGAACTCATATTGCCACTCCCACCTTTGCTCCACAGCGTATATCCCTGATCTAGAGCAATGGTTCAGTGACACTCTGCTCACAATGCCAACGACTAGTCCACAGCTGCTGAAGAAGAGGCCAGGATATGCCTTCCTGCCCTCTTGGCTAGAACTGTGGGGTGAGTAGGGGAAACATGATGCTCTAGGCCAAGCTGTCTGAAAGGAGACACTGTGTGGTCAAATGTGTGTTTGGTAGATATTCTACAGTGCACACAAGGATGAGTTGAGATTGGAAAATAAAAGATTCAAAATTCGATACCGCCATTGTTCTGGTAAGGTCCCCGTGAAGCCCTTTGTGTGGAGCATGAGATTCTTCAAGCAAGTGCCACTCTATTCCAAGACTTTCTTTTTCGGTAGCCTGCCTGTCTCCTAAAGTGACTGATGCTTATGACCTGAAAGATACAGCTTATTGATACAACCTGACTATAATACACCAGTTTTAAGCTAGCAGCCAATGTCATATTTGAGAAGTTAACATATGAGTGGCTTTTTCTATAAGTTTTTAAATGATTGGGGATTTATTTGGATGGAGCATCCTGGTTCCTGCTGAGCCTCACTGTTGGGCAAGAAAGGACCTGGTTGTCTTGGAGTTCACAGAGCTTTCAGGAGGGCTCCATCCTTATTGCCCTTCTACACCTTCAGCATGACTTGTCCCCTGCCCAGGTGGAGAGGAACCAGAGCCCTGAGAGCTCTTCTGGACCAGATCCTCCTCTTCCTTCTCCACCAGCACCGAAGTCTACTCGTGTTTTACTTACAACCTGGTCTGACTTCCCTGTACTATAGTCCACTCATTTGGAAGAAAAACAACTACCTCTAGCAATGATTCCTGGAACTAGAAAATTATTCCTTATTTGTCAAAATCAAATATTCTGAATTTATTCAAATGCAGAAAAGTTAATAACACCAAAAGATCCACATTCAATTTATTATTTCATGGATAGATGCTTCCAAATAAACTAATATTATGCATAGGTTACAGAAGCCTTAATTGAATTTTAATTTTTTATATGGGCTTTAGGAAACAAAAATTAAATCTTTTGGGGAAAGCAATATAAACTGAAAAGCAAAACAGCTGATGTCTAAAAGTAAGAGTAATTTTCCCTGGATCTACTATTTGTCCTAGGAACTCAGTAGGAATTAGGGTTAGTGACAGCAGCAAACATCTTTATAGGTCTCATCAAAGATGGAAAATTAATCTAGTTGGTATGTTTCAGATATCTGACCACTTCATGCATAATTTCACATCAGTTTGCTGTCATAAGGGACACTCTGTGATATGCCAGGAGCTGGCTTCAGTCCATAGGGTATTCCTTACTAATAGTACTAAAAACAGGTCGGTGTGCTGCAGGGTGGTCTCTCCATCCTACAGACATGAGGCCATAATGTTTGTTTCCATAGAATTTAGACTAAAGAGAGAAGGGATCAAACTTGCAACATCATGTGCACAGTGATCTGGAAAGTGTTGGCAAAAGCATATAGACCCTGGCACCAGGCTGGAGTTTGAATCCAGGACCCATTGCCAACTAACTAGATTATGTTGGGCAAGTTTCTTGTATGTGAAATAGAGGTAATATCATAGCACCCTTGTGTGTTAGTTTGCTAGGGCTGATGTAACAATAAGTACCACAAACTGGGTGACTTAAACAACAGAAATTTATTCTTTCACAGTTCAGGAGGCCAGAAGTCCAAAATCAAGATGTGGGCAGGGTTGGTTCCTTCTGAAGGCTCTGAGGGAGAATCTGTTCCATGCCTCTCTCCTAGCTCCTGATGGTTGCAGGCAATCTTTGGCATCCCTTGGCTTGTGTGTGTACTACTCCAATCACCTCTGTCATCACATGACCTTCTTCCCCGTGTACCTCTATGTCCAATCTCCTTTGCCTTTCTCTTATAAGGACACCAGTCATTGAATTCAGGGCTCATTCTGATTCACTATGGTGTCATCTTAACTCAATTAAATCTGCAAAAATCTTATTTCCAAATAAGGTCACATTTGGGTTAGGACTTAAACATATCTTTGGGGGCAGGGACACAATTTGACCCACTACACCATGCCATGGCTTTGTAAATAGTATTTTATTTGACAGTTTAGAGAAGCATTTAGCACAGTGCCTGGGCTCATCGTAGGTATTCACAAAATGCTACTTTCCTTCCTCTGAGAACATGATACTTTTAAAAAGTGCTTCTTTGACCTGTTCGGTAGTCAGCATAACTATCAGATTGTGTTTCTCAATTATAGACAAAAAACTATTATTTCATTGAAATCTGTGGATTTCCTAAGTATTTTTTCATCTTATTTAGGAATGTAACAGAAAACTACAATAAAATTTAAAGAAATGTCTGAAACTCAGCTATTCCTTCTAGTGGAAGTGAAGCTGCCTTTAAAAACAAATGTGCTACATAGCCGGGCACGGTGGATCACACCTGTAACCCCAGCACTTTGGGAGGCTGAAGCAGGCAGATCACAAGGTCAGGAGATCGAGATCATCCCGGCTAACACGGTGAAATGCTGTCTGTACTAAAAATACAAAAAATTAGCCGGGTGTAGTGGTGCGCAACTGTAGTCCCAGCTACTTGGGAGGCTGAAGCAGGAGAATCTCTTGAACCCTGGAGGCAGAGGTTGCAGTGAGCCAAGATCATGGCACTGCACTCCAGCCTGGGCAACAGAGCAAGACTCTGTCTCAAAAAAAAAAAAAAGTGCTACAAATGTTCCTCACAATCACTGTCATGTAAGCAAATCTGGCCTTTCATGCCTGTCTGCTTATTGGTAAATACTGAATGGCAGCTGGTCAATGAGACCAATGGTGCTTTAATAATAGCCACAAAAGCCTATTTAGGATAAACAATAGAAAAAGCATGTTTTAAAATGCTTATAACTGGTTAAGAAATACAGCAGAAGTATAAAAATTTAATAATTTCACTTGATATTGAGAAATATAAGCACTATTTCTTAAAATTTCAATTGCATTAATTCAAAACCTTATGCAGAATAAGAAAAGAGCAATATGCCAGATTCTTTGGCTAAATCCTTCATTGTCACAGTCTTAAATTATTGCAAAGACCTGAAGATTTCAGAATAATGATGATACAGAGCAGTAACTTTCTATCACTGCACAAAATGTACAGAGCTATAAATCTTATTATAATATAACATAGAGTTTTAGAGATGCTTAAAATCCTTTTAAATACCAAGTCAGCTAGTTGGTAAAATGTAGCATCCGCAATTTGCTGATAGACAAACTAAGGTGAATGACCTCACTATAATCATGGCAGAGGAAAGGGTGGATTTGCTTAGCTAATTACACTTCAACTGATCTGGTCTACAACCTCCTCTGTAATTTTTATTTTTTAATGAAAAATACAAAAGTTTGCAAACATCTTGTCTGCCTTATAAGTGTTTCCCCCAGGACTATTTAAAGATCAAAAAAGAAAATTTCAAACATGCAATCTGGCAAAAAAAAAAAAAAAAAGCAAGGAAATAAATAGCCAAAAAAGTGCTCTGTCTACAGTAGGCAAACCACTAGCTAAGGCTTTCTTCTTCCATAGTCTTCAACTCTTTCCTTCCTTCATCAATTCAATTATTCCAGGGATACCTTAATATTATGGTCCTAGGAGAGTCCACCTGCCTTCTCCTTTTTGATACCTTGTTTGCAGGCTCATGAGCTACCTCATTTTAACACAACCGTTTATAATGCTTCCAAAATCCCCTGTCCCTTGCTTTCCGATCATCACTCCTGTGCCTTAGCTGTCCAGCACCAGGTATATACATAATTAATATTCATCAATGCTGACAATTCCTGGCTCTCCCTGCTTGTCCCTTACTCTTGCTGGGAATACCACTTTAGGATACAGCTCATCCAGGGGAAATTTATTCTGCCTCTCTCCTTGCCTTGCTCTTGATACAAACCAGCTAAAAGCAATTTAGGACAGTGGTGAGTTTACCAAGAATTCTAACAGAATTGTTTCCTGAAAGCCGGCCTGTTGAAAAATCTTGGAGGCTAAGGAAATGTGCCCAACACAAGAAGTTTTGTTTGTGTCACTGTTTACCCTGACGCCCCCATCGCTATCTTTAATGATTAAATCTAGTGGCAGAAAGGAAGTTCTGCAGAAAAAAGTCTGTGTGGGCTTTTTCAAAGGACAAGTCTAGTGAACCTGCCTGGTACACATTCTTCTGGGATTTCAGTTCATAAGAATAATATCAACAATCACAAAACAAGTGCAGAAACGACAAAACTCACCACCACACACACACAAAAGTGAGGCAAGCAGAGGCATCATCTGCCTTTGTGAGTCCAGGAAAAAAGTTTCTTTTAAAGTAAAAATCACAAGCACCAATGCAGCTTTGGGGACAGGGGCCTACAGAGAGAGGGAGGTCCAATGCCAGATGTTTGATAGCCTGTGGGAGGGAGTGGGCTCAGTCAGCTGCACCAGCCATGAGTGGAGCTGCTCTTCCTTGAATGTATGGCCTGGAATACTTCCAGCGGATACATCCCTTCAGTAATGGTAAACTCAAACTTGAGCTGGGGGAACAAGGTTAGGACAAAGCGAACCCCAAGATGTCAGAAAATCAGTGAGGATTAAGAGCATGTCAGCTGATGTTGAAGTCAAACTTTAGACCAGAGGAGTTGGTGTGAAGGAGTCAGTTTTATGAGGATAACAGGGAGACACTAGGGCTTGATGGCTCTGGGACCCTGGGGATGGAGCGGAACTCCATAACTCCCTGTGTGAGAGTGCCCTCTTGCTCTATCCTCCTCTATCTCAAGCTCTGTTGGCTGATTTGAAAGGGAACGAGGTAATATCTGAAAGCGCAGCAGGGGTGGGAATGAGAATGATGCTCGGAGAACACCGTCCAGGCTTCTGCCCCCTCACTGTAAAGTGACGAGGGTGGGCACAACATTTTCATATTGTTGCCCGATGAGGATGGTAATGGAGACAGACAAGGCTTAGAAACTGAGGATTTCTCTCTCTCTCTCTCGCTCTCTCTCTCTCTATATATATACACACACACACATATATATACATACATGCATATGTGTATACATACATATATGTGTGTGTATATATACACGTGTATATATACATACACACACACACACACACACGTGAGTGTGTTACAGTGTGGTCTCTCCACCCGACAGACATGAGGCCATAATGTTTGTTCCCATAGAACTTAGACTAAAGAGAGAAGGGATCAAATTTGCAACATCATGTGCACAGTGATCTGGAAAGTGTTGGCAAAAGCATATAGACCCTGGCACCAGGCTGGAGTTTGAATCCAGGACCCATTGCCAACTAACTAGATTATGTTGGGCAAGTTTCTTGTACGTGAAATAGAGGTAATATCGTAGCACCCTTGTGTGTTAGTTTGCTAGGGCTGACGTAACAATAAGTACCACAAACTGGTTGACTTAAACAACAGAAATTTATTCTTTCACAGTTCAGGAGGCCAGAAGTCCAAAATCAAGATGTAGGCAGGGTTGGTTCCTTCTGAAGGCTCTGAGGGAGAATCTGTTCCATGGCTCTCTCAACAGAGGAGACAATGGAGTCTGCCTCTGTTGCCCAGGTTGGATCGCAGTGGCATGATCTCGGCTCACTGCAACCTCTGCTTCCCAGGTTCAAACAATTCTCCTGCCTCAGCCTCCTGAGTAGCTGAAACTACAGGCATGTGCCACCATGCCTGGCTGTTTTTTTTGTATTTTTAGTAGAGATGGAGTTTCACTATATTGGCCAGGCTGGTCACTATATTATGTATATATTTTTTTGAGATGGAGTCTCACTTGGTCATCAAGGCTGGAGTACAGCGGCGTGATCTCAATTCACTGCAGCCTCGGCCTCCTGGGTTCAAGTGATTCTCCTGCCTCAGCCACCTGAGTAGCTAGGATTACAGGTGTGAGTCACTGTGCCCGGTCTGTCTTAGTATATTTCTTTACAAAAAACCCTCCCCACCATGAATCCAACAGCCCAGTGGATGAAATTTTGCTTATGTGTATTTCACACCCAAATTCTTTACATGTGAAGAATATGCTGTTCATCCATTGTCATAGACCATCTGTGCTGAGTTTTGCTACAGGTGGAGTGAGGAACCCTGATAAGCCATTTATAGTCTCAATCCCAGTTCTTCTTGATTTCAGGGCCTTCATTTAAAAAAAAAAAAAAGGCCAGTTTGCATAAATGCTTGTGAAATAGATTGAAGCAAATGGGTTAAATATTTACATCAAAACTACTAGTTAACATATTCCAGCTAACTAAACTTACTGACCATGTAGGTTTATAACTGTATATAGGTTTATAACATTTTCTAACACCAAACAGCTAATATCTGTTTTGAATTAATATAGTATACTAATGTTTAGCTCTCCTTTTACCAAGGTTAATTGTTAATTATTCCAAGGCAATTATTTATGTGCTTGAAAGCGGGTTTGCTGAGCCTGGGTCCTCAGTGTTGTGTTTTAGGATTTGTAAGAGGCAAATACGCTTGCATAAAGGCAAATTAATTATTTAGAGACGAAAGCCTTCATGAATGCAGTGGGCCATTACAAGAATTAGACTTCTCAAAAGGAGGCTAGTAGCAGCACTCCTCCTCTCCAAATAATCAGAATTATATGTCTGGCCTGAAAATATGCACAAGAATGCATATACACCCACAAATACTTGTGTGGGCTTGCTGCTTCCCTCTCTGCCCCATCCCTTTTTATTATTTTAGCCAAAAGACTCAGAAACAGATCACTTACAGAATTTTAGAGCAAATAATCCACTTGGTCATTCCACCAGGCTCCAAAAGATAGACCTTTGAACAACGACAGCTGGAAAATCCTGAGGCATCGGACACACTAATAGAGGATTCTCCTCCTGTTTTCAGGAGTCTTTGAAAACCGAAAGGCATAGTCCACAGCACAACATGTGACAAGACATTTATTTTCATCTATTTGCTGTAAGCCGTTGAAAACTAGAAATATCAAATTAGATCAAATGTTTTAAAATAGGTTAAAATCGATCCTTTCCTTGCATTTTGGGTTCTGCCCAAATAGTCCTCAGATTGGAGCCTCTGCAGCATGAATATATATTTCATCATAAGAGCAAAAGCAAAGCCCCTAATGGTGATAATTACTGTCACCAAAATAGAAGGCTAATTGTCAGAGGAGTTCTTTCCTCTCCATGCGATGAAGGGCTAGGCAGGAATGCCTGGCGTCTTTGGGCAGAGACATTTTTTCCTTTCAGTTTTTTCAGGACGTTTAAAAATTATTTCATCTATAGACACAGAGTAATCGGATAAAAATCCAGTGAGAATTTTGTCAGACAAAGGCTTTATTAGGTGTTTTGTTTTGTTTGGTCCCCGCCAACCCTCTTTGAGGAATAGAAAATGTGGAAACCACAAGGCACACAGCCCTTGCGACTTTGGCCTGGACTGCTGGTGTTTATTCTTTTATTTTTAGGACTCTCATCCAAGGGTAAGCAGCACCTTTCTTAAAGAAACTCCAGACCCTTGACTGCCTTTCTCTTATCATTAATCCTCACAACTTCCCGGAGAAGCTGGGAAGAGACAGCGCTCTGCATCCTCCTTTATAGATGGAGAAGCTGAGGTTTGGGAAGGTTAAATGACTTGCCCAAGGTTATTTAGCAAATTAGGAGAGTCCACTTGGGAATGGAGCTTTGGGTTCTTAGGTTCTGGGGCTGCAGCCAGGAAACCCCAGCCACAAAGAATCTCTTTTGTGCTTGATTTTGTTCACGTGCCTATTTATATAGAAAGAAAATAAGTAAATGTTTCAGTTCTTCTGCCCTCTCCCTTTATGCCACACCAATACACACACACGCACACACATGCGCGCATATGCACACACACACACATATGCATGCACACATGCACATACACACCATTAGCCATGGGGGAAAGAGATAGCCCTAAATTAGAACTTCCAAATAAACTCACTGATTTGCTGCAATGATCTCAATGTATTCTATTGTTTTAGACCCTATTGCATGAAGGTGTCACTCCTACATCCTGTCCTCACTCTGAGAACTGGGCTCATATATCTCATTATAGCCATATTTAAAGAGTTGGTAAAAGAACAACCACTCCATTGATATGGAATTTCTTTAAAAAAAAACTTTAAAGAGGATTTACTGCTGTTATCATAGCGGAGAATAAAGATGGTGTGTAATTCATGGAGAAGAAAAAAATTTCCTACAAATCAAGGTGCTCTTGCAGGCTGCACTGGATTCGCATTCAGGAATGAGACTTGATGATGTGAAGCCCTTGTGCTCAGGAGTGAGTAGTGTCAAGGCAGGGGGAAGAAAGAGACCACATCTTAAGGAACACATTTTTCTACTCAGTTACAGGGCTGGGAATACAATAATGACATGCTCAAAGTTTTAAAGGTGAACTCACACAGAAACACCGACTGTGGGGAGAAGTGACCTGTCCTGAGGAAAGAGGGAGAGGAATATCAAAGTCTGGTAGAAAAGAAAAGAATACCATCTTCAGGGCAAGTAGTACCTTCTCGCTTGTGTAGATGCAGGTTTGTAAGTACAATAGATCCTTTGGTAAAATGTTTGCACCGAAGAGGCTGAGTTATTTTATTTTTGAATTGCAAGTTCTCCATCTAGTGGTCAGTTTCTAGAACAACAAGTTCATGGTGTTACTGATGTCATCCTTTGGATGCAAATTACTTAGTTCGCCTTTTTTTTTTTTTTTTTTTAATGACTAATGCCTGCATCAATCATAGCAAGCTATTGAGCATATAACTTCCGGCAGGCACAGTTGGCAGTGGTTTTCAAGAACTAAAAGTATTTGTATATTGGCAATTTAAATCACAGCATTTTCCATTGCTGAGAACAACTTCCCTGACTTATTATTTAAAATTTAATTACCTTGACATTGTTTCTGAGGTGAAAAAATAGTCCATAAGAAAATTTATGAAAATGTATGCTTAAATTCAACATGTATTCTTCAACAGGAGAAAATGAAAGGGAGTCAGGCGTTCATTGGGTATTTGGTCACTAAACAAAATGTCTATGAACTGTTTTTAAGTTTAATATTCTTGATGGAGCTTGCTGGGCAAGGAAAGATAAGGAGTCTGCTGACCTCTAAAGAAACAAGGGGATCTGATGTGGCTACATTGTCCACTGCAGTGGTCTCCAAGTGTGAGAATTATACTACTGATTGTATTGGAGAAAAATTCTTCTCACTGATGACATTAGATAGCATTGGAATCAGGTCCAGAATCAGTTTCAGTTTTGTCCTCTTAGGTCTTTAACATCCCTGAAACCTGCCAATCATCCTTTCTAATAAAAGAGAACGGATTTCCAGCATGTTTTCTTTGCCCAGGCAACAATATACAGTTAAAATTTCATTTACTATTTTGCATTGTCTTTAGTTAATAACTTCCTATTAATGGCAAGTGATACCGCCTTTTCATAAAGTCATGATATAAAATTTCCCTTTAAGATAAATTTATTGAAATAAAAATATGAGTCAATTTGAAGAAAAAACATTGAATTGTATAGAAAGCATATGGACACGGGAACATCTCACGGATGCAGGCCAATAGCAACATGAGCTGAAAAAGATTCTACTCTGGGAACTCAGGGTCTGTTCACTGCTCTGGATCTGCCACTCACCCTCTGTAATTACCTGCGTGTGTTACTTAAATCTCTTTCGACCTCCATTTTCCTCATCCATGGAGTGTGGCTTCTTAAAGCAACTTTTAAAGTGGAATTATTCTTTGCCTGAATTCAGAAGATGGGCATGGAGATAAGGAAGCAAATAGAACATCCTAAAGCAATCTTCGCCAAAGAATGAGTGGGACACATGGAAGACCCAAGGACACACAGAGGTGGTGAATTATGTCCAGCCTCCGACCTGTACTTACCTACAAGCCCCAAATTATAGTCATGGTCTCCAAAATTCTAGCTCATGCATACTAAAGACCCATTAAATCAAAGAAGTATCAAAATATATCATTTCTTATTATGGGATATCAGAAACAGAGTAGAATCCTGCTTCTTAAAGCCGTGCAAAGGACAACCCAGTGGGCATACAATGTGGCTTTGGCCCCCCTGAAGGCAGGCTTCTCCTGAAGCAGAAGAAACACTTGCTGGGGAAAGCTGGGCCTGAGGGGGCCCAGGGGCTGAGGCCTTCATAGCAGAGAAGCACCACATATGCATAGAGCAGTGTCCACGTGGGTTCACATGGACTGCGGGAGCCTGAGATGAAACTCCACCTTCTTCTTCACTGAGCCCCAGCCTGGGCCTCATGCCCATGGTCTGTGTATGCTGTCTCATCCAGCCCTGACACCAACCCTGAAATACAGGTATGTTACCCAGTGTTAACACAGGTGCAAACTGAGGCTCAGAACGAGTGAGTTCCTTGCCAGAGGGCACTTGACTTATAAGTGGCAACACCAAGCTTGAGCCTGGGTCTCTGTGATCTTGGAAATGCAGATTCCACTGCCAGCTGGGACAGGAAGCCTGGGCTCCACATGGGAAGCCATGACCCCCTGTACCCCCCACCATAGACAAAAGCACTGGGGCACAGAGAGATTGGCTTTTCCCCTCTCTGGGGTATGATTGGTGAAGTTAATCAGCCCTGAGTCTCTAGTGTTCATTCTGTGACACAGCACACACACACACACACACACACACGCATGCACGCATGCACATATACACCAAAGTTACCAGTTCCAAACCTTTTGTTTTATTCCTCTTAACCCTCCCCTACCCATTCACTCCCATAAGAACTATGGCCAATCCTGTCCAGGCTTGAAGAACTGGAGCCATTCAGTGATACGCTGCCCTGGGTCACAGATGGCCACATGGAGTGACTGCCCCCATCCCAAAGAAGAAGAAAGGATTCCCCCCGCCTTCCTCCCTGTCTCCATCAGGAACCTACATGATGCTTCCTTCTCCTGTGGCAGACGACTCTCCTCTGTCCACCCTAGAATTGATCTATGAAATATAAAACTAAGTCACCAAATGAGAGAATAGCCAATTGCCAGAAAACACAATAAGCAGCTGAATTCTTGTGCTCTTCTGAAATGACCCCAATATACTCAGTAGGTACCATGTGTCAGGCACTGCAGTAGGCAGGGGGTGGGAAAGAAGAGGCCTAGGGCCCCACTCATGCTCCCTTAGAAGGAAAGATGCAAAGTGGTATGACTTACTACAATCCATGGTGGAGTGAAGCGTCATGTCACCTCTTTGTGCATTGGTTGTTTCTTTTCCATTGTCAAATGGAGATAATAACACCACCTATGTTGTAGGGTTGTTTTGAGGAAAAGACCCATACACTTAACATGTGGCCTGGTACATAATAATACATGCTATGCACCAACATCCTTCTCCTCATCATCACCATTGAGATAATGACCGTGTTAGACTTTGGGTGACATTAGGGGTAAGCTTTGATGGCTGGAATTGGGCAGATAGAGAGGTTTGTAGCAAGAGCAGTGTGGTGCTCTGGGTGAGGGAATTATTCTGAAATAAAGTCAATGGGTGGAAAAGCTGAAAGAGAGAGGTTGAGTTTAGGGAACTCTTAGAAATGTGGCTTGGCAGGAAAGCAGGCCTGTGAAGGGAGCGGTGAGCCAGTGTGATGAAGGACCTGCAACTCTGAGGTGAGGAGTTTGAATGGATAAGCAGTGGAGACCCACCAAAGACATCTATTGATTAGGGTAAGATAAGGAGATAGGTATTTCCTCTGAGTAAAGTAAACATAGACAGGGAAAAATCAAGGCAAGGGAGACCAGTCAGGTAGCAGTAAATCATCCAAACGACTGAAAGGTAAGCACTTTGACCTGGTGTATCCTGACCAGGGTGACTCAGAAATCCAGACACCGTTACTCCCTGTTCTTTCTCCTCTGAAGTGTGGCTTCTATTCAAACAGAGCAATGGGAATCACCATTGTCAGAAGCTGAACTCACATGCCCATTGCCCAATGCCCCATACAGGAGAAATTTAATGAAAACCCAAGTCCATTTCCTCTAAGATTGTGACTTCTAGTCTTTCCTGGAGCTTAAAAGGAAGGCTGAGACAAAGTTCGGATGAAAGTTTGCAGAGCACCACTGACCTCAGCTCCTGGTCTGAGGACAGCCTGTCTCAGAGACTCCCTTGCCTCTTCTTTCTGGGATTGTGATTGGTGGGTGCAGCCTGAGACGTGGTTGGCTGAAGAAGTCTCTTCGTGAGGGAATTAAGCTACTGTGGCTTCATAGGAGGCCAGTTCCAGAGCCGTCTCACCTCCCATTTACCTTCATCCTCTCCTGTGGAACTGGTGTTTTCCTTAGGCCCAAAAGGAGACAAGAGCTGTGAGAGAGGGAGGTGAGGTTTTTTTTGTTTTTTGTTGTTGTTTGTTTGTTTGTTTGTTTGTTTTGAGATGGAGTTTCGCTGTCGTCACCCAGCCTGGAGTGCAATGGCACGATCTCGGCTCAATGCAACCTCCACTTCCTAGGTTCAAGAGATTCTCCTGCCTCAGCCTCTCAAGTAGCTGGGATTACAAGCACCTGCCACCATGGCCAGCTAATTTTTGTATTTTTAGTAGAGACGGGGTTTCGCCATGTTTGCCAGGATGGTCTCGATCTCCTGACCTCAGATGATCCATCTGCCGAGTTTGGCCTCCTAAAGTGGTGGGATTACAGGCAGGAGTCTTTTGAGAGGATCCATCACAATGGTTGGGCAGAAGCTCAATGATTCTAACTTGGCTCATGAATGGCGTGGGGGTAGGAAACACAGCCAAAATATTGGCTATGATTTGAATGTGTCCCCTCCAAAATTCAAGTGTTGCAGTGTGATAATATAAAGATATGAGGCCTTAAGTGATTGGGGCATGAGGGCTTCTCCTGGTGAATGGGATCAAGGCCCTTATAAAAGTGCCTCTGCACGCAGGCTCATTTGCTTGGTCTTCTGCTAGCCCCCTTCCAAAGGATACAGCCTCCACCAGACACCAAACCTGATGGTGCCTTGATCTTGGACCCTCCAACCTCCAGAACTGTGGGAAGTAAATTTCTGTCTGTTATAAATTACCTGGTCTGCGATACTCATAGCACACAAAACAGGCTAAGACATCATCCATATTCACATCTGTGTATTGGTTAATTTTTACTTGGGAAACAGTTTTAGTTCCTTCTGCTAATATAGAATGTAGGGATTCTAGGCCTAAAATGTGACAGTCAGTGTTTACCTCCTCACCCCCACCCTGGTTTTTGTTCAATACAATCAAATAAGAAACCTGCAGCACCTCGTGGTATGGCAGTGGCCACTGGATGGAGCTGGGAATGAAGTGCTGGGCTCCCAGGCTCTGCTGACCCCTGCGGTGCCACTGGGTGAGCCATCTCACCTCCCTCCTTTTCCTTTCCTCGTCTGCGCAATGATGGGGTCCTCTTGCCATCTAAAACTCTTTTCCAGTCTTAGAAAAGGCGAGGGCCAGGCATAGTCATGTCCATTTTAGTTTTATTCCCAAACTGTTTTCCTCACTGATTAACTAGAACAGATTTGGGACTGTGGGAAAGAAAAATATGAATGGTGAGGATGGGGTGCCACCGTGCCAGGAGCTGTCCTCAGCACAAGTGAGTCTGGATGGCGCAGGTTTCCTGGCAACTGGGTGGCACAGGTCAGCTCCCAGAGGGTAGCTATTGGTCCGATGCCTTTTCTCTCTGCTTGATGCTAAACTACAGAGAAAATAAGCCCCATGACTCTTTGGAAATTTATTTTCAAGGACAATGATCATCATGAACATCTTTATCAAATAAAGAAACCGTTTAAAAAAATCTCTGTCTTGTTACACTTACATGACTATGTGGAGTTTTTTCAGGGACTGACAACAGGTTTCTGTCGCCCCTTAACTGGCCCCTTCTAAGATGTTGGGACCAGGGCTCAGTCTTAGAATCTGTAGGGAATGTTGGAGTAGACAGTCCCTGAGGCACACTTTCTCAGAACATGGTATGTGTCTAAACATACATTCAGATATAGCCCACCCTCCACGGAAGCAAGAACACTGCTGGGCAGCCAGCTAGGCCCACTCACTAGCAAAGAACTCATTTCTGCCTTTCTGCAAGGGTGATTCAAATTCACCCTTCCACAAGATAGTCACGGGCCTTCCACAGCCCACATTGTTTGCCAAAGATCTGTGGTCCTGCCTGACCCCACAGGTGAAGCAGTGGGGAGAATGTCCTGCAGTTCTTCCCATCTGACTTTGCAGCAGGCCTTTAGCTTCCTGGCCTGTGCTGTACTGGAAGTGGGATCTACCCTCTGAGCCCTCAACAGGCCTAAGTAATAGCTGGGGAGATAGAGACTCCTGCCCTGTTGGCTGATTCTTCTGTCCCTCGGGGTGCATTGTTGCTCTTTGTAGCACCAGAGGGGAAGGAGCGTATTCTTGGCCTGACACTGGCAGAAGAGAAGCCATGTCAGTCTGCCCAAGAACAGCTGGGCCCCAAACAAAGCTGGAGGCTCCTGTTATGCATGCTCCTTTGGGGCTGCTGATCTGCTTTTTAAAATAAACCTGTTTTCCAAGTATCAGATCTGAGATGATGCCAAGATTAAAAGAGCTTCCTTTCATTTTCCTTTTTCCCTCTGGGATGCCATTATGGAATAAGAAGCTGTCACCAGCCTTACCTGGATTACTCTCTAGAAGGAAAGACATCTGGTGGTATTTTTTTCCTTCAGGATAAATATTTTACCTAACTTATCAAAGCCAAATTTCTGGCCCCTTCATCCCATGACTTTAAGCCAGTGTCTGTCCTTTGTGCAAATCTGATTTTGGATTTAAAGTTCCGCAAGGCTTCTTTTGTGGTGGGTTCATGAGTTTTCAGAAGAGAGTGAGAGAGAGGAATAGGGGCTATTTGCTTCATATCGCCCCAGAAGGAAGCTTTGTCTCTACTCTCTTGAGAATCCTCCCTGTTGTTTTTAATATTTGGGGTCCTAATCAGATGCTCCAGTACTTTCCTTTTATTGTTCGTCCCCCTGCCATCCTTTATTGAGGCTGCCATTGCATTAGATAATTACATTCACCCTCCCTGAGCTCCCCCTTCGCAGACCTTCTTGGAAGGCTGAGCTCATGACTCATGCTTCTCTGATATAAAGTGACTCTCTGAATTCATCAATACCTGACACAGGGCTGCCCCTGTCCCCATTAGGCACTGCATCATTGACTGGTTGGTTAATTTCAGAATTTAGTTTAGGGTCATAAGAATGGTTGCAAAATTTTTTTGACATCAAGGCTCCTTGAGCTCATCAGTTTATCCAGGATTCAGGAACAACTCTCAGTATGAAGTACAGCGAGTCATTGGAAATTTCCAGGTGAATAACACTAGAGTGGGGATGAACCATAAAAATGGCTGCTGCTTCTCCTAACCAACATGCCCACATCTTCACAGAGTCGGGCTGCTGCACATGCAGGGGACTGCCCTAGGGCCACTGGCCCCCTCTTTTCTTTCTAGAAATGTCTGTCTCTCTGCTCTTAGCCAGAGCAACTGCCACTAGGGAGCCCCTCATCTGTCTCAGCCCTCCCTCCTTTTTCCTCTTTTGCCTCTGAAGTTTCCAGGTTTCAAGACCAAAGCCCACAGCGATGACTTCCTCCTCTCTGTGGTTTCCCCAGCTCTTCTCATGACACAGGCGCCATGTCTGGAGACTCCAACTCTCCTGCCTCTGCCACTGCCTCCTAACCCCTCATGCTTGGGGCCTCCACCTCTATATTACTCCGTTCTCATGCTGCTAATAAAGACATATCCAAGACTGGGTAATTTATAAAGGAAAGAGGTTTAATTGACTCACAGTTCAGTATGGCTTGGGAGGCCTCAGGAAACTTACAATCATGGCAGAAGGGGAAGCAAACACAGCCTTCACATTGTGACAGGAAGGAGAAGTGGCGAGCAAAAGGGAGAAAAGTCCCCCTTTATAAAACCATCAAATCTCATGAGAACGCATTCACTATCACAAGAGCAGCATAAGGGTAACCGCCCCCGTTATTAAATTACCTCCCACTGGGTCTCTTCCACAACACATGGGGATTGTGGGAACTACAATTCAAGATGAGATTTGGGTGAGGACACAGCCAAATCATATCAACCTCCAGGAGGAAGCATCTCATCCTCCAGCCCACCGGCTAGAGTCTTTACCTGGAGTGGCCCCACAGCCTCAGCCCTTTCCTGTAAGAATTGGTGGTTGGATTGACTTTGTGGAAGGAGAAAGTTTCATTTTTACAGGGTTCATGCAAGGAGCGAGTTGGTCCTGCATTCTCAGTTCAAATGCAGGGTGTGTTTTCTCACAGAGACAATATTTTCAAAGAAATGTGTGTTGTTTATTAATATGAGGAATACAGTTCAGGTGTATTCTGTATTTGTGGAATGGCCTAGATGGCAATCCATTGGTGAGCTAAAAACTGACCGTAAATCAGATTTGCATATGGACCAAAAATCATACTGATTGAGCCAAGCCTCTGCCTTATACTTGATATAAACAAGCGATGGCAGTGTTGGACATGGGACTTGGGGTCAGACATCCCTCATTAGAAGCAGCTGTGCTACAACAGAAAGGATCCTGGGACTTGGGGCCAGAAATTGGGTTTCAACTGCTCATGTGTTCACTTTGGACAATGCTGTCTTCTGAAAGACTTCATTGTCCTCAAGGATAAACAAGAGCGGTCATGAAGATGAAGTGACACGGTGATCAGGAAGAAGGTTGTACATGGTAGGTATCCAAGAAGTGTCAGTTAAATATGAATTCCAAAAAGAACCATTAGCAACACCACGAACTCCAGAGGCTATTTGTAGATTGTGCAACTCTATTTCCAAAGGTCAACATTTTTCCTTATTTGAAGCCTCATTCCCTTCCCTTTGCACAGCCACAGCCCCTCCTTACCTAACTGAGGAGATGTACTCAGGCTGCCTTCGGCCTTCTACCCTCTGCTTTGTGTCAAAAACTCTGGCATGCCAGAGACCAGAGTGGCCTCTGCCCACACCCACTCCCAACTCAGAGAGGGGGCACAGGTAGCATTGCCAGACTTAACAAATAAAAATATGGAATACTCAATGAAATCTGAATTTCAGATGAACAGCATATAATTGCGTGCACTGTTCTTATAATTAAAAATCACTCATTGTTCATCTGAAATTCAGATTTAATTGGGCAGCCTGTATTTTATCTGTCAACCCTAAGCATAGGGTGAGTTTCTGCCCCCTTCAAATGACCCCTTGGCCCCTTCAGAGTCTGAGGCCTGGGCCAGATCTGACGGTGGCTACTTGTCCTCCTTCTGCTCAGCCAACCCCTGTCTAAGCCTTGCTATCCTTGAGCCCAGATGTCCTCAAGGCAGTGTCATCAGAGCCACTGAATGGCATAAGCATCTCCAACCTGGAGTAGATTCAGGCCCTGGCTGTGTCCCTCCTACTATTCATTTAGTGGTCAGGACCCACTAACAGCCTGAGAGTTGCCTCTTAGTCCTTGGAGCTTATGTCATAGAGGGAGTTAGTTTCCCTTTCCCCAGGAACAGCCCTCAGTCAATGATGGGTGGGAATTGGAGGATCAATACCACAGCTCTCACACCCCTGGGTAAGGATGGGGATAAATCAGAGGTGTATACAATAATCTACACTGTCTTCTCCAGGTCCACAGTGGGACTGAGCCCCAATTGTCCACAGTGGAAACTGCCTAACAATGAACGTACCCTTTATAGGCTTCTCTTTCTTCCCTTCTCTGTCTCACTTTCTAACTTCTCTTACCAATACTCCTTGCATTGCTTCCTAAACTCCCCACGCCCAGATACATGATTCATGGTGGGCCTCTGGGGAGCCCAACCTAAAACAAAGCTCTATGTCTTTTATCTCACTACAGTTTCCTCAGCCACCTCAGCACCCACGAATCACCAAAGGTTAAAATCATAGGGTGCTTACCAGAAAATACAGACCCAGGAACCCAAGGATGAGGTCAGGAGTCTTAAGACATTGTTTGCTGAGATTTGTAAAGACCCCAGCAACAGAAAGAGAAGGCCCTTTCTAGCTTGGAAGATACTCCTGTTACAAGGGTTCAGCACGAGCATCTTCTTACCAGTTTACCAAACCAGGAGCTTCAGACAAGAAGAGCCAGTGTTCTGTGTTCATGGCAGGGGAGTGGAGTTCCATTTCCTGGTCCTGCCCTGCAGAGAAGTAGCACAGCAGCTCCTTCTCAAGTTATTACTGTCAAAGCGGACTTCCCTGCCTGGCTTCCCAGGCTCCCCGGGAGCTGATCTCTGAAGAAACAGAGGCCAACGTCTGTAGGGTTTCAACTGGCCTAAGCCACCGGGAAGGGGAATGGTTTGGGGCCCAGAGAAAGTGTCTCTCTGCCTCCATGTACCTGAGTGATCTGGATAAAATGATCCTCAGTTTCCTCATCTGCAAAATGAGAGTAATGATGCATCCTGGGGCTGTTGAGTGAATTACATAAAACAATGTACGTTAGAGCCTAGCACTATGTAAGACATCCCACAAAAGTTAATTTCCTTCCCTGGTTTTATTGTACCTGTGAAACCCAGGCGGTAAGAACTCACACTCTTGTATGATGCTGTCTGTACTAACAGCTTTCACAAATCTTGTCTCCCCGGTCAGATTGGAAGCCATGCTGGAATCGGGCGAGCTCTTGTTAATTGATTCAATGGCCTTGACCTGCAAAGCTCTCTCTCCCACCTTGCCTTCCTCTTGGTTATCAAGAAGGTTCTGCAAAGATTGCCATCAGCAAGGCTGTCCAGCCTGATTCTTGAGTGGATCATGCCAGTAATTTGCTGTGATGGATAGAGTGCCTTAAACTGCCTGTGTAATTGTGGTGAGCAGCCGCCAGAGTGGTGGAGCGACTGTGTTTAGGAAATTCAACTTGCAGGGAACACGGTGCTGCCTAAGCCACTGTTGTTCCAAAATTAGACCTTTCCTCCACTCCATCATTACATGGGTAAGCAGTCAGAACACTTCCTGAATACGAACCACAGATCAGAAGTGATTTATAGAAACATCCACATGTGTGTAGATGGTTGGCAGAAGGAGGGAGGGTGGGAGCCCAAGGTTGGCCCCAGACCAGCCACAGGCCTCCTCTACCGCAGCTCTATCAAAATGACTGCTCTCACTACTGCAGGGACAGGGAAGGACTACGGTCTCCTGCAAAAAAGAAATGTGAGCTTCTTTTGGTTCATAGACTTGCCAGATCATAATGCCTACTTGTAATGCATGGTAAAAATTCAGTTACCCTGGATCCTCTTTAAAGACACCGATTCCGTGGGTCTAGCTTGGGGCCTGGACATCTGTGCTTCTGACAGCCCCCTCCATTAATGGTTCTCAAATTGTGCTGCACATTACAGCCGCCAGTGGGGCTTTAAAATATCCTGATGTCCAGGTCCCATTGCAGACCTATAAAATCAGAGTCACTGGGGGCGGCACCTAGGCACTGGGGCTTTTTAAGGAGCTGTAGATGATGTTGATGTGCAGTCAAGTTTGAGAACCAATTCCCAGACAATCTGTAAAAGCGAGCAAGTCTGGGAAATACAGATTCCGGGGTAGAAGTCTATTTAGAAGAACCAAGTAACTCTTTTATTTGGCATCATCAAACTGAAATTCAGAGCCCTTGCTGGTTTAGGCAGATAAAATAGGGTTATGGAGCCTCTTTTCAAGCAGTTGTTCTGAAATCAGTTTCTAATACAGTTGCCTGGACATCCACTCATATCAGCTGAGTCACACCTATGTTTTTTAAAGGTTCTTGGGTCATTTGGATGCTCCTCTGGGTCTGGACCCACTGACTTCAGAGAATTTATAAAACGTCAAATCCTTTAATTTATAATTATGTAGGATGCATATTTGAGCTCTGCCACAAGGACATTTCATGGGACTGAGCATTTCTAGACAAATTTTTACTTTTTAAAAAAAAAAGTTTTTAAAATAAAAGATGTCTGGTCTATAAGTGGACATTATAAAATACATTTGCAACCTGGTGTTCCCTTAACTCCCGAGCCCTTAAATAGAAGATATGGTAAGATAACTCAACTGTTCATTTCCCCATATTCGTGCCACGTCTAGCTGAAAAAGGAAAAGGCCCAAATCTCCCTCCTGGTCTCAACCTTTGCAACAGCAAAGGTGGCTGAGTCAGAAGCTCTGAGGTCCTCCGAGCCCCTCCGCAGTGCTCTTGCAGGCCAGCAGCTTCCTGTGGGGGCTCCCCCTGGTGACAGCGTGTGGGATAATTTCTGATTAGAAAAAGATCCCTGAGCTGGAAGGGACTTTGTGCAGCTTCCTGCAGTGGCCAGGGTGTGCTAGGTCTGGGTTTATCTGAGTCAGGGCTTCTCTGAGGCATGCATTTCTCAGCGAGTCTCCCGAATTTTATTTTCAATCCTGCCAAGGGCAGATTAAATGGCTACATGAATGGGAAAATGCAGGAGGCTTTGAAACAGATGGTTGGCTGTGCAGGCTCAGTGACTTGCCAAGCACTGGATTGTGTTGCCATATGAATGAAAATCCCACTGTGGCTGGGTTTTTATTTCTCCAACCTATGGATGACAGCGACTCCCTTGTTCCCCTGGCAGTGGGGCCTGGAGCAGTTACCTGCTATTATTCGCCTCCCATCAGGGTTCAGCTTCTTGCCTCTCTGGATTTTCCTGGTTCCTTTTTCTGAAAGGGAGTGTCATTCTAGACTAATTTCCTGATGGTGTAAATGATTTAGCAGGGCTGATGAATATCAATAGAGCTGCAGATGGGTTTAAGTTGCCTAATGAATGTGACAGTCACTGGTGCCAAATATTTTTCCAACTTGCATTTAGGATGCAAACAAGCTTGAATAGTACCCACAAAGGGTACTTCTTTAATTATGCATTATAAATTCTGAAGTCAGTAGTCAAAAGTGTCAGCGCAGTATGGCACAGATGAGAAGCTGTGTACATGGACGTGTGCTCAATGCACATGAGCCAGAGAGACCTCGGTTCGAATCCCAGCTCTGCTACTAATGAGCTGTGTGAATTTGGACATGTTATATAATATCTCAAAGACTGATTGTAAAATGCAGATAAAAATCCTTGCCCTTGGACATTTTAAAAATAATGAGCATGAGAAAATGTAGCATGGCTGGCATTCATAATTCAACAAATAGTCATTAAGTACCTACTATGTAGAAAGGGCTATACTAGGTGTGGGGAATTCAGAAGATTCTGGAAATTCACAGGTGAAGGAAATAACTGGAATGGTAGAATGCCAAGGGCAGGACAGAGGGAGGATGCACCAGGTGTAGGAAGTAAGAGGTGTTTTGTCTGTAAAGAATTTAAAAGCAATAGGAAAGCTGACTAAAAGTTTATTTGCAGCCAGGCGCAATATCTCACACCTGTAATCCCAATACTTTGGGAGCCCGAGGCATGAGGCTTGTTTGAGCCCAGAAGTTCAAGACCAGCCTGGGCAACACTGCAAGACCCCCATCTCTACAGAAATTTTAAAAAATTATCCAGGTGTGATGGTGCATGACTGTGGTCCTAGCTATATGGGAGGCTGAGGTGGAAGAATGGCTTGAGCACAGGAGATGGAGGCTGCAGTGAATTGTGATCGTGCCACTGCACTCTAGCCTGGGTGACAGAGTGAGACACTGTCTCAAAAAAAAAAGGTTGATTTGCTTTTCATTATCAACATAAGCCAACAATTCTAAACAATGTCAGTGATCAAATTACTTTATCCCCAAAATCTCTTGTTGGTTTAAATTCCAGGGAACTGTTGTGGTTACTATTGAGTTTTAATAGAATATATGTAAGCTATGTATTCTCCTGGTTTTTAATTACTTATCCTTTAATAAACATTGTATTCTTTATTAAGGAAGTCAATTTGAAGAATGCCCAGTTATTCAAGGTGCCTTCCCCACTCCACTCCTCAGCAGAAGTGGACTCAGCCTCAGGAGTTTTGTATAAAGCAAGTGTATAATGGTTCGAAATTGATGGACCTATTGGTTCCCCTGAAGGTTTTGTCTCCAGCCCTGGTGGTATCATCTCTTCCTGTGTTTAAATGGTAGATTCAAAAATGATGGTAGCTCAGTGATTGTAGAAACAAGGACACAAAGATCTTGATTTACACCAATTCTGTCATTTCTGTGTAATCACTCAGAGGTTTTATGTTTCAAATTTAGAAGAAGGAAACTCTGAACTTCAAGGTATAATATTTTAGTTTGGCAAGCGCAAATTTTAGTTCGTACATGAAATGTTTTACTGAATTTGAATATATTTAAAATTGAACTTTGCTTTTCTAATAAAATTGTTAATTATTTGTTTTTAAAACGAAGGAACAATTTGAGAAAATAATGATTATTACTAATTCTTATGTGATAATTACTGAAAATAATTTTATCATAGAGAGGAAGGGATGTTAAAAAATGATCCACTCCAGGCATCAAATATGCTAGGTATGTCACTGCAGTGCATTACACAGTAAGTTTTTAAAACATTGATATTGACATCAATGGTGGCCTTTCTCTTCTAACATGGCACTTCTCTGAGATGAAAGACAGGAGTTCACAGTGAAAGAACTAAGTGTCTGCAGTCTTTTGAAAATTTGATTCTGCAGTTTTAAAAAATAATAGTAACTACTATCATCGAGCCCTTCCTATATGTCAGGTATGGAGCTGACATGTTACAAACATTATTTAGTACTTTATCCAGCACTGTGAGGTGGATATTATTATACCAACTTAAATGACGAAGAAACTGAGGTTGGGAGAAGTGTGCTCCAGATTACAGACCTTGTGAGTGACAGAGCTGGGCTGACACTGTGGATTACCTGATTCTAAGCTTGTTCTCTTAACAACATGCCATCAGGAGAAGGAGAAGCTGATGCTGATTTCAGTTCCTGAGTATATTACAAGGCTGGCTTGAGGCCTGTGAGATTCTAGACTTTGTTTTTCTAACAACCATGCAATTAGATAAGACACTGACGCTCACAGATCAAATCAGGCAGATCTGAAATCCTGCAATCATCGAGGATTTACAGGAGATGAAGCTGAAGCCCGGAAGGAATTATTGCACCAATGCTCACACAGCTACTACTGGATCAATAAATCAGGTTTTTCTTTTTCTCTCTCTCTTTTTTTTTTTTTTTTTGGCAGGGCGTGGGGGCGGATGTGCAGTGTCTTGCTCTGTCACATGGGCTGGAGTGCAGTAGCAGGATCATAGCTCACTGCAATCTTGAACTCCTGAGCTCAAGAGATCCTCCCACCTGAGCCTCCTTCAGGAATGCACCACCATGAATGCCTGGCTAATTTATGTGTGTGTGTGCTCGTGTGTATTTGTAGAGATGGGGGATCTCACTATATCGCACAAGCTGGTCTTGAACTCCTGGCCTCAAGCGATCCCCCCACCTTAGCCTACCAAAATACTGGGATCACAGAAGAGAGCCATCATGCCTGGCCAGTAAATCAAGTTTCTATCTGCCTATACCATGCGGCCTCTGGGCCTAAATTATACACAATCAGCTGTCTTACTTTTCCAACTCTCCCACACTCTTATTTCCATAGGTTTTGGCTCGGAAGGAGGGAGATTTTGGTTGTATGAATTTAGCCTTGAGGCAGCAGGTTGATGGTGTCACTGACAGAAAGGAAAACTGCGTGGGCGGAAGATGCTGTAAGTATTCCGGCTGGGATGATTTTGGAAATTGGCTTTCCTCCTTGGGCTACAAATACTCAACTTCTCAGATGCTGCTGAATATTCACTATATGATAACGTGCTTACACTCTTGATAAAGTCTCATCTTTCAGTGCTCCCCAGGAGGAGATTGTGTAGAACCATGCTCCTTCTTGACCCATTCTGTCAAAAAACACTTTTGGAATTTCATTATAGCCTAGTTCATCTTCCTGGCTTTAAAAGATTTCTATTATTTTCCCACAAGTCTGTCTCCCAATCTAAAGAATATGAACGTCTAGCTTAACCATTTTAAAACTGTAATTCATATGACTATGGCTAAATTCAGGTTCTTGGGCTTTCCCCTAGATGTTCAGATTCAATAGGTCTGGGTGGAGGCCATGAATCTGCATTTTCCATGAAAGTGTGTTGCAGGTCCCTCACTTTATAGGCCCCACTTTGAGATGCTCATAAGCAATGACATGTTCTTATTTCCAGTCCCTTGTGAATGACAAGCCCTTGGTAGTTGTCTGCTGACTGAAAATTAAGGCCACTTCTATCCTCTACTGCAAATGTACACTATTTGGAAAATTTCATTACTACTTCAGGCTAGGCTCATTTTAATGATCAGTGGTGTTGATTGTAATGTCATCTTTCTCAGAGCTGTTAATAGTTTTTATTTTGTGTTGTTTTGTTTAAGGACCCAAAAGTGGTGTATGAAAGGGGAAGCTGCTGAATCAGCAATCTGGCTTAGAAAAAGCATCAGCAACATTTCATAAACATTTCGTGTTAACTGTTAAGAAATAGGTTGAAAGGTAGTCCAAGAAATAATAATCCATTTGTAAGTAGTGCTAACAACAAAAAAAGATTAAACTTAAAATAAAACATTGGCTTTCCATTTCCTGATAATATAGAAGGCTTTTAATATCTGTAGTCAAAAGAATTGACTAGAAAGATTCATATAAACCAAATTCAAAGAAAACCCAACAGTCATTTTTGCAATAATGAGACCTCCCAAGTATAATGTAGGTGGCAGAAATTGGAATATGATAGAGTCTAGGAAATCTAGGATAGTCTCTTAAAATATAAAATAAAATCCCAGAGTTATTCTGCTAGTTTTTGTGACAATCATTATTTTTACAATTATACAAAAAAGGTTTTTAAAAATGTGGAAAACAATAGGAAACATATGATTCTCTTGTCTGTCAATAGTTTGGGAAACAAAAATTAACAGAAGACCTTGGTGATTTGCTCTCAGTCATTACAGGGCATCAGACAAGATATTTACCAATTATTGTAGCATCTCCTGGCATTAGTGGACTGTTGGAGGTTTTTATCCATTATTTTCAAGAAATTCCACCTAGGAATTCATTCATCCCATGCTATTTCATAATCAAATTGCTATACAAATGGAAGCACTTGGAAGTTTGTTGAGCAGAAGTAAATTGATTTCCGTTTTTAAACAAATCTTATCTAAAAATCAAGGTAAATCATTCTAAACTACCATCCATGTGGTTCTAATTTCAAAATAAGGATAATTAAAAAGTCAAAACGCTCAAAAGCCCTCTTTCCCATGTTCTTCCAACCATGCCCTGTCCAAAGCTTTCTGAACTTTACATCTAAATTCCTTAGCGGTGTTACTGACCCCTGAGATGTCAGAGAAACGCTTTGCTGGTCACCTGCTAGACTCTATCTCAATTTAAGGCTGCTGAATTGAGGAGTCAGGTTAGGACCAATTGCATATTTTGAAAAGAGAAGCTCTAAATCCCCTTTCTTTTCTTGAAAAGAAAAGCTCTAAAAGAGCAAAGACAATATTTCATTTTAATTTCCCTTGGTGTTAAAGAATATTCTCAAGAGATGTTGATCTAAAAATAGACTATCAATTATCCAGAACTTAAACTGACTTATATTTTTTCATCATGAACTCCAGATTCAGGACATAATCTCCACAGCCCCTCATTTCTCTGGATCAGATTTCCTATCAAGTGAGGGAAATAACTTTCTTCATAAGAAGCACTGCATACTTTAATTTTTTTCCAAAAGTAATGCTGGACGTAAAAATCTGTTACCCATGTTTTCGGGAAAAAGGAAAATGAAACAGGAACATTATCTCGTGTTTACATTTCATGATGACTTGATATTCAATTTACTCACATTTACAGGCAAAACAACCTTTTGACAATTCATTCATCTAAATTAATGAATTGTTCTTACCCTAGATGTATATAATATTGCTCTTTAAACATTTGCCTGACCAAAGATAGAGTGATTCCAAAGATTGTGCTTTTATTTGGGCTTTAAAATTAGCTGCAAATGGATGTGGAGTTTTCTCTGGGTCTTGCGAGGTGTTTCACTCTTCTTCCAAGCCATGTAACTCAATCTTGCTCTTCCCTGGTGTTTGTAGGTGGCAAGAGCTGTGCTGGAGGTTGAGGCCTTGCTCGAAGACACTTGCAGGTGCCACTTGTCTGAAAAGTTCTAATCTATAGTTGGTAGAAATCACAGCAGGCTGAAGGCCAGGGGATTTCTCCTGGGCTTTCCACTTTACCTTTGTGATTTTGTCTAAGTCATTTAACTTCCTAGGGCCTCAATGTCCTCATTTGTAAAATAAGGAGATAAGTCTATTCCTTTAAGCACTACCTTTCTAGATTGTGTGACATATCATCTGCAAAGTGCTTCTATTAGTCAAGAGAGAGATACAAACTGCCACATAACAGGGCCTCTGTGGTTTATAATGATAATAGCTAATATTTTTTGAGGCCCTACCATGTGTCACGCAAAGTGCTAAGCACTTTACATTTACCACACTATTGGAAAATAGAAAGATAAATTTTTTAAACATTCTAAACATTTCAGTGTAGAATGTCCAAGAAACCTTCATTGCTTTTATGTATGCCACTTGACTCAGCTAATATACAAATCATCGTTAAGTTATGGTCATATACATTTGTGCATTAATTTAACAAAATTCCAAGTCTTAAGTCAAGATAAATCTTCTCTTAGAAGTATTTATAGTAGTATGGCATAAACAACTGTAATACCCAGGCATGCTAATTTCACTTATCTGAAAGAATATGGGATATATACAGGGCAGAGGACTCCCCAAAGTGACAATCTGACTTTCTCTCTGGTGATGGAGTCTTTGAATAACTGAGGTTGGAATATCCTGGGGAAAGAAGGGAACATCGAAAATAAAATATTACTCAATATTTACATTTCAATTTCAACAATGCTGATTTCCATCCCAAAACAAAATACCAACTTGCAAAATCTTCCATGAAATTTTTGTGAAAAATTCCATGTGAAAAATTCCATGAAAATTTTGTGAACTAGATTTGCTTGTTCACAAACAAGACTTTTTGGCATCGCACTTCTACTCACTTAAAAAATGTACTTGATACAGCGAGAGCTGGATGAGACCAGATAACTTTGTACATTTAAGGTATGTTTATGGTAGTCAACATGCTGCTAATGAAAACTTTTTGATCATTGAAAAGTAAATTGAATAACAAGTTATAATGAATTATAAAAACATATGATGATGATTATGAACCAAAGTTCTTTCATCATAAATTTTAAAATGTGCTGTAGATGCAGTACATTAAAAAAAACTTTAACGTTCAAACCAAATTGTAATTAGCTTTTATACTAAAAAACAAAACAGAACAAAAAGTAAAGATTATGAAGCTCAGCTTCTTAGTCTTGAAAGAATGTTAAATTTTACACTTAGGCCATTTTAAATTATCAGTGTTAATTTAGTTTCAATATTTTACTAAACACGAAACAATGCACATGTACAGGTGTGTGCTTGTGTCCCCTGGTTCCTGACCTAAACATTAAGCTTTACTACCTAGTTTCTGAGCTGCAGTACAATGAAAAGGGAGGGTAGAGTTACTTTTATTCTTTGCATACGTCTTAAACATTTAAAAATATAAAGAATAAATTTTAAACTTGTCAGTTCAGAATTAGGCCAGAGAGGCTCAGGAGCAATGATAGGGTAATGGAAGGAAGGACATGAAGACATGAAGGTAGAATCATGTCCTTTCACAGTGACCCAACACAGCTGTGTCTCCACCTTCTTCAAGCCCCGGCAGATGTGTTACCTTGTGGAGATATACTGCCAAGTGAAAGTGGTTTGGATGTTTTCTTTCTCCTTTTCCTCCAGGCCTCATCCACATAATTCACTAACCATTCATATGACAAAACTACGTAAACTACTCGCAGGAAAATACCCATTTGTGAATATGCAAGTGTGTCCCACTAGACAGAGGGATGCAGCTCACCTACTAAAAAATGTGCAGACACAAAGCGAGCTTTCCATAGAATTCCTGTATCAGACCAACGAGGTGTGTGGTTTCAGGAATCTAGGGAAGGGCTCTTGCTCTAAGGACAGCCATGGTTAATGTTGGCATGCCAACCACTTTAACACCTTCACACAAAGACTTGCCATTTTTCTACAGCATGTTAAAAAATATAGAGTGAAAGTCTACCCAGACTCCTGGGAGAAGCTATTCATTCTTTTTTTAAATTTTATTTTAACAAATATTAATTGACTGCCTACCATGCTTCTATAGGATATCCTGGGATCCAACAAATAGACAAAATCTCAGCCTCCATAAATCTTATGTAACAGTGGAGGAGACAAGTAGGTCATGACCAATGCATTTATGTGAATGGATTTTACCAGTTTCTTCTATAGTAGTATCACCCCGAGTACCAAGACAGAACTGGGCACTTTAAACCTGAGAAACTGACTATGTCCATGTCCTAATTCCTCAGCTTTTCTGTGGCTTTTTCATGTTCCCATTAACGGCACAATTCTGAAGTTGTGTTTTTGCCACTAAGACATGTTAGAAAGATATTTAAGCTTTTGTGGCAGAATAACAGTGTGAAGTATTAATCAATGTTTTCCCCCTGTCCTTGGTATTTCCTTTTTTTCACTAGTAGAGAAAAACTTAAATGCATATTGTTCTTTAAAACTATTTCTGTTAAATCTCAGAGTTTTTCCAACACGATTACAAGGAAAAAGCTAAATGATGGGCTGGATACTTTTTAACTAAATGAAGTCAAGACCTTTATGTAAGAGTAAAATAACAGAATGAAGTTAGAGAGGACACAGAGCTGGTGTGTACATTACATGTTTAGGTGAGTGACTTGATTTCCAGCAATAAAATTCTATCAAATTCAATTTCCTTTCACAAACTTACAGTGAGTAAATGCAATTTCCCATTCCAAGCAAGCATGTCTCTAAGATTAAACTTATAGTCCATAGAAGATAACAATAAAAGTTTAAAGTCAGTACTTCTCCAAGGAAATTACTGCAAACCAGTTAGGGAATAATTTTATGACAAGAAACAGAAGAAATATAAACATGAAGAAAAGAGACCTTCATCCTAATCTTGCTGTTTATATTCTTAGTGTGTTTAAAATAATCTTCTTGTATTTCACTATTATATATTAAGAATTTCTGGCTGACTCAGTCCTTCATATTCACCAATTCCTATGCCAATAGTCTCCCATTCTTCAAAATTAGCCATGAAACTGAGTGCTGAAGTTTGTGATCCTCTAGCTTTGGTCACAATTTCAGCCAAGGCTAAATCAAATGCATTTCAGAGAAGGTTTAACCTTCTATTCCCATTACTCCTTAGTGTTATCCACACGCTTTCAGCTGAGTGCCTTACTGCGTCCGGGAACAAGTGATGGTGCCTAAAAGAGAAAATCAAAGCATGTTCTCTGATTTTTCAAAAGTCTAACCTTTGAAGGAAAACTGAAAAGACGCTTGTGCATAAACAGTATGAAAAATCTGTGAGGATGCTTGGTTGTATAAGTGCAAGACTTGCTGCCCCAGAGATTAGGAAATACTCCCCATAGCAGAGGAAGGAGCAGCAAGGAGTGAGTAGATGCTGGGGGCCTTAACAGAGGGAGCCTGCAGTTGCAAACACACAGAGCCTTGGAGACCTGATAAAAGAGGAGACCCATCTCTCTTTCCTGGGAAAAGCCTGGGGAGTAGCAATATCTCAGAGTAGAGGTGACTGCCTCTTGTGTCAACATAAATTTGCCAGAGGTGACCACATAGTTTAGCCCTGCACAGGACAGGGTGGGAGGAGCAGGCTCAGTCTCTTGTGTCTTGGAAATGCGTGGAAATTAGTGGAGACCCAAAGACTTGCACTGGGGTGTGAGGTATGACATAGCAATAAGGATCAAATGGAAATGAGGACATTTCAGTGGATGCCAACAGGAAAAATGATAATCCAGATGAGATGGAACACCCTCCTGTGCACCCCCACCTCCTTGACTTACTATAATTTAAATTCCCAATAACTTACAGCAATCCCTAGGAGATAGGTAGAAGATACTCATTATTGACTAAAACTAAGATTTTATCACCTATTGGAATGGGAGCTTGAAATAGAAATTGACTTACAGGAAAATAAATGTCCATTTCTTCCACACATAAGTGTATGGACAATATTCTCACCTACTACATTTTTATAAGGAGTTTAGAATTTTGGCTTAATTGGGGTTAGTTGGGGTGGTTCTGGGCAAGGACTTGTTTTGGCAAAGAGATTTTATATCTTTTATTCAGGTTGTTTGTTTGTTTGTTGTTTAGAGGTTGAAGGAATCAAAAGGAAGAGAAGGCTTTAATTTACAGCCAAAACCAGAAGTGGTCATTTGGAAGTCACTAGTATGAATCCTGGATTGGCAATGACTTTTACCAAGATAAGCCAAAAAAGCATTTAAAATTAGAATCATAAGGATTAAAGTATAAAATTATTTGGTATCAAATATAATCTTGCTCTCAGAACTGTTATAAAAGTCTAAAACGTTGCATGTCGTCAGTGATTTCTCAGCCCTAAGTATATGTCAAAGTCATCACTAGAATTTTTTTGTAAGTAGATACAGCCAGGTCTTATCCCAGACCTGCTGAATCATAATTTCTCCTGGTAGGGCCTTTTCTGGGCAGTCATTTAAAAAATGTCACAAGGCTGTAGAATAGTTAGTGACAATGGATGTCTGAGAAACCTCGTCTAATGCCACTGGCTGCAAGCATTATCAAAAACTGTGGAAATGGCCATTACTGTTTTCATTCAAAAATATTTATTAAATATCAATAATTTCATGGGCCCTCTAGGAGAGCCTTCTGCTTTCAACTCTAATTTAAAGAGGATCTTCTCTTCTTCTTGATTTCCTTGAGCTCTAAACAACAAAAAAACAAACTGCTTGAATAAAAGACACAAAATCTGTTTGCCAAAACAAGTCCCTGCCCAGAACTACCCCCGAATAACCCCAATTAAGCTGAAATTCTAAATTCCTTATAAAAATGTAGCAGGTGGGAATATTGTCCATAAACTTAGATGTGCAAGAAATGGAACTTTATTTTCTACCTTGCATGCAAGATAATACACTGTTTCAACTTTAACACCTCAATATGAGAAACGTCACATCAACCCACAGGTGAACTGAAGCCTAGGTCTTCACTCATGGTTTGGCTGGGACTTTTGAAAGAAGCCCAGAGCCAAGCATACTTCCTGAATTCTGCCACTCACATTGTCCACTCTCTGCTCGACTAAGAAGCAAATAATGTTAAGAAGTCTGTTAAGCCTGTCTTTGGAGGGGAGGGCAGGATGGAAGTTTGGAAGTTTAGTAAGGCAGTCATGCTTTCTTATGGTTCTGCCGCAGCGAGTCCTGACCCTCTCCCACCCATCACCTTGCAGTATCGTCAGCCATGCCAGGGAGACAGACAAAGTCACGTTACCATAAAGGACAGCTATAAAGGACAGCTATAAAGGACTCCAGCACGTAGCAGACAGCCTTCCCTGACAGCTCTATGTGAGACAATGTCTCCAAAATGCTGCTTTGATTGTATCACTGCTCCAAAGCCTTCAGTGACTCCTCACTGCCCACAGATGGCCCTCAAGGATATGCGGATCTGACCTACCTCTTCTAGCCTATTCTTCCATTCCTTTCCTACATGGGCTCTCTCCTCCAGCCAAACGGTCTGTTTTTTATATTTCAAATACTGGCCCACTTCTCAGTCTTTGTTCTGACTCTTCCATCTGCCTCTAATTTCCTTCCTCTCATCTTGGGCTACTGATAAATTACCCATCTTTTAAATCCCACCTCAAATACTCCCCACTCCTTGAAGGCTTCTGTAGTCTTTTGTTAGGGATGCTGTAACAAAGTACGATAGACTGCGTGGCTTAAACAATAGAAATTAATTTTTCATAGTTCTGGAAGCTGGAAGCCCAAGATCAAGGTGTCGGCAGGCAAATTTTGTTCCTTCTAAGGGCTGTGAGGGAGGCTATGTTTCAGGCTTCTCTCCTTGCCTTGCAGATGGCCATTTTCTCTCTGTGTTTTCACTTGGTCCTCCTTTTGTCGATGTCTGTGTCCAAATTTTATCTTCTTATAAGAAGACCAGTCATATTGAATGAGGCCCCCCCCTCCCCCCACCAAATAACTTCATTTTAATTGAACTACCTCTCTAAAATCCCTGCCTCCAACTGTGGTTACAATGTGAGGTACTAGGGATTAGAACTTCAATACATGAACTTTTGGAGGGACACAATTCAGTCCAAAACAGCTTGCTTCTGGTTGCTCATTTCAGCCATAAGGGATTTCTCCTCCTCTGTGCCGACAGCCTCTACTGCACACAATACTTGGCAGCAACTGTACTTCTATCTTTGTTCCTCAATTAGGGACTAGCACATTGCACAATACCTAGTAAGAATTTATTAGAGTAGAAGCTGCTTAACCGACCCCCACTTACAAATTCTGCAGATGAATTGTCTCCTTCATGCCCTCCGCAGTTCTCCCTTCTGCTTGCCGCTAGTACCCCAAGGGCCAGCAGAGAGCAGGCTTTCTGGAGCTTGTGTGCTTCTACTCTGGCCAATTAGGTTGTAAGTTTACCAAGAATCAGTTGTGCTTGATCTCAACCCTGTGTATGCCCTGTTGGACTTAATATATTTAAATAATTTAACTAAAAATTGTGTGAGGCAATGAAATATGAGTGTAAAGGGAGAGACTGTTTATGAAAAATTAAGATGTTTCCTTTGGAAAGGCTTGACAAAAGGGAGCTCCTAAAAGTATTCTTGAATTATGTGTCAGTGAAACAACTGTAAAGTCAGGAGAAAATAATAATTATAATCTAGAGGCCTCTGTTCTCAGATTACGAGTGTCTTTAAGTTCCTACTCTACTCTAACAAAACTGTAACTTTAAAGAAATCAAAAACCGGAAATTGTAAATGATGTATTGTAAATGTGGTTTATGAAAGACAACTCCAATATCAGACCTAGACTCCAAGGAAAGACTTTGCCTTCCCCATCAAATTATTCTTAAGTGAATATACAATTTATTATTTTAAGTTAAAATAAATGTTTATAGTATATATTATGTATTAGGATTTTAAAAAATGACTCTTCAGTTTATTTAACTTTTCAATTAATCATCCAACTACCCATCCCTCTTGCATAAGCTAATAGGAACACTACTGAAAAAGCTGCCATGCCAATGAAGGATTGTATCAAGGTGTGATTTTCATAAGCAAAGAAGACGCAAGAGCTGCCTTTATGACTTGCTAAGCTCTGGGCAGCATCTGACAGACTTGAGGATTAATACAGTTTCTTTCCAAACAAAGAGTTCAGGGCAACTGCCTGTGAAACACCATCATAACAGAGACATACTTTCTGGATAAGTGGTTACAGTTACATCACAGCTCCCTCACCTCTCTGGCCTGAGGAGGAATGTCTGCACTGGGGTCTCCTCCCAGCCATGCCTACCTGCACAGGTTGAAGTCCACTCTGCAGCGTTTCATCCAACATTTGCAAAGGACCTACTCTGCATCAGCCACTTGCACTTTAAAAATGCTTGCAATCTTTTCCAGAATGTGTTGAATCCACAGTTTATCAATATGTTTTATTTATATCAATAGGAAACAAGACATTTTATAATTACCTACAACACAAAGTATGTGCAACAACATTCAACCAGAGTCTGCTTTAAGAGACCAAGGTGTCATACAAAACACATCTAGGTGATTTTTTGTACATTAAAAAAAAATAAAAGAACCACTATTGAATAAAGTTAGAAACTTTACAATTTGCTAAGCTGTGGGCAGCAAAGTAATTTAATTTACTTTGTAGTAAACTAAATTTACTACAGATTAGTATTTCTACAGATTTTCAGATAGTAATTTCTACAGATTTTCAGATCAACTACAATTTTTCGGTTGCAGAAAACATTAACGATAAACATGTTTTTTATTCTGTCACCGATGCCTGTGGTTGGGGCAGCATGTTATAGAATGAATGTGCTGCACGGAGAAAAGGCAAGAACTCATCCCTTCACCAAGAAAAGCATCAACACAGCAAGTTCCTCAACACACCATGGACAGAGGCTGCAGTGCAGGCTTTAGGATTCATCCTCATTAGCAGGTAATGGCTCTCCTTCCAGCACCACCACCAAACTGGGTCGTCGTGTCCTCTGCCTGTACTATGGAATGAACTGTGCAGTCACCTAGTGTGTTCTTCTTAAGGAGAAAAATTAAAGGGCTTATTAATTCTGACATGATTTACAGAATTACACTGCAAATCATCAGGTCTTTCCCCCCTATATTAAATCTGAGATACAGGAAATTGATCCAATTCTCATAGTTCTCTCACCCCATTACTTATCTATAAGCTTATTTCCTTTTGTTCTTCTCCAAGTTCTTTTTCAGTGTTGTTTCCCTTTCCTTATCTTTGCCTTCCTCGCATGTTCCCTGGCTTGCTTATTTTCCTTTAAATCCTACACCAAAGGAATTAAAACAAAAAAATTTAAAAAAAAAACCTCTTGAGTTGAATATAGAGAATAGACAAAGAATTCTAAAGCCAGAAAGACTATTAAAAAAAAAAGACCTAATTCAGTTATTTTCATTATTGACTAGCAAATTGAGGTGCAAAGAGGCCAAAGCTGGTTCTAGCAGAATTCTTTGGCTCTATTTGTTCATATTTGTTGCTCTCCAGTTGCTACTAGGACAGGGACTTGGTGAAGCACAGACCAGGCTGTGCTCTCTTTGAATTCACCAAGTGCCTTTCCTCCAAAAAGTAGCAAGTCTCAGGTGTCATGTGTAAAACTGCTTTGTCAACTAAAAAACTTTTTTAAAACACTGTTATCACTATAGACTGGGATGACATTTGCATCTCAATTTTCTGAAGTCACATCTAGGCAAAGTTAAGGGCTTGTGAATACGAAAACTTTATTTAATAAGATCTCTGGTGTGCATCCTCACTGAAAGGAGTTCAATCAACACCTCCATAGGTCGCACACCTTAAAAATTCTCACACTTATCAAAAAGCCCCAGAACTTTTAGGAGAAAAATAACAAGGAGGGTATCACATGCTTGGACAAAGTGTTACTCTTGTCAGCTCCCTGGATCACTGGTGAATCCATTGTCTTTGGGGAAACAGACTTTTTTTTTTTCACTTTAAACTAGAAGAAAATTCATCTTCTGAATACTCTGAGCATCTTCCCACTCCCTTTTGTTTATTTATTTTGCTTTTGCTTCATATTGAGCCAAGCCACTCCCTGGCCTTGTCTCCAAATTTGAGATAGATACTCTGCCTTTGGCCCAGGAATTTCTAGAATTAATTTTCTGGCTGTGCAGTGTTCTCCAGGTATAACATTCCATACAAGCAATGAAAAATACTGCATGGAGCCCCTCAGCCTTTTCTATCTGACAATCACCCAAGGGATACTGCCTTCACTGCTTTCATTTATTTAAAATATAAGGTAAATTTTGCTATTAAGAAATGGAGTGGAATTGGGCCGGGCGTGGTGGTTTTTGCCTGTAATCCCAGAACTTTGGGAGGCTGAGGTGGGTGGATCACCTGAGGTCAAAAGTTTGAGACCAGCCTGACCAACATGGTGAAACTCCATCTCTACTAAAAATACAAAAACTAGCTGGGCAGGCGCCTGTAATCCCAAGTACTCGGGAGGCTGAGGCAGAAGAATCACTTAATCACTTGAACCCAGGAGGCAGAGGTTGCAGTGAATGAAGATCGCAGCATTACACTCCAGCCTGGGCAACAGAGCAAGACAAAAAGAGAGAGAGAAAGAAATAAATAGAGAAAGAAAGAAAAAGAAAGAAAGAAAAAGAAAGAAAGAGGAAGGAAGGAAGGGAGAGAGAGGAAGGAAGGAAGGAAGGAAAGGAAAGAAAGGAAAGAGAGTGAAATTGTACTAACCTCTCCTGTCTCTCATCTGATCACATAGACATTGAGGAGGTTGTATGCTACTGTAATCTAATATTAGTTTAGATTTAGATAATTCATTGAGAGGAGGCAGTGAGAGTGAAGACAATCCTGGTTATCTTTTAAGGTGGCTGAGCTCAACTTAGTACTTCCAGGACCTGAAATCCCTCTGCCACTTCTTAGCAGAGCCACAGCATCCTGGCAGAGCATGAACAAAACATAGGCTACAGAGATTCCACCTGATGCTAGGGTAGGATCCCACAGGATGAAGGGAAGAGATCTGACCTAAAGATGAGGGGAAAATTGAGTGAATATTTTTAACCTTAGCCACTGAATCAGGAACCAAAGCAGAAAGCAGGAGAAAATGAATACAAATAATATCATTCATTCTTGATTTAAAATAAAGTTTAGAAAGAGTTTGCTAAGAACAGAAATTGTCACCAAGAGTGTTGGAGTCAGGCTAGCTGTAGTTTGTGACTGGTCTGACAAAGGCTAACTCTTACCCAGATGTCCAATAAAAACACTTAACAAGTATCATTTCCATAAGGCTTTGTCTACTTGAAACACAAGCCAATTGTTTGGGTCCAAGTTATGAAGCAAGGTCTACAAAGGTTATGGGGTGAGGAGGCCTGATGACAACTAAATTGCTTTAAATGGAGCTCAAAATACCACCTTAAACATTCTCCTCTCCCAAGAAATGCTTAATCATAAATCAAGTAGTTCAAAACGTATTAAAAATGACAAATAGAGCAAGCACTTACATCTCATTTCTTTTTCTTTTAATTCACTGATGCATCAAAGATTTCTGAAGGATATTATTACACACAAAAAAGATGAAGTACACCAGGAATGCAAGATTCCAGGGATAAAAGAGGAGATTAAAAATCAAATGGTGGCCCAGACTTAATGCTAAAAATTATTCTGAAAATAGACCTATGCACTTTAAGACAAGGAGATGAGGACTGTCTGCTCTGAATTTGTAAGGAGTGGTGAATCTTACAATAATTGGACACATGTTTCTCATCTTTGAAAAACTTATGAATCCATTTTAATGCATTAAAGTTCATGGGTATTATTTGTCTACAAGTAAGCTTTCTTCTCCCTCTTCCCACCGTGCATTCCTTAATGGGGTTTTGATTTCAATGGGGGAAAAAAAACCTTCCAAAACTCACTAATGTTTTCTGAATTGCCATCAGGCTAACTTTAGAAGGAGTTTTTAAAAATGTGCTAAATGAAACTTTCCGTGCAAGAATCCCTGATATGCCAGTACTTCTAGAAAATAAGTTCTTTTTTATGTGTCCCTTCTGCTGTATGTAGAAATTAATTCTCAGCAATAAGAATTATTAAGTGCCTAACCCAAGATTCAAATTTGTCCTGACCTGGAATAAATCAGAAAGTGGCTCGGGTAGAAAAGTCTAGCCTGGCAAATAACACACCTCCTTAAAAGACACTGTTTCCGAGCACTTGGATGGCTCAGTGTGAAAGGAAGAGCTAACTCTCCGGAGCAACTCTGATTTCTCTCTTCCTTATGATTATAAGTACCTAGAGAATTCAACCAATTCTCAAGGCAGTGAGCCTGCCTTTTCTTTATAGACTTTTTTCAGTTTACTTGGAAACATCTGTTTTTAATTGAATTTGGATTTGAAACTAATTTCAGGAGAGATTGGATTCAGGCTCCAATCAAGTTGGAACAGAGAGATTATTGCTTATACACGTATCCTAAAATTCAGGGAGGCTTGAGGCCAAGGATACCACACTTCCTGAATGCATGCATGAGGCACATACATTTAGAAATGAAAAAGGAATGGTCTAATTCTCTTGGGAAAACTTCTTTAAGGCCAATGATTCTGGGTTTTAGGTTACAGCTTTTAGACAGGATTCGATTTTGGGAAAGGTCAGTTAGAGGACAATGCCCTCCCATGTGCTCCATATCTGGAGCAGAAGATTAAGCATTCACATGATCAAGTTAAAATAAAAACAGAATTTTGGGTTGTTCAGTGAAAAGGTCATAAATCTACCCTACTCTGCCAATTTGTTTTATTATTATTATTATTTGTATAAATTTAAGGGGTAATTGTGTTACATGAATATATTGCATGGTGGTGAAGTCAGGCTTTGAAAGAAATGGAAACAACACTATCATCTAACCACAATTTTTCTCTGCTAGTCTCTCAATGGCAAGAAGCCCCTTTCTTCCATTCATGCTCACCTTCCCCTGATTCCCATCTTACTAGAAGGTTGAAGAAGGAGAGATGACTCAAGATTTCCCCTTTGTTCTCTTCTGGGACTCCCTGCTGAGCACAGGTGCTCAGGAATCATCCAGACCTTGTTGCTCACTCAATGTATTCCTAACTATCTGCCTCAAAGTATTCTATTTTAAATGAGGCTCTTATTTTTCTGCTTCTCAGAAACATCTTTGGTGAACTCATTAGTGATCTGTCACAAAGTACTGAAAATCATAAAGAGCTGCTAAAGTGCAAGGGACCATTTTCATTTTCTTTAATGGCTGAGTCCAAAAAATAAAAATAAAATTCATGCCAAGAATTCTTCAGTGATTATTTGACATTTTTGACAATCCATCAAATAAACCTTGGATTCCTCACTTTGCAATCAGACTGACAGCTTATGCCAATTTTATCAAGCCTATCATAAATATATACCCCTATGTTTCTTGAAACTCAAAGTACCAATGAGCCAAAGAACACAGAGATATTTCTATTTAACTATATAACTATGATAAATTTTAGTAATGTATTAGTCAGGGTTCTCTAGAGGGACAGAACTAATAGAATATATATATAATATATGAAAAATATAGGATATATGAAATATATATTTTTATTTATAGTTCATATATAATATATATGAAAAATAAAAAATAATATTATATATTATATATATAAAATATATATCTATAAAGGGGAGTTTACTAAGTATTAACTCACATGATCACAGGGTACCCCAATGGGCTGTCTGCAAGCTGAGGAGCAAGGAAGCCAGTCTGAGTTCCAGAACTAAAGAACTTGGAGTCCAATGTTCAAGGGTTGGAAGCATCCAGCACAGGAGAAGGATGTAGGCCAGGAGGCTAGGTCAGTCTCTCCTTTTCACATTTTTCTCCCTGCTTTATTAAGGGAGGAGACCACCCCTCATATTGTCTTATGCCCAATTTCTGCCTCCAAAGAAAGAAGTAAAAACTAAAAGGCACAAATGAAATCCACAAGCAGGCAGCCCAGCGCCACACCCTGGGCCTGGTAGTTAAAGATCGACCCCTGACCTAATCAGTTATGTTATCTATAGATTACAGACATTGTATAGTAAAGCACTGTGAAAATCCCTGTCCTGTTCTGTTCCGATCTAACTACCGGTGCATGCAGCCCCCAGTCTCATACCCGCTGCTTGCTCAATTGATCACGACACTCTCAAGTGGACCCTCTTAGAGTTGTGAGCCATTAAAAGGGACAGGAATTGCTCACTTGGAGAGCTCGGCTCTTGAGACAGGAGTCTTGCCGATGCTCCTGGCCGAATAAACCGCTTCCTTCTTTAACTCGGTGTCTGAGGGGTTTTGTCTGAGGCTTGTCCTGCTACATTTCTTGGTTCCCTGACCTAGAAGCGAGGTGATTAACGGATGGTCGAGGCAGCCCCTTAGGTGGCTTAGGCCTGCCCTGTGGAGCATCCCTGTGGGGGACTCCAGCCAGCTTGAGTGACGCGGATCCTGAGAGTGCTCCCGGGTAGGCAATTGCCCCGGTGGAAGGCTTCGCCGGAGCAGTGAATGGCAGGCCCCCGTGGAGGATCAACACAGTGACTGAACACCAGGAAGGAACAGGCACTTGGAGTCCAGACATCTGAAACTTGGTAAGACTAGTCTTTGGAACTTGCCCACTCCATTTGAGTGGAAGCATTGCCTGATCACCTACGGCGTGCCTGTACTGGCACTTTGGTTTTTGTTTTTGACTTGACTTGGATTGCTTGATACTTTGGTTTTGGTTTTGACCTGGCTTGGATTTCTTGATACTCTGATTTTGGTTTTGATTCTGGTTTGGTGTAAACTGTAAAAGTGTGTGTGTCCTTTTTACCCGTTCTTTGTTTTGTGGTGTGCATGTGGTGTGAGCGTGGTGTTTTGCCTCGAGGAAACATGGGTCAGGCACAAAGTAAGCCCATCCCACTAGGAACTATGTTGAAAAATTTCAAAAAGGGATTTAAGGAAGACTGTGGAGTCACCATGACACCAGGAAAACTTAGAACTTTGTGTGACATAGACTGGCCAACATTAGAGGTGGGTTGGCCATCAGAAGGAAGCCTGGACAGGTCCCTTTTCTCAAAGGTATGGCACAAGGTGTCCTGTAAGCCAGGGTACCCAGACCAGTTCCCATACACAGACACTTGATTACAGCTAGTTTTGGACCCCCTACAGTGGTTAAGAGGATAGGCAGCAACAGTACTAGTAGCAAAGGGACAGTTAGTTAAGGAAGATTCTCTCTCCACCAGCCAAGGGAAGTCAGCACCAAAAGTTCTGTCCGACCCAACACCAGAAGAATCATGGCAGGAATTGGTACCAGCAGTACCCCCTCCTTATAGAGAGGAAGGGCTCCCCTCCCCTGAGCCCACAGCACCTACACCTCCACCAGATAACCGCACTCCTAGACCACCCAGAGTAGGCAAAAGAGGAAGTGAAGCAGCAGGAGAAAGTCCTCTGTTGGCAGCTCACTTATGGCCCAAGACTGGAATCCAAATGCCCTTGAAAGAGCAGTGATATACTGGGGTAGATGAAGACGGACACACGATGGAAAGGCGTGCCTTTGTGTAATCAATCTTTCACCTCTGCTGACCTCCTCAACTGGAAAAATAATACTCCATCTTACGCTGAAAAGCCTCAACCTTTAACTGACTTGCTCCAAACTATTATACAGACTCATAATCCTACTTGGGCTGATTGCCACCAGCTATTCATGTACCTCTTTAATACAGATGAAAGGCAAAGGGTGCTCCAGGTGGCAACTAAGTGGCTATAGGAGCACGTCCCAGCTGATTACCAAAACCCCCAAGAATATATAAGAATTCAGCTGCCAGGAACAGACCCCCAGTGGGACCCGAACGAGGGACCAGACATAGAGAGGCTAAGACGGTACCATGAGGCATTAATAGAAGGTCTAAACAAAGGGGCTTAAAAGGCTACAAATGTAAATAAGGTCTCTGAGGTCATCCAAGGAAAAGAAGAGTCCAGTGCAATTCTATGAAAGTCTGTGTGAGGCTTACTGTATGTACACTCCTTTTGATCCAGATAGCCCTGAAAATCAGCGCATGATTAACATGGCCTTAGTTAATCAAAGCGCAGAAGATATCAGGAGAAAACTGCAGAAACAGGCTGGGTTTGTGGGTATGAATACCTCACAGTTACTGGAAATAGCCGATCAAGGGTTTATGAATAGAGATGCAACGAGCCGCAGAGAAAGCCATAAGGAAGGCGAACGCCAGGCTAGGCAAAATGCCAACTTACTGGCCATGGCCATTAGGGGAATTCCCCCAGAAGGAGAGGGAAAGGGGGGTTCCGGGAAGAATACCCAGTCTAATCGCCCACGTTTGCAACATAACCAATGCGCCTATTGTAAGGAAATAGGACATTGGAAAGATAAGTGTCCCCGACTGGAGGAAAAGCAAGGTGATTCGGAACAAAAGAACTCAGATAAAGATAAAGACGAGGGAGCTTTGTTCAATCTGGCTGAAGGGCTATTGGACTGAAGGGGACTGGGCTCAAGCGCCTCCAAGGAGGCCATGGTCAGGATTACAACTGGGGACAAGAACATTAAGTTTTTGGTTGATACTGGTGCTGAACATTCAGTAGTGACCACCTTGGTTGCCCCCTTATCCAAGAAAACCATTGATATAATCGGAGCAACACAAGTTTCCACTAAGCAGGCTTTCTGTCTACCATAGACCTGCTTGGTGGGGGGATGTGAGATAGTTCACTAGTTCTTGTACATGCCTGACTATCCCTTGCCCTTGCTGGGAAGAAACTTGCTTAGCAAGCTGAGAGCCACCATCTCTTTTACAAAACAGGGCCCTTTACAGCTAAAGTTACTGGGAACAGGAGTTATCATGGCCCTTACGGTCCCCCGGGAAGAAGAATGGAGACTTTTTCTAATCTAGCCAGGCCGAGAGACAAAACCAGCTCTAGCTAAGTGATGGCCCCGAGTATGGACAGAGGATAATCCTCCGGGACTGGTGGTCAACCAAGCCCCCGTACTCATAGAAGTTAAGCCTGGGGCCCAACCAATTAGACAAAAGCAGTATCCACTTCCCAGAGAAGCTCTCGAAGGAATCCAGGTTCATCTCAGGCGCTTGAAAGCCTATGGAATTATAGTTCCTTGTCAGGCTCTGTGGAACACCCCCCTCCTGCCTGTCCATAAGCCAGGGACAAAGGACTATCACCCAGTACAGGACTTGTGCCTGGTCAACCAAGCTACAGTGACTCTCCACCCAACAGTTCCTAACCCTTACACATTGTCAGGGCTGCTGCCGGCTGAGGACTGCTGGTTTACCTGTCTGGACTTAAAAGATGCCTTCTTTAGCATCAGACTAGCTCCCGACAGCCAGAAGCTATTTGCCTTTCAGTGGGAAGATCCGGAGTCAGGTGTCACTACTTAGTACACTTGGACCTGGCTTCCCCAAGGGTTCAAGAACTCCCCTACTATCTTCAGGGAGGCCCTGGCTCGAGACCTGCAAAAGTTTCCTGCTAAACACCTAGGCTGCGTCTTGCTCCTGTACGTGGATGACCTTCTGCTGGGACACTCCACAGCAGTCTGGTGTGCAAAAGGGATGGATGCCCTGCTTCGGCACCTGGAGGACTATGGGTATAAGGTGTCCAAGAAGAAAGCTCACGTCTGCAGACAGCAGGTACGCTACCTGGGATTCACTATTCGGAAAGGGGAGCGCAGCCTGGGGTCAGAAAGAAAGCAGGTCATCTGCAGCCTACTGGAGTGATGAATAGAGCAACCTAGAACCAGAAGGCAAGTAAGGGAATTCCTAGGAGCTGTGGGGTTTTGCAGATTATGGATTCCAAACTTTGCAGTACTAGCCAAACCTTTGTACAGGGTGACAAAGGGGGGTGACCGGGAGCCTTTTGAATGGGGGCCTCTACAACAGCAAGCCTTTTGTAAGTTAAAGGAAAAATTTATGTTGGCCCCAGCCCTAGGACTATCAGATGTGACAAAGCCCTTTACACTCTATGTGTCAGAAAGAGAAACAATGGCAGTTGGAGTTTTAACCCAGACTGTGGGGCACTGGCCAAGGCCAGCGGCCTATCTCTCAAAACAACTAGATGGGGTTTCCAAAGGCTGGCCACCACGTCTAAGGGCCCTGGCAGCAACAGCCCTGTTAGCACAAGAAGCAGATAAACTAACCCTTGGGCAAAACCTGAATATAAAGGTCCCCCATGCTGTGGTAACTTTGATGAATACCAAAGGACATCATTGGCTAACAAATGCTAGATTAACCAAGTACCAAAGCTTGCTATGTGAAAATCCCCACATAACTATTGAAGTTTGTAACACCCTAAATCCCGCCACCCTGCTCCCAGTATGAGAGAGCCCAGTCAAGCATAACCATGTAGAGGTGTTGGATTCAGCCTATTCTAGCAGACCTGACCTTCGGGACCAGCCATGGGCATCAGTAGACTGGGAGTTATATGTGGACTGGAGCAGCTTCATCAACCCACAAGGAGAAAGATGTGCAGGATATGCGGTGGTAACTTTGGATGCTGTCATTGAAGCCAAACCTTTGCCACAGGGCACTTCAGCCCAGAAGACTGAGCTCATTGCTTTAACAAGGGCTCAAGAACTCAGTGAAGGTAAGACTGTAAACATCTACACTGACTCTCAATATGCCTTTCTAACCCTCCAAGTGCATGGAGCATTATATAAGGAAAAGGGCCTGTTAAACTCTGGGGGAAAGGACATAAAATATCACAAGAAATTCTACAATTATTAGAGGCAGTGTGAAAACCTCAGAAGGTGGCAGTTATGCACTGCAGGGGACACCAGCAAGCCTCCACCTCAGTGGCCTTAGGAAACTCTCAAGTTGATTCAGAAGCTTGAAAAGCAACATCTACCCCTTACTGGGCATCAGTAGCAGCCCCTTTACTCCCTCAAACACCTGACCTGGTACCTACCTATTCTAAGGAAGAAAAAGACTTCTTCCATGCAGAAGGGGGTCAAGCAATAAAAGGAGGATGGATCAGACTGCCAGATGAGAGGGTAGCTGTGCCACAGTTGCTGGGAGCCACAATCTTATTGGCCAGGCACGAAACCATGCATCTAGACAAGAGTCACTTGAAAAGTTGTTAGGCCGGTACTTCTAAGTCTCACACTTGCCAGCCCTTGCCAAAGCAGTAGCACAACAGTGTGTTACTTGCTGACAGCACAATGCGAGGCAAGGCCCCACTTTCCACCCAGCATACAAGTTTATGGAGCTGCTTCTTTTGAGGATCTTCACAGAAAATGCTTTTGAGGATTTCACAGAAATGCTGAAATGTGGAGGTAACACATATTTGCTGGTTCTTGTGTGTACTTACTCTGGGTGGGTGGAGGCTTATCTAACACGAACTGAAAAGGCCTACGAGGTAACCCGTGTGCTTCTCTGAGATCTTATTCCTAGGTTTGGACTGCCCTTATGAATCAGCTCAGATAACAGGCCGGCGTTTGTGGCTGTCTTGGTACAGAAGACAGCAAAGGCATTAGGAATCACTTGGAAGCTATGTGCCACCTACCGACCTCAGAGTTCTGGAAAGGTGGAGCGAATGAATCGGACTATCAAAAATAGTTTAGGGAAAGTATGTCAGGAAACAGGATTAGAGTGGATACAGGCCCTTCCTATGGTATTGTTTAAAATTAGATGCACTCCTTCTAAGAAAAAAGGATACTCCCCTTATGAAATACTGTATCATAGGCCTCCTCCTATACCACGGGAGCTTCCAGGCACTCCCCAAGAGTTAGGTGAAATTGAATTACAGCGACAGCTACAGGCTTTAGGAAAAATTACACAAACAATCTCAACTTGGGTAAATGAGAGGTGTCCCATCAGCTTATTCTCCCCAGTTCACCCTTTCTCTCCAGGTGATCACGTGTGGATCAAGGACTGGAACAGAGCCCCTTTGCGGCCATGGTGGAAAGGACCTCAGACCGTTATCTGGACCACCCCCACGGCTGTAAAGGTAGAAGGAATCCCAGCCTGGATCCACCACAGCCATGTGAAACCTGCAGCCGCTGAAACCTGGGAGGCAAAACCAAGCCTGGACAATCCCTGCAAAGTGACTCTGAGGAGGACGACAAGCCCTGCTCCAGTCACACCCGGAAACTGGTCTACACATGGCTGAAGCATGAGGAGAATCATCATGGGACTCATTTTTCTTATAATTTGGACTTGTATAGTAAAAACTTCCACTGATATTCCCCGCAGGGAGGACTGCTCTCAGTGTATACATCAGGTTACTCGAGGTAAGGCAACAAGTTAAAACAATCTTTCTGTTCTATAGTTACTATGAATGCTTAGGATCTTTAAAAGGAACATGTTTATATAATGACACTCAGTACAAAGTATGTAGCCCGGGAAACGACAGACCAGATGTGTGTTATGACCCCTCTGACTCTCCCATGTTCACAGTTTTTGAAATAAGATTAAAGACTGAAGACTAGTGGGGACTCCTAAATGATACAAGTAAAGTGTTAGCCGGAACAGAAGGAAAAGGGGTGCCTAAATGCATAATATTGAAATTTGATGCCTGTGCTGTCATTAATAGCAATAAGTTAGAAAGGGGATGTGGGTCTTTTAGTTGGGAAAAAGGCTATATGACCGAAAATAGTACATTTGTCATGAATTAGGACTGTGTGGAAATGAATGTGGATACCGGTCTTGTGTCATTTGGGCCACTTGGATAAAAAATGAAAAGGATCCAGTCCACTTTCAGAAAGGGAAAAATGGCCCTTCCTGTACTAAGGGACAATGTAACCCCTTAGAGCTGGTAATAACCAATCCCTTGATCCTCGCTGGAAAAAAGGGGAGCGTGTGACCTTAGGAATCGACGAGGCTGGACTGGATCCTTGAGTAAATATCTTGGTTCAAGGAGAAGTTTCAAACACTCTCCTGAACCAGTGTTTCAAACTTTCTATGATGAACTAAATGTGCCAGTACCAGAAATTCCAGGAAAAACAAGAATTTGTTTTTGCAATTAGCCGAGCATGTAGCCCAGTCTCTCAACATCACTTCTTGCTGTGTATGTGGAGGAACTGTAATGGGAGATCAATGGCCATGGAAAGCCCGAGAATTAGTACCTACAGACCCAGTTCCTGATGAATTTCCGGCTCAAAAGAATCACCCTCATAATTTCTGGGTCCTAAAATTCCCAATTATTGGACAATATTGCATAGCTAGAGAAGGAAATAATTCACTCACCCTGTAAGACGACTTAGTTGTCTGGGACAGAAACTGTATAATGGTACCAAAAAAACAGTCACTTGTTGGAGTTCAAATCACACAGAGAGGAATCCATTTAGTAAATTCCCAAAGTTGCAAACCGTATGGACCCACCTGGAGTCCCACCGGGACTGGACAGCCCCCACTGGATTATACTGGGTAAGTGGGCATAGAGTTTATGCCAGATTACCTGACCAGTGGGCAAGTAGTTGTGTTATTGGCACTATTAAACCATCTTTCTTCCTAGCCCATAAAAACAGGTGAACTCCTGGGCTTCCCTGTCTATGCGTCCCACAAAAAGGGAAGCATAGCTATAGAAAATTGGAAAGATGATGAATGGCCCCCTGAGAGACTCATACAATATTATGGGGCTGCTACTTGGGCACAAGATGGCTCATGGGGATACTGGACCCCCATTTACAAGATCAACCAAATCATACGGTTACAAGCTGTCTTAGAAATAATCACTAATAAAACTGGCAGAGCCTTGACTGTTCTGGCCTGGCAAGAAACTCAGATGAGAAATGCTATCTACCAAAATAGATTGGCTCTTGAATACTTGCTAGCAGCTGAAGGAGGGGTCTGCAGGAAATTTAACCTTACTAATTGCTGTCTACACATAGATGTTCAAGGGCAAGTAGTTGAAGACATAGAGATATGACAAAACTGGCACATGTGCCTGTGCAAGTGTGGCATGGATTTGATCCTGGGGCCATGTTTGGAAAATGGTTCCCAGCGCTAGGAGGATTTCAAACTCTTATAATAGGAGTTATAATAGTAATAGAAACCTGCTTACTGCTCCCTTGTTTGCTACCTGTACTTCTTCAAATGATAAAAAGCTTCATCACTACCTTAGTTCAACAAAATGCTTCAGCACAGGTGTACTATATGAATCATTATCGACCTGCCTTGCAAGAAGACATGGGTAGTGAGAAAGAAAGTGAGAACTCCCACTATTGAGTGAGATTCTCAAAGCCGGGGAATAAGGGAGACCACCCCTCATATTGTCTTATGCCCAATTTCTGCCTCCAAAGAAAGAAGAAGTAAAAACTAAAAGGCAGAAATGAAATCCACAAGCAGACAGCCCGGCACCACACCCTGGGCCTGGTAGTTAAAGATCGACCCCTGACCTAATTGGTTATCTTATCTATAGATTACAGGCATTGTATAGAAAAGCACTGTGAAAATCCCTGTCCTGTTCTGTTCCAATCTAATTACCTGTGCATGCAGCCCTCAGTCACATACCCCCTGCTTGCTCAATCGATCACAACCCTCTCAAGCAGACCCCCTTAGAGTTGTGAGCCCTTAAAAGGGACAGGAATTGCTCACTCGGAGAACTTGGCTCTTGAGACAGGAGTCTTGCCGATGCTCCCAGCCGAATAAACCGCTTCCTTCTTTAACTTGGTGTCTGAGGGGTTTTGTCTGCAGCTTGTCCTGCTACATTATATTCTAGCTGCTCTGGCAGGTGATTAGATGGTGCCCACCCAGATTAATGGTGGGTCTGCCTTTCACAGCCCACTGAATCAAATGTTAATTTCTTTTGGCAACACCCTCACAGACACACCCAGGATCAATGCAATCAAGTTGACACTCAGTATTAATCATCACAAGTAAGTTTAGATATTGAGAACTAATAGCACCCTCGTATTTGTTTCCTACATACAAATGATAAATGTAGTTTTAAACATTATTGCCAATTTTCATTAAATTCATTAACCAATCATTCTAAATGTTTTATTTACCATAGACTATTAATTCATGAGACTCACTTTTATCAACAAAAGGCAAGGCATCAGTTATCATTTATTAATTCAAAGTGTTCTCTGTAGAGATTTTCAGAGATGGTATGGTTTTTTCTTAATATCTGCTATTATAATTTTAATAAAATTTAATATCTAAGATGTGTTAATTTCAATGCTTCTAAACTTGGCCCCACTTTTTTTTTTTTATCAGAAGAACCAAAGAAACCAAGAAATCTTCATCTGAATTTGATCGTTTGCTAGAATAATAATAATTAGGAGACTTTGGGAGAGAGAAGACTTTCCTTATAAATGAACATTTCAAATATAATAATGAAATGACTATAGCATTAGCTATTTACACTTCTTAGAATATATATATATATATATATATGTACTTTTTGGGTGATATATTAAGTAGCTATACATGTTTATTCTCTAATGGCAATCTGATGGCAAAAGACACAAAAGAGTTAAGGAATAAGATTCCAAAACTTGCAATAAGCCAAGGAAGATGATGCACAAAGTAAGTATTCTTGTGACACGTAGCAGCTGGTGCCTTTAAAACCACACCAAGTCCATACGTGAAGTTCCCAATCATGGCCAATGCAAACAGCAGAAATGAAGTTCCTTCCGTAGATCTTCTTCAGAACTAACAATAGAAGCAAGGATGACAGTAGTTGTTATTTTCTCTTCACTATACAGTACACAGCTTCACAAATCACCCAAGTTTTAAATTGTATTTCATTATCATAAATATCTTCTGATTGTAAAAAAAAAAAGTTTCTTGTACAAATGTTGGAAGAGGTGGAAAACATGAAGGTTAAAATAATATCACCCATAATCTCAACACTCAGAAAATATTCTGATTCATTTCTTTCTTTTTATGCAAGGTACATGACTATACACAGTATACATAATATTTTGTTATATCCTTTTCTCCCGTATTATATATTATAATAATTTTTGCATGTCATTAAAAATTATTTATCAACATTTTTAAATTGCTCCAGAATATTCCACTGTATTCAGCATTTGAGTTGTCCCCAAACTTATAGATGGCATTTTTACAAATTCCTCAGTACATACATATTTCTCCATCTTTCTGGTAATTTCCATAGAATTGATATCTAGATGTGAAATTCATACTTTTAAGGATATTGACGCAAACCGTCAAAATGTCTTCCCGAAAGACTTTTAAACATCTACTCAGCAGTGTATGAATGTGCAAACAAACCCTATTCTTATCAGCTGTGATTCCTGTAATTTCTTTATATTTGCTAATTTATAGACTAAAAAGTTGTTATTTTATTTCACATTTATTTAATTCCTAGAGAAGTTAAATTATTTTTCATGTTTGTTATTTTTCATGGTTTTTTTTTCTTTTTTAGAGAGAAAGTCTTGCTCTGTTGCCCATGTTGGAGTGCAGTGGCACAATCTTGGCTCACTGCCACCCCCACCTCCTGGGTTCAATCAATTCTCCTGCCTCAGCTTGCCAAGTAGCTGGGACTACAGGCGCATGCCACCACGCCCGCCTAATTTTTTATTTTTTATTTTTTGTATTTTAGTAGATATGGGCTTTCACCATGTTGTCCAGGCTGGTCTTGAACTCCTGAGCTCAGGCAATCCACCCCCCTTGGCCTCCCAAAATGCTAGGATTACAGGCGTGAGCCACTGCCATTTCTTCTTTTTTTAATTATCCATTTTTGAGTCCTATGTAAATTTTTATATAGGACTGTTTTTTCCTTTTGGTTTATGGAAATTCTTACTAACATTCGGTTCTTTGCCATATGTGCTTCCTATCTATTTTGTATGTTTTGGTTTTATACCTATATTTGATGTACAGACATTAAATATTTATAGTTAATTCTATAAATTTTTTCCCTTATCCATTTCTCTTAAGATTCAAAAGTACTAAGATATAAACATTTAAAATATTATCTATGTGTGATAATGATAACAATTAGTATCCTTTTAATCATGCAGTCCAGTACTGGATTGGGAGTTAGTAAATGTTAATCTACTGTGAAGCTGCCTCTTGGGCTCATTTTTAAGGCAATTCTGAGGGAGAGACTATAATATTCTCCCCTGAAAAAAGTACTGCTTGCATGAAGCTTCTTTATTCAATGTCTGTAGTGTACTCCCTTGTTGATGACTGGATTATTTATTCTTCTACATATTACCTTTTGCAATACTTCATTTCAAAATATTGACAAACATGTGAGACTATTTTGACCAGATGGAAACTCAAGTGAATGAATTAGAGAAAATTACTCTTTTACTCCCATTAAACATTCAGAAATTCAGTTAGAGTTTTCAGTTTCCAGGACCTTTGGTAAATAAAAGAATATACTATTGGAAATTCGAATAAACCGTGGGTGGTTGAAAATTCAGAGAGATAAAGTACACATGTACACGTTGGGTCCCTTCTAGGTTGCCACAATGAAGTATATTAGTTGCAAAGTGCAAGGGAATCATGTCTTTTTCACAAGTTGAACACAACCACAACATCCATGCCAAATGCTTTGCATAATTTATTGTGACTTCATTACTCTGCCATTAATATGCAAACCCAGGAAAACAGATTTAGACAACAATTCCAGCTGATCTAAATTCTGCTGCCTAAACTTGAAGGAGCTTAACAAACAAACAAAAAATTGATCAAGAATCGATTCTTGTGACTTTGACTTCCATATTTTGGTCCCAAAAGCACTACTCAGAATTCCAAGATCTCTTCCAAAGGTAGACACAAAGTCATAAGAAGCACTTTTGATTCATCAGAACAAACAGAGCAAATAACGTACTTACATTTCTATATAGTTGGGGAAATCGAGATCCCAAGTAGAATACACAAAATACATAGCCACAAATAAAGCCTAACATTTCAACTATGCCAACAGCATCCTGAAAGCAGTAACATAAAAAGATTGATAGTATTAAGGATCAATCTAAACATACATTAGAATCTAAATATTTTAAGGGAAATGGAAGGTCATTGGACAAAACTAGGGTGGAAGTATTTATTCTCTGTAGCCTTGTTATTTTGGAGGCCAATGAATATTAATCATCTTTCTAGGATGGGTGGTATTCCCTAATCAAGTAGTAACATCATTTATTCATGCATGTGGATATGCTAAGCTGCTTTGAATAATGGCACTTAAGATTTGGAAAAAATAACTTCAGTGTAAGTGTATCTATGGGGTTTCCATCTGGATTTCTGGTTCAACCCCACAGAACTCTTTCTCTGAGTACCTGCCTGTAGATGGGCCAAGTGGGCAGGTTCACCAGAAGAATGGGTCTCTTCAGTCTGGGTCAAGCCTTTCTGCCCATCAGCCTGCATCCCAAAAGGAAAGAAGGTGCTTTCTGGATTTTCAGGAACTTACTGAGCCCCAGTCAATTCTAACATATTAAAGCACACTACCAGTGCAATCCCAAAGGATTGAAGTTTCTTAGAAGTTTTTCTAAAAGTTAATAAAAATTCTTTCTTGTATTTTTTATTGGGAGAACATGGAGAGAGGTGGGGATTGAGCCCTGGCATTCTGTCATTTCATTTTTGAAATAAAATACTTCCTGGACTAACCTCAGCACTTCTACAATATTTTTGTGGAGGTTATAAAATTAACAACGAAAAATTCTGCAAAAATATTTCTAAAGTGACCAAAAAATGGATATAAAACAAAGAGTTGATGGGCTTTTCAAATAAAGATTACCTTTTTTGCTTCTGTTGAAATCTCATGTTGATTCTTCATCAAAAATAGACTTGGTATTGCCACCGACAGCATAATGCACACTGGCACCCAAGTCACACATAAATTCTGCAGGCTTCTACTCCCTAGTGCTTAAAAGCAACCAGGGCAATGGTGAACAACTGCCACAAGCTGCTGAAATGATGTCCAATGGCACACATATTTACTGCAGCTAAATACCCCTTATCTGGTATTTAATCTCCAGAATACTTGAGTTTTCAGAATGGTTACACAACAAACATCATCCAGAAAAAAATATGCTGTTTAGTTAGAATTCAAGATCACTAAGTGCATCTGAGAATAGGATAACCACAGAAAGCACCTGATGGACGGTTGTGATTGGCTGGATCAATTGTAGGAAAGGAAAGTGCTACTTTAATTGCCCAGTTACACATTTACAAGCTCGATGCATCCATCTTAGTGCTGACAGGCCTTGGGAGGGAACAGCAGACAAGAAAGAAGAACACTGCAGAAATGAAGCAGGACGATAACACAGAATAGGATCAGAGGAGATTAAAAGTGGTGTCAGTGGCAACAGTAGCCAACAGAAATTAAAGGCAGCAACAGGGAGTGTGATTCAGGCCTCTGAGAGAAGGAGAGAGGAAGCAAAAAGCCCTGAGCTTAAGACAGATAAAAAGCAAGGAGACTATGAAAAACCCAGGCACCACTGGAACATGCCAAGCAGGTTTCCAGAGATATGGAAGAGCAGTCATTTAATTGACAAACTCTTACTAAATGCCTACATTCTTAGCAACCAAGAATGCAAAACTAAATAATTTATGCCCCTACTCCAAGAGACTGTAAATTAAATCATTACATCCTATGGATCTTATTTCCTAAATCTGCATCTAGATGACTCAAGGTTTAAATCAGCAGAGCCAGGTCAAGGTACATTTTGGAAAGCTCTCTGAGGAAAAAATCAAAAAGCACCTGATCCATAACTGTTAAATACACAGAGCAGAGTGACTCATTCTCCATGGGCAGTGGCTGGCTATGTTCTTACTCTATCAGTTAATGATAAAAGCTTGAGAACTTCCAGGAGTGGTGGTCAAATTGAACACTCTCATTCAGGAAGCTAGGAAACACTGGGATGAAGAATCTTAGTAAAAGTGAAAGAAAAAACCAAAAACCACAAGCTAACAAACATACAAAAGTCTATGTTTAAGTAGGAAACATGTCTCCTTATAAACCAGACAATCATCTACCATGGGTTGGTAGGGGCAGGGTAGGTCCATGCAGCTTTAACCTCTATATTCTATTTTTAATTTCTTAGTTATGTTGCATCCGTACCAGGGTTAGCATCAGCAGACATCAGACACACAGATATCTGACTGCAACATTCTGGCTAAATCATTCCCACTTGTTTAACATAAAAACTGATGAAGCATTTATTTTAAAACATTTGTAGAGTTATAACTGCAAAGGTAGGGCTCATGGCTTCTCATATATTACAACCACATGTTAAGACAATAGACTTCAATAAAAAATTACCTTCAGACACATTTTATATTTGAAGGATTTGCTTTATCCCTCAACATTCCAGGTTGGATAGCCCATCGAGCACATGTTCCCTGGTGAAACTTAATTTTTTTTGAACTCTGCATTGACCCTAAGTTTAACAGCATTCCAAATTCAGTCTACTTTGCCCACAGAAGATATTGCAGCTAAGCAAAACTCTGTTCCAGAAATCTCATAAACTGTGTGAGTTGCTCAATTTAGCCCTGAGGGAGTAAATTGAAGAGAGCTGGGCTGTCATACTGTTTTAGACTGTTTGCCACAGAAATTCAGGATTAGTTCCAGATAGATTAAACTAGTTATGGTGGTGACTATTTATATATATATGTCCCTTATCTTAGTGACCTTTTACCAAATGGCTCCTTTATTTTAGTTCTTGGTGCCATTATTTAGTTAATATACTTAAAGTAGGTTTGGTGGGGGTAGCGGGCAACACAGGGGAGGGAACTGATTGTGTGCCCTTTAAGTACCAAATGCTTTACTGGAGATTTCCATATATTTCACAATTCATTCATTCCACCACTATTTGCCGAATGTCGGCTACGTACTCAGTCTGGAAGAAGATTGAGACAGTCCCTGTTCTTATAGAGCTTATGAGTCACATGACACCAATTACACTGTAAATCAGCTTGATATATACCTCATATCACTTTAGGTTGATTTTGAAATCTAATCCCTCTACCAGCTGGCTATGTGACCTCAGTCCAATTTGTGGATGCCTCGATTTCCTCAATTGTATAAATGAGTTTGCCATGGAAAATAAGCGAGTTCAAGGAGCACATATAAAAGGTCTTTCACCATGCCTGGTACACAACTGGGGGTCATCTTCCTGCCTTCCCCACTCTAGTATCCAGTGGGATTTGTATTTGATTTGTAGATTTGAGTAGCTGTTCCCACCCTTGTAATAGTTACAACCACCAGGGGGCAGTAGAGAAATACGCTCCACCCATCCCAAGGGGAAAAATGGAGCCACTCTCATAGGTACATAGCTAAAAGCAAATTTCATTGTTGGGCTGGCTCATAAATACACACGTGAAGAAACAGTCATTTAAAAACACAGCAGACAAAGCAAAAATAAAAATAATATTCAGTTATTCAGCAAATCTATATTGCAGGCCTATTCTGCACCAGCCTCTGAACATTAAAATAGTGCCTGTCCCAATGGGCGATATGAAGATTAAATAAGTTACAATGCGAGTGACAAATGGTAAGCACTTAAAAACTATTTGTGGCTATTATCCTGTGGAGGATATGTTTTTAGATTAGCCACAAGAGAAAAGTGGTACTGCCTATCACCTGCAGGAACCTCTAAAAGCATTTGACTATTCCTGCCAATCTCTCTTTCCTTTTTCTGATTAATCATTTCTGTTTATTTTCCAATAACATAGATGTGTTAATGTGTCCAATGACACATACCAATTAAAAAAAAAGGTAATAACATGGAATCTAAATATGCCACATCTGAAAATTCTCAAAGGACTCACTTAGATGGTTGAGAGAAATGTTATGTCTTATCAAAATACGCCTTACTCATTAAAAATAACTCGAAAATGCTCTATCAGTTTTTAAATGAGAAAATGTTCTATTACAGACAGAAGTATTTGAGTGAACTATTATCAATCTTACATTTTTTTCTTCTGATTCTTTAACCTGTAGTACATGAATTGTGAGAGTATGATTACATCCGTGTTCATGTCGAAGATGGCTGTAAAAATCTGGAGTGGTAGATAAAGATGGACATCCATAAACATAAAATCCAAGGCCACCATTATGCAATATATATAGGATAGTGTATGAAGGTGACAAAGTCATTTACATGATTAAAAACATTAACAAAGTATTCTAAAAGGTTACAAATATTCCACTTTATTTTTTTCATTTGAATACTACTGTAGAAATATTTGTCTATAGCCACTGACTATATTTTTAATCATGACTCTCATTGTAAACTATGTGTCAGCAACAGTGGATTATTGTTCAACCTTAGTATAGAAAAGAATAAGAATCCGCTAATGGCAACATATCATGTTCAGCTACCTTGAGGCAAGAAAATATTAAAACTGTATGAAGAAAAGGAATTAAAACTGGATGTAGACTTTAAAAATATATCTGAAAACAGACAGACTTCTATTCTACTATAAAAAAATTTGCCACATTAAGAGGGTTGTCAGACACAGAACACTTATGCAATATTTAGAGCAGGTCTATACTAAAAAAGTATTTGTTGTTTTTCTGAAATCCAAATTTGACCGGGTATCCTGTATTTTGTTTGCTAAATTTGTCAACTCTACACATGAAGCCCTCCATACACACATAACCCAGAACCTTCACTGTTTTGAAGATAAATCTGGAGAAACTTTTACCTGAATAGGCAGTTGGTTAGTCAGGTAGCAGCCTTTGAAATTTGTCAGGTCTCCACCTATCCAGCAATCCAGAAAACCCAGAGAGACTGCTTCATCCACTCTTCCATTTCTGTAGGCTACAAAGAGCTGACTGGAAAGTGACAATAGACAAATAAACACTTGGAACACAGAACTTAATGAGCCAACTCAACACCAGATAAAAACAAAACCAATGATGTACAGCAATAAGACATCTCATTCACTTCCATTTAAGCCTCTAGGACTCTTTTTAACCCGTCTTCATTCATAGCACAGAGCAAACATATCTAAAACCTAAAAGAAGCTCAGTGACAATACTAAAACATTAATGCCTTTTATCTCGCCTTTTATATTTTCTATTAGAATTTATATATATGTCCTAAGTACATGTTTATTCTTTCTTGGCCTCATAGTGGGGGAAGATATTAAGTCATGTAATTAGAGAGAATAGATATATCACTAAAACATAAGAATAGTGTTTATCAGTGATTACATTTTCAAAGCCAGTATCTATTTTTTCTTTTAAATCGACTTCTAATCAAGTTGCCCACATGCAGGTAGACAGGTGGACAAACAGATAAATTAATGTGAAAATCTATTTGGCTCCCTACGATGCCAGCACTTATGCGGAAACATTTTTAAAAATCTTGGGTCCTGGGATCCAAAAGACCTGAAGACATGGCTTATCACCTGTGGGACATCAGACAATTACTTAATCTCTCAGAATCTCACTTTCCATATCCATAAAGTAAGATTAACTTTTGAAACCAGAAGTGTTTATTGCAGGAAGTTGACCAAGGTTTGGCTAAATGATGACCATAAGCCACCAGTGGTAGAACTGGGAATCAGCCTAAAGCTCCTGACTCCAAATTTATAATCTTTCACTACCACATATACTAGCTAAAAGTTAATATTTCCAGAATTCACATCTGAGACCATAATCCCACTCACATCAATGCTGAGTTATTCTTCCATTAAGCGGTGGTATATATACCAATGTGACTTTCAAAAGACTTTTGTTTATGTTTCAGATTTCCAAAGCATCTGAGGATTGACTGTATTCTCTACCTTTTCCCAGTACTTTATAAACAGATGACCTATCTATGCACACATATTTTACAAATTCCTTTGAGGCAGCTCTCTTTTGCTTGAGATTTTTTTTCCAGGGTAGATGTAGTTGGTATCTGACTTCTAGTTATAAATAAACTTAGCAAGAATGGAAAACTTTCCCCTGTAGGACTAAACTGCTTGGATTTTTTTAAAAAAATTATCCCCATGCCCAGAAGAAAAGAATAGCATAATGCAATATCTCACCAAAGACTATTTAAATTTTTACTCTTATCAAAGAACATATTGAAAAGGAATTCAACATAGGATGGTGAAGAGGTAAGGTACATATGCTTTATTGCCTTTCTGATTACTAAATATAAAAGATTTGTATATCTTAATTGAGAAAAAAGTAGTCAGTATAATGTATTAACCATCTTTCTGTTATATTCCAAAATGTTTTAGTGATGCTTTTTAGCACCTTCAAAATATACAATACAAAGAGAACATTTGTTCAATAGCAAGCCCAAATAGTTTGAAAAAATACTTAATATAGAAATATTTAAACATTTTTTTAAATAAGAAATTATGAACAAGAGTGTTACACTATAGACTTGAAATCCAAGATTCTTAACTTATGAGAGAGCAACAAACAGAAAACAGACAATAGAAACCAATTCTATAATCATGCTACAGTATTCCCAGGAGTTGGACACACATCTTGCAGGAGATGCCAAATCCATAAAGTCCCAGTCACACAAATCTTCCTGTCCTCTACTGAGGAGATACGCAGTTGCACCTGTGATTCCATAATTAAAGTCTGGATGGTTGATGTTGCTGGTTCTTGGAAAATGCAATTTAATGTCAGAAGGAATCTTTCCTTTTAAAACAATGCTTTGATTCATACTGAAGTTGGCTACAAATTGTTTTCAAATCTGTAAAAATTAAATGTAAAAAAAATAAATATTGTGTAATATTTTTTCTTAGAAAACATTGTTGAAAGAAATTAAAGAAGACTTAAATAAATAGGAAGACATTCCATATTCATGAATTGGGAGACTTAATATTGTTAAGATGGCAAAACTACCCAAAGTAATCTACAGATTTAATGCAGTTCTTTAAATTCCAACTGCCTCTTTTACAAAACTGCACAAGTTGATCCTAAAATTCATATGTAATTGCAAAGAATACCAAATAGTCTAAACAACTCTGAATAAAGAGAATAAAGTTCGAGAAATAATACTTTATAATTTCAAAATGTATGACAAAGATAGTAATCAAAACAGTGTGGTAATGGCATTAGAAAAGACATATAGATAAACGGAATAGAATGGAGCATCCAAAAATAAAACCATACATCTATGGTCAATTGATTTTGACAAGGGAGCCAAGACCATTCAATAAGGAAAGAATACTTTTTTCAACAAATAGCAGTGGGACAACTGGATAACTACATGTAAAAGAATGAAGTCGAACTCTTACCTCACATCACATAAAAAAATTAACTCAAAATAGATAAAAAGCTTAAATTTGAGAATCTATATAACTCTATAAAATCTAGAAAACATAGGGATAAATATGTATGAGCTTGGATTTGACAACAGATTCTTAGACATGACCCCAAAAGCACAAGCAACAAAAGAAAATATAAATTAGACTTCATCAAAATTTAGAAGCTTTTGTGCATCAGAGAACATTATAAAGAAAAGTGAAGAGCCAACCCACAGAATGAATAAGACCTAGCATTTGATAGTACAACAGGGTGGCTATAGCCAACAATAATTTAATTGTACATTTTGTAATAACTAAAAGAGTATAAGTGGATTGTTTATAACATAAATGATAAATGCTTGAGGATATGGATACCTCATTTTTCATGATGCGAGTATTACTTATTGCATTCCTGAATCAAAGTATCTCATGTACCCCATAAACATATACATCAATTATGTACATCAATTAAGTAAAAAATAATACAAATTAAAAATTTTAAAAAAGATCACAATGAGACACAGTATAATTGTCAAATTCAAAGACAAAGAATGAGTTTTGAAAGCAGCAAGAGAAAAGAGTCATGTCCAAGGGAGCCCCCATGAGACTATCAGTGGATTTCTCAACAGAAACCTTGCAGGCCAGAAGGAAGTGGGATGATATATTCAAAGTACTAAAAGGTTAAAACTTCCAACTAAAAATATGCTATCTGACAAGGTGTCCTTCAGAAATGAAGGAGAAATAAAGACTTTCCCAGATAAACCAAAGCTGAAAGAATTCATCACCATTAGACCTGCCTCACAAGAAACGCTAAGGAGAGTCCTTCAAGTTGAAATAAAAGGATGCTAGAAAGCAACATGAAAGAATATGGAAGTATAATACTCATGGGAAAAGGTAAATATATAGACAAATGCAGAATACTGAAATACTGTAATGATGGTGAATAAATAACATTTAACTCTGGTATTTAATTAAAAAAATAAAAGTATGAAAAATAAATATAACTAAAATGTTAATAGATACACAATATAAAAAGATGTGATTTGGGAAATCAATAATATAAAGTATGTGGGGTAGTAGAAGTAAGATAATACAGTATTTGTATGCAATTGATGTTAAGGTTGTTATCAACATAAAATAGATTGTCATAAATATAAGATAGTTTATGTAAGTCCCATGGTAACCACAAAGAAAACATCTATAAAAAGTACAGAAGAGAAAATAATCAAAATGTGCCACTTGAAAAATAAAATCAATGAAACACAAAGAAAGATAGGAGGAGACAAGGGACAAAAATCTACAAGATAAACATAAAATAATTAATATAATGTTAATAATAAGTACTTTACTATCAGTAATTACTTTATATATAAATGGATTAACCTCCTCAAATAAGCCATAAAGTCACTGAATGGATTTTGAAAAAAGATTCAACTATATACTGTCTATAGGAGACCAATTTTAGATTTAAGGACATGCATAGACTGAAAGTAAAAGGATGGGAAAAGATAATCTGTTTAAATGGTAATTGAAAAAGACCAGATGTGACCATAGTTGTGTCAGACAAAATAGGATTTAAGTCAAAATCTGTCATAAGAGACAAAGAAGAACAATATATAACCACAAAAAGATTAATTAATCAAGAAAATAGAACAATTATAAGTTTGTATGCACCCAAATCAGAGCATCCAAATATATGAAGCAAACATTGACAGAACTGAAGGGAGAAATACTTGTGCAATAATAGTAGGAGATTTCAATACCCCACTTTCAATAATGGATACAACAAACCTGATAAAAGATTAATAAGGGACAAGACAACTTGAACAAGTCTATAGACCAACTGGACCTAACAGACATATACAGAACATTCCATCCGAGAGAAGCAGAATCCATATTCTTTTCAAGAGCACACAGAAGATTCTCCAGGATGAATCACCTCAGATCACAAGCAAGCCTTAACAAATTTAAGATTGTAATCATACCAAGTATTATTCCCAACTACAATGAAATGTAACTACAATACAATAGCAGAAGAAAGAACTGAAAAATTCACAAATATGTGGTAACTAACATACTGCTGAATAACAATTGAGTCAAAGAATAAACCAAAGGAAAATTAGAAATTACCTTGAGACAAATGAAAATGGAAACACAACATGCCAAAATTTATGGGATGCAGCAAAATCAGTACTAAGAAAGAACTTTTATGCCTACATTAAAAAAAATCTCAAATAAACAGCTTAACTTTACACCTCAAAAAAATTAGAAAAAGAAGAACAAATAAAGCCCCAAGTTAGCAGAAGGATGAAAATAATAACAATTAGGAAAAAATAAATTAAATAGCAGAATAGACAGTAAGAAAAAATCAACAAAACTAAGGATTTCTTAAAAATATTAACAAAATTGACAAACTCTTACTTAGCAAGACTATAAAAAATGAGAAAACTTAAATAAATGAACTCAAAAATAAAAGACATTGCAGCTGATGTCACAGAAATAAAAAAGATTATGAAAGACCACTATGAACAATTATATGTGAATGAATTGTCTAACTTAGAAGAAATAGACAAATTCCTAGAAATATACAACCTACCAAGACTGAATCTTGATCAAATATAATACAAGACTATACCTACAATAAGTAGGGAGTTTGTATCGGTAACCAAAAACTTGCCAACAAAGAAAAGCCCAAGACCAGAAGGATTCACTGGAGAATTCTATTAAACACTTAAAAAGTTAATGCCAATCCTTCTCAAACTCTTGTGGAAAAAAGCATTATCCCAAGTGAAATAAAGCAGTCACAAAAGCACAAATACTGCATGATTCTACTTATATGAGGTATCTAAACTAGTTAAACTCATAGAAGCAAATTGTCAAATGGTGGTTACAAGGGTGTGAGGAGGGGGAAGTGGAAAATTGCTGTGCAATGGATATAGAGTTTCAGCAATGCAAGATGGAAAAGTTCTAGAGATATGCTGTACAACAATGCACATATAGTTAAAAATACTTTACACTTAAAAATGTATTAATAGGGCTAATTTTATGTGAGGTGATTTTTACAACAAAAAAAATAAATAAAACATTGTGAGAGTGAGAAACAGAAATTATAGTTCAGAGTTCTAAAGAGGAGGAAGCTCCAAAAAAGAACTCCAGAAATCTGCACATAGGTTACCTGTGCCTTTGGCTGAATAGGAAGGCAAAGTAGGGCAAAACTCCTTTAAGTCAGGCAAAAAACAACTACCAGGGAGAGAAAAGCTACCGGGGTACTATTAACAGAAAAACTACTACGGCTCACACAGGACTAAGAGACATTTGAGTTCTGAACAGGCAGGGGAAAGAGATTATTTAGAAGACAAGAAACATTCATAAAGCACCCAAAAAGACTGTGCCTTCAGAGTAAGGGTAAACAAGCTGTAGAGGCTATGCTAGACCCACTGTAACACAGTTTAAAAACAAGCCTTAAAATTATCAAACTTATTTTCAAATAAGGTAGCTGCTTGCCCAAGTAAACACCAATACTCTTAAAGTTTTCAAGGAAGACTGTCACATTGTTGAGCATAATGTCCAGCATCCAACTGAATATTGAAGACATGCAAAGAAGCAGGAAAATGTGTCCAATAATGAAGAAAAACAAATTAGTCAATAGAAACAGACACCAAAATGATAGAGATGTTGAAATTAGCATGCATTTAATTGTTATAGATATATTCCATATGTTGAAGAAGCTACAAGAAAACATGAACATTGATATGGTTTGGCTCTGTGTTCCCACCCAAATCTCATCTTGAATTGTACTCCCATAATTCCCACATGTTGTGGGAAGGACCTGGTGGGAGATAAGTTGAATCACGGGGACGGTTTCCCCCATACTGTTCTCACGGTAGTGAATAAGTCTCAAGAGATCTGATGGTTTGATCAGGGGTTTCCACTTTTGCATCTTCCTCATTTTCTCTTGGCGCTGCCATGTAAGAAGTGCCTTTCACCTCCCACCATGATTCTGAGGCCTTTCCAGCCATGTGAAACTGTAAGTACAATTAAACCTCTTTTTCTTCCCAGCCTTGGGTATGTATTCATCAGCAGTGTGAAATTGGACTAATACAGGAAATTGGTACCAGTAGAATGGGACATTGCTGAAAATATACCCAAAAATGTGGAAGCAACTTTGGAACTGGGTAACAGGCAGAGATTGGAACAGTTTGGAAGGGTCAGAAGAAAAACAGCAAGATGTGGGAAAGTTTGGAGCATCCTAGAGACGTGTTGAATGGTTTTAACCAAAATGCTGATAGTGATACGGGCAATAAGGTCCAGGCTGAGGTGGTTTCAGATGGAGATGAGGAACTTTTTGGGAACTGGAGCAAAGGTGACTCTTGTTCTGTTTTAGCAAAGAGACTGGCAGCATTTTGCCCCTGCCCTAGAGATTTGTGGAGCTTTGAACTTGAGAGAGATGATTTAGGGTATCTGGAGGAAGAAATTCTAAGCAGCAAAGCATTCAAGAGATGACTTAGGTGCTGTTAAAGGCATTCGGTTTTATAAGGGAAGCAGAGCATAAAAGTTCAGAAAATGTGCAGCCTAACAATGTGATATAAAAGAAAAATCCAGCTGGGCATGGTGGCTCACACCTGTAATCCCTGCACTTTGGGAGGCCAATGTGGGTGGATCACCTGAGGTCAGGAGTTTGAGACCAGCCTGGCCAACATGATGAAATCCCGTGTCTACTAAAAATAAAAAAATTAGCCAGGTGGCGTGGTGGTGGGCGCCTGTAATACCAGCTACTCAGGAGGCTGAGGCAGGAGAATCCCTTGAACCCGGGAGGCAGAGGTTGCAGTGAGCCGAGATCGTGCCACCACTGAACTCCAGCCTGGGCAATAAGAGCAAAACTCGGTCTTAAAAAAAAAAAAGGAAAGAAGAAAAATCCATTTTCTAAGGAGAAATTCAAGCCAGCTACAGAAATTTGCATAAGTAATGAGGAGCCAAATGTTAATCCCCAAGACAGTGGGAAAAATGTCTCCAGGGCATGTCAGAGATCTTCACAGCAGCACTTCCCATCACAGGCCTGGAGGCCTAGGAGAAAATGGTTTCCTGGGCCAGGGCCAGGGTCCCTGTGCTGTGTGTGGCCTAGGGACTTGGCGCCCTGCATCCCAGGCACTCCAGCCATGGCTGAAAGGGCCAACGTAGAGCTCAGGCTGTGGCTTCAGTGGGTGGAAGCCACAAGCTTTGGAAGCTTCCACATAGTATTGAACCTGAGAGTGCACAGAAGTCAAGAATTGGGGTTTGGGAACCTCCACGTAGATTTCAGAACATGGAAACTCCTGGATGCCCAGGTGGAAGTTTGTTTCAGGGGCAGGACGCTCATGGAGAACCTCTGCTAGGGCAGTGCAGAAGGGAAATGTGGGGTCAGAGCCCCCACACAGAGTCCCTGTTGGGATACTGCCTAGTGGAGCTGTGAGAAAAGGGTCACCATCCTCCAGATGCCAGAATGTTAGATCCACTGACAGCTTGCACCGTTTGCCTGGAAAAGTCACAGACATTCAACACCAGCCTGTGAAAACAGCTGGGAGGAAGGCTTTACCCCGCTAAGCCACAAGGGCGGAGCTGCCCAAGACCATGGGAACCCACCTTTTGCATCAGTGTGACCTGGATGTGAGATGTGGAGTCAAAGGAGATCATTTTGGAGCTTTAATATTTGTCTGCCCTGCTGGATTTCGGACTTGCATGGGCCCTGTAACCACTTGGTTTTGGCCAATTTCTCCCATTTGGAACAGCCGTATTTACCTAATACCTGTATCCCCCATTGTATCTAGGAAGTAACTAGCTTGCTTTTGACTTTACAGGCTCATAGGTGGAGGGGACTTGCTTTAGATGAAACTTTGAACTGTGGACTTTTAGGTTAATGCTGAAATGAGTTGAGACTTCGGGAGATTGTTGGGAAGGCATGATTGGTATTGAAATGTGAGGACGTGAGATTTGGATGGGGCCAGGGTGGAATTATATGGTTTAGCTCTGTGTCCCACCCAAATCTCATCTTGAATTGTACTCCCATAATTCCCACATGTTGTGAGAGGGACCCAGTGAGAGATAATTTGAATCATGGGGGCAGTTTCCCCCACACTGTTCTTGCAGTAGTGAATAAGTCTTGTGAGATCTGATGGTTTTATCAGGGGTTTCTGCTTGTGTATCTTCCTCATTTTCTCTTGCTGCCACCATGTAAGAAGTGCCTTTCACCTCCCACCATGATTCTGAGGCCTCCCCAGCCATGTGGAACTTTAAATACAGTTAAACCTGTTTTTCTTCCCAGTCTTGGGTATGTCTTTATCAGCAACATGAAAAAGGACTAATACAAACATGGTAAAAAAAAAAAAAAAAAAAAAGTTAAAAGTAAGATTTTGTAAAAAGTGTACCATAAAATACAAATCATAAGAAAAATAAGTTGGCTATAATACTCAGAAAAAGTAGACTTCAGAACAATAAATATTACTAAAGAAAAAAGAGACATTTTATAATGATAAAGAAGTCAACTCCTCAAGAAGACATAGCAATACTAATTGTCTATGCACCTAACATAGAAACTTGAAATATATGAAGCAAAACTGAAAGAATTAAAAGGGGAAATAAGACAAATCCAGTACTATATTCAGGATTTCAATTCTTCTCTCTCAGTGATTGATGGAACAGTGCTGTTAGCTAACTTCTTATTGACTCAGCAAGGATGTCTTCTTAACAAACAGTAGTGTAGAGAAGGCACAAAAAAACCCTATCAACCAGCTTGATCTAATTGACATTTATAGAACATTACACACATTATAATGTTCAGAGGATACATTCATTTCAAGTAAATGGAACATTCATCAAGAGAAATCACATGATAGGGCATAAAACTAGTTTCAATAAATTTAAAGTATCACAATAATACAGATTATGTTTTTTGGCCACAACAAAAATAAATGAGAAAGAAATAACAAAAGATATTTGGGACATCTGCTTTCAACAGTGATAAGTTGGGATTACATTCACCGTCATGCCTGAAATCACAAAATGGACAAAATATATGAAACAATGATTTAGGGGCATTGGACATCAGGCAATGAAGAACAGAGAACCCAGAGAAACCTCAAACAAAGGAGGTGAATGAACCCTATGATTACCCTAACTTATTGCCTGGAGAGAGTCTTAAGGTTGTGTTACAAATATTGGAAAGCCAGGATGTCAGGAGATCGCCCTGAGGAGAAAGAACTGGGAGTTCAGGGAGGCCACAGAGCTAGAGTTTGCAGAATAGAGTACCAGCAAGGATAGAACTGCACAAAGAGAGACCTCTGGACAATCCCTCTCAAATCATCAACTAAATACTTATCAGTATATCCATGTAAAGGAACTACCTAAGATCAAGAGGAAAAACATCCTAAAAGATTAGAAGGAAAACTCTCTGGATCTCCAGCAGAGCCAGGACTAGTGCCTGTTTTCACTATTCAGACTGGAAAAACTAATAACTCACAACACATTGGGTAGAGTACTAAGAAAAGTTTTGCCTTAATAGTGAGGCAAAATTAGGCCCATACAAAAAACTGCTCCCTGTAACATCAGGAACAAGGTGAGGAAATCTGGTCTCACCACTTCTATTTAACATGGTAACAGAGGTTGGAGTCAGGGCAATAACACACAAAAAAAAAGAAATTAAAGACAAACAGAATGTAAGGAAGATGTAAACTGTCTTTGTTCACAGACAATGGGTTTGTTTCTCTCTGAAGGAAAACTTACAGAATCTATGAAAACACTACTAGAACTAACAAGTCAGTTTAGTATATTGCAGGGTACAAGATCAATATATAAAAATCAAATTTTATTTTTACACACCAGCAACAAATAATTGAAAATTGAAATTAAAGTATCAATATCTCTTACAATAGCATGATTACAAATGTCAATCCACAAATTCAAGAACCAAAAAACTGCAAGCAGTAAAATAAAAGAAAACCATACTAAGGCATATCAAAATCACAATGCTACAACCCAGTAATAAAAATAATAATGAGAAAAAATCTTAAAAGCTGCCAGGAAAAATAACAACAAAAAATAACCCAGATACTTTATACACAGAGAAACTTCCATCCATACTTCATACTCTATACAAAAATTAATTCCAAATACCTCACAGGCCAAATGTAAAATCTAAAACTATGAAACATCTAGAAAAAAAACACAGAGTAATAAATTTGTGATGCTGAATTAGGCAAAGATTTCTTGGGTAAGACACCAAAGCACAATGTAAAAGAAAAAAAAGATAAATTGGCCTTCACTAAAACTAAGAACATCTGCTCTTTGAAATACTTTCAACAGAGGGAAAAGACAAGCCATAAGTTGGGAGAGAATATTTGAATAATCCCATATTTAATTAAGAACTTGTAGCCAGAATATATAAAGGGCTCTTAAAACTCAATAATAAAAAAAAATTGTAAAATGAGCCAAAAATTTGAACAGATACTTCACCAAAGACATATGGATAGCAAATGAATGTAAAAATAAGCTCAACATCATATAACATTATAGAAATGCAAATTAAAGCCACAATGAGATACAACTACCCACCTCTTATGATGTCTAAAATTAAAGACTGATCATACCAACTCTTGGTGAGGATTTGGAACATATGACACTCATACCCAACTGATGGAGTGTAAAATGTTTCAAGTATTCAGAAAAAAGGCTGGCTTAAAAATATAAATAAATAAAGCAGGCTGGGCATGGTGGCTCACGCCTGTAATCCCAGCACTTTGGGAGGCGAAGGTGGGTGGATCACTTGAAGCCAAAAGTTCAAGACCAGCCTGGCCAACATGGCGAAACACTGTCTCTATTAAAATTACAAAAATTAGCTGGGCTGGTGGCACATGCATGTAATCCCAGCTACTCAGGAGTCTGAGACACAAGAATCTCTTGAACCCAGGAGGCAGAGGTTGCAGTGAGCTGCGATCATGTCACTGCACTCCAGCCTGGCTGGGCAACAGAATGAGACTCTGACTCAAACAAAAAAAAAAAAAAGGCTAAACATATATATACTTACCTTATGATCTGGCAATTCCACTTGTAGGAATTTACCCAAAAGAAATAAAAACATACCAACCACAGATTTGTACACAGATGTTCATCAAAGCTTTATTCATAATTGCCAAAAATTGGAAACAACACAAATAGATAGCTGAGTAAAAAAATTGTGTCTTAGTCATACAATGGAATCTGTTTAGGATTAAAAAGGAATGGATTACTGATGTATCAACAAATTGGACAAATCTCACATACTGTGAAAGAAGCTAGCCTTCAAAAAGTAAGCACATACTTGATTTATAAATGTTTTAGTATAAGAAAAACTAATATATGGTGTGAGAAAAAAAGATCAGTGTTTGTCCGGCTAGGAGTTCAAGGTGGTAGTATGACTGAAAAGGAGCACAAAGAAACTTTTCAGGTGAATAGAAATGTTCTATATTTTGATTGAGGTGGTTGTTACATGAAATTGTATATATGTCAAAATTTATTGACATGCATTTAAATTGGGTGCATTTTAGTACATGAGAATCATTCCTAAGTAGATTTTTAAAAATTGAGGTAAAATTTACATAATGTAAAGTTAGCCATTTTAAAGTGTACAACTTACTGGTTTCCTGTACATTCATGACGATGGGCAACTATATTCTTTATCTAGTTCCAAAATATTTTCACCATCTAAAAGAAATTCCATGCCCATTAAGTAGTAATACCTAATTCCCCATCTTACTGCCCCTGGCAACCACCAATCTGTTTTCTATCTCTATGGATTTACTTATTCTGAATATTTCATATAAATAAAGTCATATACTATGGGACATTTTGTGTCTGGCTTCTTTCACTTAGCATAATGCTGATAAGGTTCATCTACATTGTAGCATGTATCAACACTTCATTCTTTTTTATAGCAGAATAATATCCCGTTGTATGCATACACAACAATTTGTTTATCCATCATCTGTTGCTGAACATTTAGGTTGTTTCCACCTTTTGGCTATGGTGAATAGTGTTGCTGTGGACATGTATGTACATAGATTTGTTTGAACACCTATTTTAAATTCTTTGGCATTTATATCCAGGAGTGGAATTGTTGGGTCATATGGTAAACCTACTTATTTTTATGAGGAACAATCAAAATGTTTTCCAAAGTCGCTAAACCATTTTTCATTTCCACCAGCCAAATAGTAGAGTTTCCAGTTTCCCCACATTTTTGTCCACACTTGCTACTTTCCATTTTTTAAAATTATAGTCTTCCTAGTGGATGTGAAATGCTATCTTATTGTGGTTTTGATTTGCATTTCCCTAATAACTAATGATGAATGATTTTGAATATCTTTTCAAGTGCTTATTGAACATTTGTATATTCTTTTAGAGAAATATCTATTCATGTCCTTTGGCCATTTAAAAATTGGGCTGTCTGTCTTTTTCTTTTTGAGTTGTAAGAGTTCTTTATGTAATATAGATACTAGACCCTTATGAGATATATGACTGGCAAATATTTTCTCCCATCTTATGAATTGTCTTCATTTTCTTGATAATATTCATTGATGCACAAAGGATTTTAATTTTTAGGAAGGTCAATTTATTTCATTTTTCTTTGGTTGCTGAAGTTTTTGGTGTCCTATCTAAAAATCCATTATTGAGCCCAAGGCCATAAAAACTTACCCCAATGTTTTCTTCTAAGAGTATTAAGGTTTCGCACTTACATGCAGGCCACCGATCCATCTTGAGTTAATTTTTGCATATGGTGTAAAGTAGGAGTCCAATTTCACTTTTGTGTGTGCATGTGTACTTATCCCAGAAACATTATTGAAGAGACCATTCTTTTCCTATTGAATAGTCTTGGCATCTTTGTCAAAAATCAATTAGCCATATATGTATTGGTTTATTTCCATTGATTTTTTATGTCTACTTTATACAGTACTACAGTGTTTTTATCACTGTAGCTTTATAGTTAAGTTTTGAAGTCAGAAATTATGAGTCCTCCAATTTTATTCTTCTTTTTCAATATTGTTTGGCATTTTGGAGCTCCTTGCAATTCTATATGGCTTTGAGGGTTAACTTTCTCATTTCTGTAAATTAAAAAAAGGCTGTTAAAATATTCATAAGAATTTCATTGAATTTATAGATCACTTTGGGTAGTATTGCATCTTAACAATATTAAGCATTTTAATTCATGAACATAGTCCTTTCATTTATTTAGTTCTTCTTTGATTTGTTTCAGCAATGTTTTGTAATTTTCAGTGTACAAGTCTTTTATTTCCATGGTTAAATTTATTCCTAGGTATTTTATTCTTTTGGAAGCTGTTGTAAATGGAATTATTTTCTTAATTTCCTTTTCAGATTGTTCATTGTTGTTGTGTAGAAACACACTGATTTTGGTGTTGATTTAGTACCCTAAGATTTTGGTAACTCATTTATTAGCTATAGTAGTTTTTTTTTATTTTCTATATACATAGGATCATGTCATCCGTAAAAAAAGATAGTTTGGATGTCTTCCTTTCTTTCCAATTTGGATGCCTTTTACTTCTTTTTCTTGCCTAATTGACCTAGCTAGATCTTCCAGTACAATTTTGAACAGTAGTGGTGAAATTGGATATCCTTGTCTTATTTCTGGTCTTAGAGGGAAAGTTCAGTCTTTCACCATTGAGCATTTTTCATAAATTCCCTTTATTATATTAAGTAAGTTCCCCAGTGTTTCTAGCTGTCTGGGTATCTTCATGATGAAAATGTTTTGGATTATGTAAAATGCATTTTTTAACATCAATTGAGATGATCATGTGGCATTTTTCCTTTGTTCTATTAACATGGTGTGTTACATTGATTAATTTTCAATGTAACATTACATTGAATTTTATGTTGACCCACCCTTGCATTCCTGCAATAAATCCCTCTTGGCCATGGTGTACAATCTTTTCAATATGCTGTTGAATTCAGATTGCTAGTATTTTGTTAATGACTTTTGTATCTATATTCAGAGGGGGCATTGATCCCTAGTTTTCTTTTCTTGTGGTTATCTTTGTCTGGCTCTGCTATCAGGTTAAAGTGGGTTTCATAGGATCAGTTAGTTCCCTCCTCTTCTATGTTTTGGAAAAAGTTTGAAAGGAACTGATGTCAATGCTCTTTAAATGCTTGGTAGAATTCACCATTGTGGCCATTTAATCCTGGACTTTTCTTTGTTGAAAAGAAAACAACTTTGATTACTAATTCAATCTCTTTAGTTGTTACAGATATGTTCAGAATTTTAATTTTTTCTGAGTCAGTTTTGGTAGATTCTGTGTTTTTAGCAATTTGTCCATTTCATCCAGCCTATTTAATTTGGTGGCCTACAATTGTCCACACTATTTTCTTGTAATCATTTTTATTTCTGTTAGGTAAGTAGAAATGTTCCCACTTTAATTTCTGATTTTATTTATTTGTATCTTCTCTTCTTTTTTTAGTTTGTTTAGCTAAAGATTTGTCACTTTGTTGAATTCTTCAAAGAATTATCTTTTGTTTTTATTTTGACCCTGTTGTTTTTCTATTCTCTGATAAAGTCATTTTCTAAAAAAATGGTATGAAGGGTACAGAGGACAGAAAAATTAATTTCCATTGACTTTTGGACATTTGTTACAAGAATTGGGATATAATTGTGTTATTAAATATCTTTTTCTTAAAAACAAACCAGTCTTATTCCAAAATTCTCATTCAGACACAAATATTCAGACAGTTTCAATCTTTCTAAACTCTTCTAAATTGTTTGCTAGTATAAAAGGAGAAAGCTCACACATCTCACACATCACACACAGCAATATCAATCCACCACAGCCAGTAAGTGCTAGTCTATGAAGCATGTTAGTAGGCTCTTGCGAATATTTCATATGTGCCATCCTGTTATTAGAAATTCAAGATGCAATTTAGGCATCAAAGGATATACTTATATTTAGGTCAGTTCAGCTTTCTGACCAGAATTCATCTACAAATTACACAGCCACCATGGTAGGGTGGCAAAACAGATTTTGTTATGGTTGTTGATAGTTTAGGTAACCCTTAAAAAATCTGCTGGCATTTAAAGTGCTAAATAGGTTTCTGTAAAAAGTTCTACAGCACTCCTTCCACAGTGATGTGCTATGACATTAGTATTTTCCCAGAAATTCTAAATAAAATCCAATCTTTGTAGATCGCAATCATTATACTGATGATCAAAGTCATTCATACACCAAAAAGGTAAATAGTACTCAACAGAAATTCTGTACTGACTCTCTCCCTTGCTTAAAAAACACACTTTCACAATTTCCTCAGACCATATAAGAGCAAACTTAACAGAAGTCACTGAATGAAAGACATTAAGACAAAGTTAGAAGTATCAGATAAAGAATTTTCATAGCACACACAAAAAAATTTTATACTCTGTTCTATACTGTTCAAATATCATATAGCATCCTACTTTCTATTCTTCTCACTGACTTCATGAGAGTCTTGAACTCATAATAGAGTACAGGTATGAGACCTGGTGATGTCTGATCACCATATACAAATTGCCAAGCGCACAGACATCAATGACAGACAATGTAGGTCAAGCATCATAAACATTTCTACTCCTGTGGTCAGTGTTGCTGGTCCTTGGGCTACAGTCTAGCATGAGGATCTCATCCAGAGAGATTTCCACTTTTCTTTATTCTAGGGCACCTCAGTACGTACCTCATCTCCATCAAACAAAGTTCCAGGCTACAGTATCTTGTTCTTGCAAGGAAGAGGCATTTTGTGGGATGGGGAGAAGGCTAATGGTCACTATTGATTGACACAGAAAAAAGAAAATTTTCCCACTTGCTTTTGCATTCTATTTACAAGGGAATTCTCTACCACAGCCTTGAAGATCACATACAGATAACAATAGGTCTGAGAGGGTCATCCATTGGCTTGTTGCTATAGGGTCTTATCTAAAGCCAGACAGTGGAGGGCTGCCTTGGGACCCACCTTGGGTAGGAGAGGAGCTTAGAAACTAGGATCTGAAATAAGGTCCTTCCTGACAACCCAGAAACAGGCACTGGTGGGGCCAGGAATCACAGGCCACCTTGCCAAGGCAGTACACCCAGTTCACACCTTACTCCTCCTGAACCTCTTCTGGTACTAGCTTCAATTTTGTATCCTTCTCTCCTAAGATCTATTTTGCAGGCAAATACCAGAGGGCTGTGGCCTAATATAGCTTGGAACTGGGTAATTTTCTGAGCTTTGGTTGTAAATTTAAAAAATTTATTGTCAATATCTAAAAACAAGGCAATTCCAAATATCAGTAGAAAATGTGGGCTTCTCTTAGAAATGGGAAGATCTGGCAACTGAGGTAGTTTTTCCACAACTGCAATGGGCTGGAGCTGAGAAGGAGCTTCACCTTCCCTGAGTGGAAAAAACACAAACTGACCTTCCTCTTCTGTCACACCAACAAACACAGAATTATGTGACCAAATGTGTGGTGTTTGTTTGTCCCCAGACACCAAACAAGCAAGAAAGCAATTCTGTGCAGACATCAGCTAGGTGTCCTCTAATTCAGTTCAATTCTGACACTGTCTACCTGGAAATAGTGTCAGATTCTACAAGTTGAAGGCTCAGTTCCCAAGACTGTCCCCTCCTTTCAGATGCCAATTGCAAGCTCCAGGTTGCTTTACATGTGCTTCTGACTTCCTCCTCAGAGTCCACTAATTTGCTAAAGTGGCTCACAGAACTCAGGGGAACATTTAACTTATGTTGACCAGTTTATTATAAAGAATATTGCAAAGGATACCCATATACACCACATAGAAGATATGCACAGGACAAGGTATGGAGAAAGGGGCACAGAACCTCTATGCCTTCTTGGGTGCAGCACCCTCCAGGAACTTCCATGTGTTCAATTACCTGGAAGTTCTCCAAACCCTGTTCTCTTGATCCTTTTACAGACACTTCACTGGACAGCGATAATTGACAACTGTATAGAAATGTAACTGGACAAAAAGTGCATAATCTAATACTAATAGACTGAATGGACAAACTCAGCAGGCCTTTTCTGTTCAGATTCTTCATGGCCTCTCTGTATACATTCCTTCCTTCAGGTATGGAGCAGGACCCCTTCTGAAATGAGGGTCTTATGACCCACAATCAGACAAGATAAGTCAAAGAATTTCTTTAAGATCAGCTCCTAGACAGAAAGGTAAGGGATAGAGTATATTTTTAGTTTGAAAAGCCTGCCTGGGGGAGAAAAAGAAGCAGGTGAAAGGCAAGCAGAAGAAGGTCAGAGAGAGAGATTCTATTTTCTGAAGCCAACTTCTGAGGCCTAAAGCACCCCAACATTATAACAAGGGCTATGGGAGTTATGAGGCAGAAACCATGAATAAAATCTAATGTGTATAATCACAATATCATACCTTCTAAGGCAGGTCAAGTGCTCTCCGGACGTATCAGTGCTTGAGTTTGCAGTGTTGACTCTATAGTTTCCCACGACTTTCATAGCTTCTACAGCATGAATGTAGAAGACTCTGTAAGGAAGACAGTATTTTCAAAATGGGAAGCATGGATCTCTGTGTCTTAGTAAACTGGCCCAGTATGAATCTCTGGTCTCCTATTCATCTTATTTACTCAAAATGTTTTTAAATCTTACCTTGCCCACTTGCTGAAGGAGCATATATATATATATATATATATATATATATATATATATATATATATATATATATATATATTTACTTTTTGCTCCTCACTTCATTAAAGCTATTTGTTAAACTGCTACAGATAACTTTTCTGTCTTGTTAATTTCTCTCCTTTCCTGAAAAGCCATCATACTGCCATATCTGAGATATCTGTGGTTGGCTTTCCCCATCTTAGTAGTACAACAGTTTCTTTCTCAGTGTCAGAACAAGGGGAAAAGCAGGCCCCAAGTCTTCCAAGTCAGATAATACTCTTGTTTCCATACTCCACTCTGCCCCTTCCTTATGATCTGGCATAAAACATCAACATGGCTCAGCAGAATTAATGGAGGGCATGGTTCTACTTTTAATAAGGCACCAAATAATACTTAACTGCCATAAGAAAATTATTTCTATAAAGATGTGAATGATAAAGCAACAAGGTTTAGAAGGCAAAGCATTAATTTGGGGATAGGACATAGATCTAGTTAAAATTTTGTCTCTGCCATTTTTTATCAAATGATTTTATTAAGTGAAATCCTGAGCATCAATTCCCGTATTTATGAGTGAAGAGTAAATGTGAGAACATATGTAAAGCAAACAATACTGTGCTTGGAAAACAGTAGGGACTTAATAAGATTAGTTCCTTGGATTACAAACTGGTGGCATAGAAGCAAGCTGACTTCATTCTCCACTACAGAAAACCAAAAAATATATATACAGCACTGAGATTATCACTAATAATATCCCAGAACTCAATTGTGAGTACTAGTCAGGTCCCAGAGCCACAGAGAAATGAAAAGAGCTCCATGCTGATGGTAAGACAATCAGATTTTCATGTCTGCAGCACCTCTTCCTGAAATCTGCCCAGCATCAAACACATAAAAACTCCCCCTGACTCATGGTTTCTACACTAGAAAAAGTGAAACTGAGGTTGACAAGCTTCTCTACCATCTTAAGTTCTCTGGTAGGAGGCCTGTCCCTGCCTCAACCCACAGGAAGCATCATGAGTGCCTGAAGGAAGAAATATCCTTAAGACAGCCAGAAACAATGGGAGAAGGTGGAACACCCACTCCCATCCGTGAAAACTGCTCTGTAACTCAGCCAAAAGAATGGCTGCTGAGCAGCACCGTGTTACAGCAGGTATGTTCCAAAGTTCCTCTGAGCATGAAACTCAGCCAGCCTTCCCACACTGTTTTGGGATATCCCTCTTGAGACCTGCCCCACTCAGGACACACAGTGGTCCAATCGTTTGTTAGAGCTGAGCAAAACTGGGATTTCAATATCATCTAGTATCAAAAAGGAGGCAGTGACCTAGCAGGGAAAAAATTAAGAAATTTAATAGGTAAATTACAAAGAATCTCCAAGCATCTATATCTAATAAAAACTAAAGCTAGAGAGAGAAGACTGGAATAAATAACTAATCTTTCAATGTGAACATATAGATGTACATCCACAAGAAAATCAACAATCAGGAAACCATGACCTCCTCAAATGGACAACGCAAGAAACCAGTGGCTAACCCTAACAAGACGGTGATATGTCAGCTCTCCAGTCAAGATTTCAAAACAGTAGTTTTAATGACATTCAGTGATCTCTAAAAAAAAACCACAGAAGAGAAATTTAGAAATTCCTCAGAGAAATTTAACAAAGAGATTGAAATAATAATTTTGAAAATCAGAATCTTGGAACTGAGAAATACATTTGCAAAACTGAAAAAATTCAGTAGAGGCTCTCAACAGCAAAATGGATACAGCAGAGGAAACAATCAGTGAATCAGTGATTTCAAAGGCAAGCTATTTGAAAATGCACAGTCAAAGGAGAAAAAAAGAAAAAAGAATGAATAGGAATGGAGATTACCTACGAGACATAGAAAGTTACTTCAAAAGGCCAAATCTAAGGATTATTGGTGTTCAAGAGGGTATTGAGCAAGAGCATGGGGCAGAAAGCTTATTTAAAGAAATAATAACAGAAAACTTCCTAAAACTCGAGAAAGATACAAATATTAAGATACAGGAAGGTCAGAGAATACCAGATTTGATCCAAGTAAGACTACCCCAAGGCATATAATAATCAAACTCTCAAAAGTCAAGGCAAAGGGAGAATCCTAAAAGCAGCAAGATAAAAGAAGAAATAACATATAAAAGAATTCCAATTAGTGTGGCAACAGACTTTTCAACAGAAACCATGCAGGATGGGAAAGAGTAGGACAATATTTTCAAAGTGCTGAAAGAAAATAACTGTCATCCAACAATATTATATCCAGCAAAGTTATCCTTCAAATATGAAGCAGAGATAAAGTTTTTCCCAGGTAAGTAAAAGCCAAAAGAATTCACCACCATCAGACTGTCTTACAGAAATGCTAAAGGGAGTTTTTTAATCTGAAATAAAAAATAATAACGTGCAAAAAAGAAAAACTTAAGGTAAAATTAAGTACAAAGACAACTCAAAAAAATCCAATACTGTAATTTCAATGTACAATCTGCTCTTACTTCTAGTATAAAGCCCAAAAGAGAAATCTATCAAAAATGAGAATAGCTAAAGCAACCTATTAAGAGATGGGTAACATTAAAACATGTCAACAAAGACAACAAAGTGTCAAAATGGGGAGGAGGGATGGAGTTAAAGTTTAGAGTTTTTTTTTTTTAGTTTTTTCTTTCTTTGTTTCTATTCTTCCCTTGTGATCTAAGATAAGTTGTCATTTTTTTAAATAATTCGTATTATCTAAAAGATGTTTTTTGTGTGCTTCATAGTAACCACAATGCAAAAACCTATCATAGATACACTAAAATAAAAAAAGCAATGAATTAAAACATACTACCAGAGAAAATATCTTAACCGCAAAAGGAAGACAGTAAGAAAGGAAAAGAGGAGTTACAAAACAACTAGAAAACAAGAAACAAAATGGCAGTAGTAAGTCCTCATCAATAATAACATGGATATAAATGGATTCAAGCCTCCAATTAAAAGACACAGAATAGCTGAATTGATAAAGAAACAAGACCAAACTACACGCTGCCAAAAGAAACCCACCTCACCTATAAAAATACATATATACTGAAAGTGAAGGGATGGAAAAAGATACACTAAAAAAGATCAAGAATAGCGATATTTATAACAGATAAAATAGACTACTAGTCAAAAACCGTAAAAAGAGATAAAGAAGGTCAATATATAATGATAAAGGGGTCAATTCAGCAAGAGGATATAACAACTATAAATATCTATGCACCCAACATCGGAGCACCCAAGTATATAAAGCAAACAGATCTACCAAGGGAGAGGTAGATTGCCACACAGTAGGCAATTAGTACTAGTAGGGGATTTCAACACTGCACTCAGTAGTGGACAGATCAACCAAACATAGAGCCAACAAAGAAACCTCAGAGTTAAACTACACTCAAGACCTAATAGACTTATTTGACATTCACAGAACACTTCACCCGTCAACTGCAGAACACATTCTTTCAATCAGCACAGGGAACATTCCCCAGAATATAATGTATCATAGGTCACAAAATGAGTCTCAAAAAATTCAAATAAGAAGAAATCATTTCAAGTATATTTTCTTGCCACAATGGAATAAAACTAGAAGTCAATAACAAGAGGAATCTCAGAAACTACACAAACACATAGAAATTAAACAGCATGCTTCTGAACAACCAATGGGTCAAGGAAGAAATTCAGAAGGAAATTTAAAAGTTTCTTGAAACAAATAAGAATGTAAATACAAACACCAAAATCTATGGAATATAGAAAAAGCAATACTAAAAAGGAAGTTTACATTAATAAACATCTACATTAAAAAAGTAAAAATACTTCAAATAATCAACTTTATGATGCACCTCAAGGAACTAGAAAAACAAGAACAAATCAAACCCAGAAATAGTAGTAGGAAAGAAATAACATAAATCAGAACAGACATAACTGAAGTTGATATTTTTAAAAGTACAAACAATGAAATGAAAGTTGGTTTTTTAAAAAGATAAGCAGAATTGACAAACTTTTAGCTAAACTAAATAAAAACACATAGGGAAGACCCAAATGAACAAATTCAGAAATTAAAAAAGATACCTAACAACTGAGACCACAAGGATAATTAGCGACTATTATGAACAACTATCCACCCACAAATTGGAAAACCTGGAAGAAATTGATAACTTTTTGAATGTATATAATCTAACAAGATTGAACCATAAAGAAATAGAAATCCCCAACAAACCAATAATGGGTAATGAGATCAAAACAATAACAAAAAGTCTCCAATTAAATAAAAGCCCAGGACATGATAATTTCACTGCTGAATTCTACCAAACATTGAAAGAATGAATACTGAATTCTCCTAAAACTCTTCAAAAAAACTGGAGAGGGGAGAGTACTTCAAACTCATTCTATGAGTCGAGAATTACCCTGATACCAAAACGAGACAAGGATACAACAAAAAAAGAAAACTACAGGCCAATATCACTGATGAACCCAGATGCAAAAATAAATAAATAAATAAAAATAAAAGCTCAACAAAATACCAGCAAACTGAATTCAACAACACATTAAAAAGATCACACATCATGATCAAGTGGGATTCATCTCAGGGGTGAAAGGATGGTTCAACATACAGAAGTCAACAAATGTAATACATCATATTAACAGAAAGAACCAAGAACAAAAACTATATGATCATTTCAATAGATGCCAAAAAAAGCATTCAATAAAATTCAACCTACTATGGTAAAAAGCCTCAACAAACTGGGTATAGAAGAAACATATCCCAAAATAATAAAGACCATATATGACAAACACAGAGCCAACATCATAGTGAATGGGGAAAAAGTGAAAGCCTTTTGTCTGAGATCTGGAACAAGACAAGGATGCCCACTTTCACCACTTTTATTCAATATAGTACTGGAAGTCCTACACAGAGCAATTCAGCAAGAGAAATAAGTGGCACCCAAATTGGAAAGAAAGAAGTCAAATTAGCCTTGTTTGCACACGACATGATCTCACATCTCGAAAAACCTAAAGACTACACCACAAAACTGTTAGAACTGATAAATGAATTAGCTAAAGTTGCAAATCCAAAATAAACATACAAAAATCAGTAGCATTTATATATGCCAATGCCAAGTAATCTGAAAATAATGTTTAAAAAAAATCCCATTTACAGTAGCTACAAAGAATATAAAATACCTAGGAATCAATTTAACCAAAGATGTGAAAGATCTATTTAAAAAACACATAAAACACTGATTAAATAAAGTGAAGAGGACAAACGCACAAAAAGAAAAGAGATTACATGCTCATGGATTGGAAGAATTCATATTGTTAAAATGAAACTATAAAACACTGATAAAGTGACGAAGACACACACACAAAAGAAAAGAGATTGCATGTTCATGGATTAGAAGAATTAATATTGTTAAAATGAAAATACTGCCCCAAGCAATTTACAGGTTCTATGCAATCTTTATCAAAATGCCAATAACATTCTTCACAGAAATAGAAAAAAAAACTTAAATTTATATGGAACCATAAAAGACCCCAAATAGCCAAAGCAATCCTGAGCAAGAGAACAAAGCTGGTGGCAACACACTACCTGACTTCAAAATATACTAAAAAGCTACAGTAACCAAATCAGCAAGATACTGGCATAAAAACAGACATACAAACCAATGAAACAGAATATAGAACTCAGATATAACTCCATACACTTACACCCAACTCATTTTTGACAAAGTTGCCAAGAACACACGATGGGGAAGTTCAGTCTGTTCAATAAATGGTGCTGGGAAAACTGGATAAACACACCCAGAAGAATGTAAATTAGTGCATTTCCACTACAGAAAACAGTATGGAGTTTCCTCAAAAAACTAAAAATAGAACTACTACATGATCCAGCAATTCCACTACTGGGTATATAACTAAAAGAAACGAAATCAATATATTGAAGAGATATATGTAGTCCAATGTTTACTGCAGTAGTAGTCACAGTAGCCAAAATATGAAATGAACCTAAGTGCCCATCAATAGATAAATGAATGAAGAAAATGCAGGCTGGGTGTGGTGGCATGCACCTGTAATCCCAGCACTTTGGAAGGCCCAGGTGGGAGGATTGCTTGAGCCCAGGAGTTTGAGACCAGCCTGGGCAACATAGTGAGACCCCATTTCTACAATTTTTTTTTAATTAGCTGGGTATGGTGGGCATGCACCTGTAGTCCCAGCTACTGAGGAGGCCGAGGTGGGAGGACCACTTGAGCCCAGGAGGTTGAGGCTGCAGTGAGCCATGATTGCACTACTGCACTCCAGCCTGACCCTATCTCAACAACAACAACAACAAAAACAACAACAAAAGTATGGTAACTATAGATAATGGAATAGTATTCCTCCATAAAGAAGAATGAAGTCCTGTCATTTGCAGCAACATGAATGGAACTAGAGGTCATTATGTAAAGAGAAATAAGCCAGGCACAGAAAGACAAATATTGCATGTATTCATTTATATATGGGAGCTAAAACAAGATCTCATGAAGACAGAGAGTAGATTGGTGGTTACCAGAGGCAAGGAAGGGTGGGGGAGAGGGAGAAGAAGGTTGATGAATGGGTATAAATAAATGGTTAGATAGAAGAAATAAGATATGATGTTCAATAGATCAGTAGGATGACTATAGTTAACATTAGTCTATTGTACATTTCAAAATAGCTAGAAAAGAGCAATTCAAATGTTAACACAAAGGCAAGATAAATATTTAAGGTGATAGATATCCCAATTATCCTAATTTGATTATATGAATGTATCAAATCTTAACATGTACCCCCAAAATATGTACATCTATTATGTAATAATAAAAAAATGAAAACATTTAAAAAACAACAAAAAAGACTGGTTCCTTCCCTATTTCTATATCCTACAGACAGCTGGAGCCAAACCTCAGAAATCCTAGCCTTCTCAGTGATATGGAGAGAACATCTGAGGAGTCTGCACAGGAAATGCTAGGAATTACATTAACTTCAATACACAACCCACATCAACAGCAAGGAAAGAAAACCATCAGCCTGGGGAACTCAAGAGTAAAATTCAATTTAAAAGACAGAGCCACTGCCACATGCAACATTGGTCCTTATACCTTGACCTCCTCTCTATGAATCCTGTATCTCCTGCCTAGAGCTTCTCACAAGGTGCTGCTTGGTCAAGCCCATCTCTCAACACCCATCACCTGTGCTGCTGCTATATAGTAAAGTTGTGTTCTTTGCTACTGATATTGGTCTACAGAGCAGCAGCATTAGCGTCACCTGGGAGCTTGTTAGCAATGCCCCAGTCCAGACCTACGGAGAATCAGAATCTGCATTTTAACAAGATTCCAGATGACTCTTATGTACATTAAAGTGTGAGAAGCTCTGCTATAGTTCACGTACTGTGTCATTTGGGGACTTTCTTGTTTATGTCAGTTGGGCTGTTTATTGAGCATGTTTTGTGTGCCAATAATTTTAGATACTTTGTATCTATATTCTCTAATATTCACAAAAGTAGAAATTATTATGAATAACTTATATATGCTTAAACTGCGACTCAGAGAGTTTGAGTCTTTCCCAAGCGGTCAAGAAGGGATCATAGTCTCTCAAGCAGTCATTTATATCTCAATTCTAGAGCCGAAGCTCTCAATAGGGTTTAGGAAGAAGAGTCTTCAAAATTGTGGTAATCTCTCTGAGAAACTCCATGAAATATATGATATGTAACTTTATCACACAAGTGAGGAGTATAAAAATCACAAACTAAGGCCAGGCGCGGTAGCTCACGCCTGTAATCCCAGCACTTTGGGAGGCTGAGGCAGGTGAATCACTTGAGGTCAGGAGTTCAAGACAAGCCTGGCCAACATGGTGAAATCCCATCTCTACTAAAAATACAAAAATTAGCCAGGCTGGTGGCATGCGCCTGTAATTCTAGCTACTCAGGAGGCTGAGGCAGGAGAATCGCTTGAACCTAGGAGGCAGAGGTTGCAGTGAGCTTAGATCACTCCACTGCACTCCAGCCTGGGCAACAGAGCAAGACTTTGTCTCAAAAAAAAAAAAAAATCATAAGCTGGAACATGAAAAAAATGTGAGTTACCACATCTCACAGCTGCTTCTGAATCTTGCCAAGTCATCTGCTCCTTGGTCACTCGTTTTGCCCTCTGTTCATACTCACAGGCCAATAAGTTGTAAGAAGCATCAACGCATTAAGAAATGTGTGTGAGGAAAACTTAAAAATAAGACAGCTTTGTTAACTTAATTTTTACCCCTGTAATTTGGAAGACAACCATGCCTGTCCCACTTTGGCAGTCAGATAACGCTAGGTGTAGCTCTTAGTATTGTGAAGCAGGGGTGTTTGAGAGCTATTGGCCTGGAAACTCTTCTTGAGCACTTTATGATGCAGAGAATCAGCCATGCAGCACTTTTGGTGCTGGAAACCTTCCCATCTAAATAGGCCAACACAAAATCACACACTTTCTGTACATCTCTGTCCCCTGAAAGTACCCACCACTGCCATCATATGCCATTAATGGCAACCAGGTGAGATGCCTCCTCTCTCAGCACATATAGATGTTAAGTACCTGCAGGCCAGGAATGAAATCTAAACCATGACACCTCTCCCTTGTCCATCTCCCACCTTTTTTCCTTATTTCCATGCATTGAATAAACCCCTATTCAATGAGGACTTATTTAATAAGATGACAATGTAATTTAATAATATGATTAGGCCAGGTGCAGTGGCTCACGCCCGTAATGCCAGCATGTTGGGAGGCCAAAGCGGGCAGATGACTTGAGGCCAGGAGTTCGAGACCAGCCTGGCCAACATGGTGGAACTGTCTCTACTAAAATTTAAAAATTAGCCGGTGTGGTGGTGCACACCTGTAATCCCAGCTACTTGGGAGGCTGAGGCAGGAGAATGGCTGGTAGCGGGAGGCAGAGGTTGCAGTGAGCCGAGATTGTGCCACTGAACTCCAGCCTGGGTGACAGAGTGAGACTCTGTCTCAAAATAATAATAATAATAATAATAATAATAATAATAAATAGCATTTATTGAGTGCCTGCAACGTGCTAGGCACTGTATGCGATATTTTCAGATTTGTCTTCAGTTCTCACAGAGATAGGGGAAAAGTCAGGCTTTGGTGGGGTTAAGTGACTTGCCCAAGATCATAAGGCCACGGAGGGGAGGGACTGGCAGTGGTATGCTCTTATGAGGTCACACAACATTGCACAGGCTCACTGGGCAAAGTAGCCTTTCTTCCCATCTCACCAAGCGCTCTACAAAGGAGAAAGAGCTCCAGGAGTCCTGCTGGCCTCAAGATAGTCTCATGTTTCTACGGCACGGTTCTCAAAGTTTGGTCCACTTGGGCCGGCACCCTGGGCCGGAGAAGCTGAATTTTCCACCACCCCATCTCTGCCCCCACCCCGCGCCGGTACTTTCAGACACTCATGAGCGAGATTCACAGTGGACTGGGGGTCATTCTGTACAAAGGTGGTCTTAGGTTTCCCATCAGAAAGAATATCGAGATTACCCATGCAAAATCCAGAGAGGCACAGGGGCAGTTTACTAACCTCAAGGAAATGTACCGCCGTGTTCGGGCCCAACCTCAGGCAATGAGAGGAAACTGAAGGAGAAACCCACAGCACGCACGCAGGAGGCTGCCCTGCGTTGGCCAGCAGCCGGCGCCTCCGAGAGATCAGGGAAGAAAAGCTGTTCAGCCTGAGCACGCGGGGCGGGGACCGGGTCCCTCAGCCTTCCCCTCCGCGACTGCCAGGGAAGGCACGCCCCACCCAGTCAGCTGCCAGGTTTGCGAGCACCACCTCCCAGGAAGCAGCCACTCCCGCTACCGCCCCTTCCCAGGTCGCGTTTAGATTGTCAGCTCCCGGACGTCCTGGCTCCACTGTCAGAACCCTGGGACACGACCTCCCCCACCCCGCCTCGTTTTTTTCCCCAGCCGACTGGGGATGGGGGTGGAGAGACTTTGGCCAACAGCTGCCTCCGCCTGGAGCAGGATTTAAGGTCCTGTCCAGCCTTGTCCCTTCTTTGAAAACCCCCAGATTCACACAGAAAAACCAATAAGCGCTCCACAGCCCCGCATGCTGCACGCATCTGCGGGCCGCGCCCAAGGCCAAAGCCCGCCAGTTTGCCCGTGTGCCACGCAGCAGCCGGCTTCTTCGCGCTTACCGCGCGGCCCACAGATGCGGAGAAGAGGGCAAGCCAGGGCAGAGGATGGCACGACAACGGGACCAAACAGTGACCCCTGCAGGTGACTGGACGATAACTTGGCCTAGGACCGGCCCCCCGCCACTGCAAGCTGCGTTCCCTCTGTGCTCACACCCTGCAGCAGTCAAAGCACTCCCACTCACACACGGGCTGCACACGCATAGTTGCAGTACACCGAACTCACACACACTACACGTAAACACGTAGTCGTATGCACAAGCTCACACAATCACATGTGCCCGCGCGCGCGCGCGCGCGCGCGCGCACACACACACACACACACACACACACACTTTGTACTGCATACAATAAAAAACTAGGCTTTCTGTTGTAGACTGAATAATGCCCTCCCCCTCTATCCCTAATCCCAAGATATCCAGGTACTATGCCTGGAACCTGTGAAGAGTTACCTTATATTCTAGGGAAGGAAAAAAGAAAAAGACTTTGCAGATGTGATTAAAGATTTGGGGATAGGAGATTTTCCGGCGTTAGCAGTAGGACCCAATGCAATCACAAGCATCCTTAGAAAGAAAGGCAGAGGGCCCTTCCATGCTTCCGCATATAAGAGGAGAAGGCAATGTGAGCAGGAAGCAGAGACTGAAGTGATGTGGCCACAAGCCAAGGGATGCCAGCAGCCACCAGAAGCTGGAAGAGGCTAGGAGGTAACAGCGCTGTGGGGAGGAGTATGGCACTTCAATATCTTGATTTCAGCCCAGTAAAACTCGTTTGAGTCTTCTGGCCTGCAGGACTGTGGGAGAATGTTTTAAGCCACCAAGTAGTAATTTCTTTCAGCAGCCATAGGAAACTAATAGTTTCCTATTCACACTTTCCACCCACAGCTCAGCATGCTGCAGTCTTTGAGATCGAAATTAGGATCATGCCATTTAACTTGAGCCAAGTTACTGAACCTTTAGCAGTTTCAGTTTCTTCATCTTTATTAACCTAGAAAGAATGCCTACCAAATGGGCAGATTATTGTGAGGACGCACTCGTGCATGCCTTCATGCTTTTATTTCCAATTAATAAATCACCTCCCACCATGTGCCAGACACAGCTCCAGAGGCTGGGTTAAATGAGACACCCTTTTGTAAGTACAGAACATAGCAAAAGCTCTTAGAACCACACCTGTCTGGCACACAGTAAGTGCTCCACAGATGTTGCAATAATCATCATCAGAGTCTTGACACTGAGCCTCACTTCAGTGGGAGGTCAAACTAGCACTTCATGGAGAGAGAACACAAAAAAGAACAGGAATGAAAAAAAACTGAAAGAGGCTTCTTACCCTCAGAACACAATAGTGTTTTGTTCATCCTTCTTAAGCCCCAGTTGCCTTCTTCCTTTCCCTCCAGCGGTGCTACACGTGCTTCCATTCAAGACTGGAAACATCCAGGGGACAGGGTCTGAACTTCACTCCCTATGCCTCTCTCTGCCTAATGAGGCTCACTCTTATTCCTTACCGTAACCCTGGCCTGTATCCACACAGTACTAAATCTTTTCCAAGTAGGCTTTCTCTTCCTTCTGCTCCCTGATCCGCTTCAGTCATTCTCTCAGTTAAACAGTTTTCATAATCTAACTTCCCCTAATCTAGCTTATAAGTGTCAGGGTCCAACCCCAGAGTCTACACTCCAACTAAACCACTCGATTAGTTTGTTCTCAGCAAACTTTTCTCCACACTGACATTTGAGGACATTTCAGAAGGGACAGCCTTAGTCTAGTGCCACATAGGGACACCACTGGATTTTTGGATGGAACAATTCTTCACAGAATCACACTGTCTTAGGCATTATAGGGCATTTAGCAACCCTGGCTTTGATCACTAAATTAGAGTAGTACCACAGTGTGTGTGACAATCAAAACTAACCACACATTTCCCGGCAAAGATTGGGGAGGAGAGGCTGCATGGATGGGACAGTCCTTATGAACTTTTATTTTTCAGTTTAATTTGATCTCTGTATTATCTTCCTGTTACATCTAGTAGTGCCTGATTTAGCAATAGGCATCTGTAATTATCGACAAAGTAAACACCCAAGAATATGCAGTGATTTGAAAGGCAGAGAATGTTTCCAAGGAATACAATACACTCCACCACTCTGATTTCAGGCAAGTTGCTTGACTTCTCTATGCATCAATGTCTTCAACCTCAAAACGGAAATGAAAAAAATACTCAAGGACAAATGATTTTTGTTCCCCATCCACAGTGTAGAATTATTCTGTGAAGTGGTTGCCTGACAAGGAACTACATTTCCTAGCCTCCTTTGGCATGTATGTGGGGCTATGTGGTTATTTCAATGAAAATGTTAGCAGCAGTGATGTATGTTGCTTTCTGTTAATGTGGTTTGGAAGTCGGCACACCTTCTCCACCTGTTCTTCCCTCATTTGCTAGCTTGATGTCAGTGCCCAGAACATACCAGGAAGCTACACATTAGAAATGAGAGCGCAAGAAGGTATGGAAGGATCCTGGGCCCTCTGGATCTCCATTTGGGGAAAACCTACCTGCCTGCAGGAATACTCATACTGATCATGAAGCAACAAAAAATAAATTGATTAATTAAAAACCTTGCATTGTGTTGAAGCCACTGGACATTGGACATTTTGGAATTTGTTAGAGAAGGAAGCATTGCCTTAAGTCATTCAAATATTTACCTCTTGTGATGTGTTAAAGAATGTAAACCACTAAGAAAAGCACATGGTATATAAAACACATTCATTAAATTCTAGCTATAGTAATTATTATTGTCTCTCTAAATTATTTAGTTTCTATAGCTCTTACGGTCAATATCACATTTTGGTAGTTATTATATATAATATTAACATTTATGTTTTTAGTTGTTTGATGTCTATGGCTCTATTCACTCAAAAATTATAACTGAGCACCCACTACATATCAGGCACTGGGGAAACAGAGATGAGAAAGGCATGGTCCTTGCTCCCAGGTTCTTTACAGCAGTAAAAAGTTTCATACCTTAGATGCCTCCTGTGTCTCCCATGTTGATCTACCTGGAGACAAGCATAAGGTGAATGCTCATAAATGTACCTGCAATAGTATACCTGCAGATATATTTGGAATACAGAGTCACCACCACACAAACCAAATTTGTATGTGTTCACCCATGCCTCAATCCTCACTCTTAAGTGCTGAAATAATCCCAGGTAAAAATCTCATCACTACAATTGCACCAAGAATTTCAAATTGGCAGCTCCCCAGCAGGTAGAGGAACTTCCAGTCATTCTGGACATCAGGTGTAATCATGTGTTTTCTTCCTGAGAAGAATATGCCACCATTTGTCTCTTTTCTGCAAAGATCCAGGGCATTAAATCATAAAGGAAAGAAAAGAAGAAGAATGGATTGAAGAAATCACTTAGTAGTTTCCTTAGGACTTAGCACATAGAAAACACAAGATGAAAGAAAGTGAAGACATAATCACTTTTAATATTCCCTTGGAAAAGCTCCATCCCCAAATGTCCTTCATCCTTGCTGCTATTTGTCGAAGGTCTGCAAAGCTGAGTAGGAGTGTTTTATGCTAATTGGCTTTATCTGACATCCCTTTATCATTTGAAATTAATAGACAGCCTCGTAGATACAAGGTTAATGGAATGTCTTCTCCACCTCAGATTTGCAACTTGGCATTTTCCCCCAAACACCACTTTCATCTTTATATAAGTGATTGTGTCTATAAAGTCTTCTAAGAAAGGCATGCTGTCTAATCCCATCAGCCCATTTGTGAAACATTCCAGAGGGGAAATTGTTTACTGTCATTGTAGAAGCTATTCTGTTCTTGGCATGCTCCTCAACACCCCCCATGTTTGACATCTTCTTAGCATGGTGGGGAGATGGCAGCCCGATGTGCCAAGCACCAAGCACCAGCCACATAACAAAACTGCTTTGCCAGCCCTTTGGAATAATGCCATATGAACAAAGGAAAGCTTAATGTGAAGTAGAACCAAACTCCACCTCTAGGCACAGAGATGATAGAGGCCCTCTGCCTTTTCCTTCTACTCCTTCCTTTCTAGAAACACAGACTGAGGTGACATTTGGAAAAGAAGTATGAATGTGTTATAAAACTGGAAAGACTTTTGGCTGAAGAAAGCCTTCTCTGCAAGTTCTGAATATCTTTGAGGGGCAAGAGTAGGCTAGAGGAGAGGGAGTAAGCAGAGTGACTGTTTTGGCCTTCAAGGAAGAGTCAAGGCTGGGCGTAGTGGCTCACCCTTGTTATCCCAGCACTTTGGGGGGCTGAGACAGGCAGATCACTTGAGGCCAGTTCAAGATCAGCCTGGCCAACATGGCAAAGCTCCCTCTCTACCAAAAATACAAATATTACTGGGTGCCTGTAATCCCAGCTACTCAGGTGGCTGAGGCACGAGAATCACTTAAACCCTGGAGGTGGAGGTTGCAGTGAGCCGAGATTGCACCACTGAACCCAAGCCTGAGCGACAGAGTGAGACTCTGTCTAAAACAGAAAATAAAATTAAAAAGCCAAGAGAATCAGCAGTTTATTCAACTCAGATCATCAGAGGCCAAGGAGTTTTGAGAAGGGCAGATAGAATGCAGAGTTCATAATGATAATTCCATATGCTTTATACTCCAAGAACTCCAGAGGCCTTTTCTGTTTAAACATCTTAAACAATATTGTGCTAGTATTTAAGATACACAAAAAGGCATAAAGAATAAAACAAAACAAAATGCGATAGAAGTTGATATACATCTCCCATCTTCTCCCGCTATATTCTAGCCCACAAGTAACCACTGTCCTAAATTTGTAGTTTGCCGTTGTGTGCTTTCCCATGCCTTTGCCACATGCTAGTTGCTTTACATGTTTTTAGATGTTATTTACCTCTGTATTTTATGCACATCTGTATCAGACATAAATAGAAACAAATAGATACAACAGAAAACAACAAAAGGACAGTAATCTAAACAACATACAAGTTTATTCCTCTATCACATTAGAGAAATCTGGAGGTAGGCCAATCAGAGCTTTCATGGTGGCATTTAGGAATCCAGGTACCTATTTTCTATATCATCCTAGCTCACAGTTTCCATTTTTAAAGTAATCTTCTAGTGTAAAGTAGGCTGCTAGAATTTCAATCATTATGTCCACATTGTGAGCTAGAAGAATGGAAAAATGTAGAAGGGCAAAAGAAAGGGTCATTAGCAGCTCAGTAAAACCCCTTTATGAAGTTCCTGAAAATCATAATCATCACTTCCACTTGCAGCTCATTTTCTAGAACTAAATCACATCACCACACCAAGCTGCAAGATCCCTTTTATTATGGGAAGGAATTTTCCAAATAATATTGGTATTTGATTACAAAGTGGAAAGTCGAGAATGTCTGTGAACAACTATAGTCTGCAAATATTTGCACTCTTTATATGCTTGTTTTTGCTTAATTGCATTTGTGAGATTCATCCATATTGAAAGTTATAGCTCTGGTTCATTAATTTTCCCTGCTGTATACTATTTTATTGAGTGAATATTCTACAATTTATTTACCTAGTCTTCTGTTTATGTTTTTTATTTTTGTTTTCTTTTTGGGATGGTTGACAGGAAGTGTTTAAAGAAATGATGCTATGAACATTCTTATGCATTTTCTGGTTCATATATATATGTGTGTTTCTTCAGGGATCTTAATACAAAGTAGAAATACTGGGCCATGGGTATATATCACCTCAATTTTACAAATTTTTGTAAAGGTGATCAAATTTTTCTATCAAATTTTTCTAAAGGTGATAGCACCATTGCACTCTACCAGCAGTCAGTGGTGTCCTTTGTACTCAAAGTCCTAAACAGTATTTGGACACTTTTTGGGTGTCCAAATGACAGAGCCTACCCAAATGAGAAGGAACCAGAAAACCAACTCTGGTAACAAGACAAAACAAAGTTCTTTAACACCTCCAAAAAAATCATTCTAACTCACCAGCAATGGACCCAAACCAAGAAGAAATCCCTGATTTACCTGAAAAAGAATTCAGGAGGTTAGCTATTAAGCTAATCAGATAGGCACCAGAGAAAGGTGAAGCCCAAAGTAAGGAAATCCAAAAAACAATACAAGAAGTGAAGGGAGAAATAATCAAGGAAATAGATAACATACATAAAAAACAATCAAAACTTCAGGAAACAATGGACACACTTATATAAATGCAAAATGCTCTGGAAAGTCTCAGCAATAGAATTTAACAAGTAGAAGAAAGAAATTCAGAGCTCGAAGACAAAGTGTTGGAATTAACCCAGTCCAACAAAGACAAAGAAAAAAGAATAAGAAAATATGAACAAAACCTCCAAGAAGTCTGGGATTATGTTAAACGATCAAACCTAAGAATAACTGGTGTTCCTGAGTAAGAAGAGAAATCTGAAAGTTTGGAAAACATATTTGGGGGAATAATCAAGGAAAACTTCCCTGCCCTTGCTAGAGACCTAGATATCCAACACAAGAAGCACAAAGAACACCTGGGAAATTCGCTGCAGAAAGATCATTGCCTAGACACATTGTCATCAGGTTATCTAAAGTTAAGATGAAGGAAATAATCTTAAGAGCTGTGAGACAAAAGCACCAGTTAAACTGTAAAGGAAAATCAGATTAACAGCAGATTTCTCAGCAGAAACCATACAAGCTAGAAGGGATTGGGGCCCTATCTTCAGTCTCCTCAAGCAAAATAATTATCAGTCAAGAATTTTGTATCCAGCAAAACTAAGCTTCATATACAAAGGAAAGATACAGTCTTATTCAGACAAACAAATGCTGAGAGAATTCACCACTGCCAAGCCAACACTACAAGAACTGCTAAAAGGAGCTCTAAATCTTGACACAAATCCTGGAAACACATCAAACAGAACCTCTTTAAAGCATAAATCTCACAGGACCTATAAAACAAAAATACAATTTAAAAACTAAAAACAAAAAAGCAAAATCCAAGGTATACAGGCAACAAATAGCGTGATGAATGGAATGGTACCTCACATCTCAATATTAACACTAAATGTAAGTGGCTTAAATGCTCCTCTTAAAAGATACAGAATTTCAGAATGGATAAGAATTCACCAATCAACCGTCTGCTGCCTTCAAGAGACTCACCTAACACATAAGGACTTGCGTAAACTTATAAAACAATTCAATGGAAAAATCCTTGAAAGTATTCTGCTCATAGAGAAGACAGTATAATAAACTGATCTGTAAAAAGGCTATAAACTATCATATTCTTATATTTTGTTGTAAGGAGTTCAAAGAACTCAGCAACATGGCTATCACATCTATGAAGAATCAACCATAAATATGTGTCTATTGTGAAGGCTCGAAATGGAATAATTAAGTGAACTGTAGAGGATCAAGCACTCAGCAGGAAGGTAAAGAATAGAACTTGTCCCTCTTAATTTGTAATCTGGACTTCCTGCCTAACTGCAGTTTTCTGACAATGCTGAATATGTATTCATTCATTTATTATTATTAATTCTTAATTTACAAATACCTATTACACACTAACAATGTACCAGGCACAATACTAGTGTAAGGGAGAGATATTTTGAACCCTTAACTTATCTTATTTATATATATATTCCCATCTCCTTTTTAAGTTCTTTCCCCCAATTCAACTAATTATGTTTTTGGGGTTCATAGATTTGGGGAAGTGATATGAAAACAGTAAGCAGAGAAAAAAGCTTCTCTTTGATTTTGTGTTTCAAAAAATTAGGCCCTCAGAGGAACACACAGACTTAATACAGCATAAAATATTTGAGTAAGAAACCTTAAAGATAAGAGCAAGGCTCCTATCTGTCCCCTCCACTCTTCCTTCTAGGAAATGATTCACTGAACTAAACTGAAAATATAGGAGAGTTGGAGGAGGGGTAATAGGAGTCCAGATGTTGATGGGTCTTGAAAAAGGGGCTTAGTGCCTGTTCCAGGTAGGAAAGACTGCAGAGTCATGTTGAGACAGACCACGCCTCATCCAACAACACAGTCTGTCCAGACCCCAGCATGGTGCAGGAGCTGCAAAATGATGTGGATTGCACCTGATAGAAACAGTGGTGAGATTCACTGGATGGAGGACGCCTGTGATTAGAAGAGAATGTCCCTCTGGTGGCCTTTGTGAACACTTGACAGAGACCTGGAAGGACAATAGTTGTCATTGCAGGTGCTGTGTGGACAGAGAACATGGACATCTTAATGGGGTGCCCATGTAATCCCCTTACAAATTGTGCACAACCCCATGGAAATGGATAGGGGACCACTTCAATTCATATTACATTTTTTACCTTGGCAGAACAGGGATTTGCAAATAAAATTGGACTATTTAATTAGTCTGACTACTATTTAATTTAATTGGACTATTCACATTTTTATCCATCTCTGTTATGAATAGTGATTTTATTGACTGAACCAGCTTTGGAATTACATAGTTTGGGAGGGAGATAATAAATGAGTAAGCAACTAAATTAACAAAATAATTATTGGCTGTGAGAAGTGTCAGAAAGGAAAAAATTAGGATACTAGAAAATAACCAGGACTGACCTAGCTAGGGTGGTGAAGGAAGGCCTGAAGGAACAGCCAGCACAGAGGCCCTGAGGTACGAGGCAGCATGGCCTGCTCTGGGTCCCACAGAAGGCAGCTGAGCCAAGTGAGCAGTGGATTAATGCTGGACAGGTGGTGGGGACCAGAGGGTACAGGACATTGTGGGCCATAATAAGGAATTGAGGTTTTATTTCATGTGTCAGGAGAAGTTAAGGGTTTTAAGCAGGATAAATAATAGTCAAATCTATATTTTAAGAAGACTAATCTGGCTTCTGTGTGGAGACTGGATTGTGGAAGGAGGAACACGAATGGAAACAGTGCTCCAGGGAGAAGCTTCTGCTGTGGTCCAGGCCAGAGACTGCAGAAACTTGAACACAAAATGGAAAAAAAAAAAAAGTGGAAAAATACAAGATCTATTTTAGACATAGAATCAAGAGGACTGGCTGATGCATTTGAGTGTGGGAAGAGGCACAGGTGGATGTCAGTGTGGCTCCCAGGGGTCTGCTTTTAGTAACCGGGTAGACATCAGGGCCGTTTTCTGAAATTGGGAAAGGAGGATGCTGGGAGGATGGTGATGCTTTTTCAGGGACGTGGCAGGAAATCAATTGCTTCAATTTGGACTTACTCAGTTTACTACGGCAAGGAGTCCTCCACATGGAGTTTTCAGACAGGCAGTTAGCTATGACTCAGGGGAAGTGTGTCAGAGGAGAGGTCTGGGGAGATATTCAAAGTCCTGCAAGTGGATGCAATTGTTTAGGAGAAGAGTGAAGGAGAAGAGAAGAGAGCCCGAAACTAAACAGGGAGGAATCCACCATTTAGAAGTCTGGCAGGCAAAGAGGACAAGGTGAGCCTGCCTTTAATGTTAGAATTGTCTTCATATTTCTTTCATTCTTCATTTTCCTCTTGCGGTAGTTCTGCTTGGTGACCAGTGTAGCCTCAGGGAGCTGACAAGAACCGGGCCTATTCCCCATATGTGACTCTTATAAGGCCTGAACGAATCTCCTCATGTCTTGGTTTCCTCAGCTACACAAAAAGGCCACTGTGGTAGCAGCCACTCCTTCCTTAGGGTTGGTGAGAAGTGTCAAGATGGAGTTAGGCTCAAGCACTAAGATTTACATTCAAATGCCAGCCATTTTCTCAGTCTTTATGAATAATCCAGACTTTGTGTTTTGGACCCTTAGACATAGTAACAACGCAAACGGAATCAAAATCATCATTCATATTATTAACAAACATTTCTGAGTAATGTTTTGAGTAAATGCCTAATAAAGTTTAAGAAATAAAAGTAACTCATGTTTATTAAAGAGGAATTACTAGGTTTCCATTCATAAGCTTCAATATCCTGCTTAATGGATTCCATACCTAACATAGAAATCCAGTGAATGAATTATGGTCAAACAGTCTACAAAAATTATATGGTTTCCTTTTTTACTGTTGTTTCCCCTACGTGAAATAACAATGAGGAATGTAGCTTGAATAAAGGCATTTCTTGTAACAGAATGAAAGCATTAGGGTGACGCTGGTTGTATTTTAGCTGACTGGAGAGCCTCAAAGCTTTATGGTCAGAATGTGCCCCCTTGTGGAAGATGTGAGTAAAAAACAGTAGAGAGGAAACAGTATTGTGGCCGAGATCTTGGGAAAGAATTGAAGGTGGGAGAGGACTAAAGAGGCAGGAAGCAATGAATTAAAAGCCTGTTGACTACACTTCGTAAAGAACCATATAAGGAAGAAGGCATTGTATCAAATAAGGAAATGAGTGTAGCCAGGTGGAAAGGAGAACCTGGGTTAGGTAAGCTCGCAGTCTTAGGTTCTAGAAAACTTCAATCATTAATAATGAGTATAAATGAAATAGCCACTGAATTAGGCATTTCAGAGTGCTGTCTCTGAGCTCAGCCTGGCTGGGTGCAAATCATGGCTCTGTTAGTAGCTGTGTGACTTTAGGGCGTCATTTTACTGTTCTCTAAGCTTCAGTCATCCCATGTGAAAAACAGAATAGTAACAGTGCCTTTTTAGATGCTGGCTGTTGTTGTAGGTAAAGGTTGCTGTGAGGAGTAAATGAGGTAAAGTATAGAAAGTGTTTTCAGTGTGGTGTCTGCGGTACTGAAATAGCTATCACTACTACCTGCCAGTGTGTGCATTTTAAAACAGTGAAAGACATTTCCTTTTCTATTTTTAAAAATGGCTTCCAGATACAGACAATCACCGACTACAGAGGAAAGCTCTGTGGCTCTGTGAAAGTTGTGAGGCTGAAGATTTTTAAGCCTTTCTATAAGGCTGCTCCAGAGATGGAAAACAAGTTCCCCCTCGACTCATATTCTATGTGTGGGGGGGCAATCCATCCAGACACATTTGGATCAGTGTGACTAATTTGTTTTTACACAGTTGAGGTGAGGTCAGTGAGGGGCTGGGTACTTGGCGGAGCAAGGCTGTTTGGGTGGGTGGTGTGGGGCAGGGGTCAACTTGCTGCGATAGGCAAAGGTAGAAATGGGAAAGGAAATCAGGGCCACAGAAAGAGCCCAGGTTTACTGAAACCCAGAAGAGCTCTACTCCCAAGAGGGCACAGGAGAACTTTATTGGGCCAGTAAACATTTCCACTCAAGCAGCTACATGGTGTCAATGGGCAAACGAAAAAATAACAGGATAATTATAGAAAGTTTTCTGAAATTTGCTTTTATTTTTTTAAAAAAGTGTTTGCCTTTTAATTTCCTCAAATGTGCTACCAAAAATTCAGGTATTTTAAACGTCAGGAAGCACTGGTATGACTAAGTGGAAGAGCGGCTATCAGGGAAGGAGGTCAGCAGTGTGCCTTGGGTGTGAGGGCCGCACACCCAGCCTGAAGGGCTCTCCTTTAGAAGGAAGCTTCAAGAAGATGTGCTGACAGATGGTTCTGCCCCATTTCTCATTCAATGGAGAGCTCCACAAGCTGGGTTTGAAATGCTACTTTTGTGAAATAGTTATCAGATAGGGAATTCCATTTCAACTAACTAACAGTTGGAAGTTACCTCCCTTCTCTTTAGTCACTGTAATGAGTAAGTTTCTTTTGTTTTCTTATATCACAAAATGACAGCCCAATAAGCTCTGGAAATTAATTCATTCTAGTGAATGTTATGAAATGAAACAAAACCAGTTTAATGACTGTAATAACTGAGGTTGGGCATCCGTGACATTCCCTGTAGCCACCCTGTGCTTCTTGCCTCCCTTGGCAGGCTCCTCGGCCTGGGTCGTTCATTTATGCTCCCCACAGTACTCTATCCAGCACTCTACCACCCTCTCCTCAGAAGCTCTCTGCAACTCCCACCTAGCCAGTTCACACCTCTGGGTCACTCACATTTTCTGTTTTGTCTTTTCTGGATCTGGGCTGAGAAGTGAGACCTTTGCTTGCAGGGAGAAATCACCAGATGGTGCTGTCAGAGTCCACCATGTATTTATGCTCTCAAACTCTGATTTGAGACCTCAAGACTTGATTCAAATCTTGTTTCATTTTTTTTCTTTTTATCTCATCACATTCTCCATGGTGTCTGACTCAGACCTATTCCTCCACCCCTAGGTTCTCAGCCGGATGCTACCACTTCCCACTCCTAGGAAATCATATTCCATCCTGTATTTTAGAAGATCTAGGGTAGTTTTCTTGGCTCTCGTTTGTCCACAACAGACTGATTTTTGTTGTTACTCTAAGACATTTTTTTGCATGCCACAGTGGGTTAGGCCTTCCTTTCTGCCAAGGCTGACCCAGCACTCTTCTCTGGATCCTGTTCCTTGGAGCCTTCTTGAGTGACCATCTCCATCAACTATCCCCCTTCTCTCTCCTTGTGAGTTGCTTCCTTTACGCTTCCTTCTCCTCTATTCAGTTCCAGTTTTACTTATCTATGACTCAACTTCTGCTTCTCTTTCAAATTTTCTTGAAATTAACCTCTGTGTTTATTTCCAGTGACCACTGTCCTTACAGTCTAAGCTGGGCCTTATCACTGTTTTACAAGCATTTTCTATGAGGCCACTGATGACCTCTCTTTAGGCCTTATTTTTCTTAACCCCTCTGAAAAGTTTCAAATGGCTGACCATCCTCCCATTTTCTTGATACTCTCTCCACCTCCTATCCGTATGATTCTGCCCCTCTGAGTGTTTTCTTGTTGCCTTTTTTTTTTTTTTTAAGCACTGGTTTTGTCTTGCCCCTTCCAATCCATTCTCCATGTGTGGTCAGAGCATTCTATCTAAAATAAAAATCTGATCATGTCATTCCTCTGCTTAAACCATGCAAGCTTCCAGTTTAGGATCCACCCCGAATCTATAATATGGCTCATGAGGCTTTGTCCATCTCTTTAGCCTCCCTCCTCATCACTTCCCATTCACTCAACTCTTCTCAGTCTGTTTCCTCTGATTAAACACTCTTCCTGTACCTTCCAGCTATGCCCTCATCCCTCATTGTCCCCTTTGACAGGCAAAGTCCTGCTGCTTTTGCATGTTCAGTTTAGCTATCACTTCCTTCTGGAAGCCTCATCTGATCTCTTCCATTCATGGGTTGGCTGTCTCTACTATGCGCATGTGCTCCTGAGCCATCCTTTCTCTTTCCTTCTATAGATATAACCATATCATTTATGAGAGAGATATATATTCTCTCAATAGCTAGCTAGCTAGCTAGCTAGCTAGATATCTCTTTTTTCATCTCTGACTCCCACCCCATTCTGTGCACTCCATGACAAAAAGGCTTTGATTGGTTAGGTCAACACAGAACCCAGAAATGACACATGGCAGAGACTTAATTATCAGGACAATGAATTAATTTGGTTATACAATCCAAATAATAACTAATAGTAACAAAAATTAACTAACATTTCCATAGTGCTTTCTATGTGTGAGTCATGGTTCTAAGTACTTGAGTACTAAATATTGTAATAATTCATTTAATTCTTCTAACATTCACAAATAGTAGATCTTATCAGGTTTATATTTTTATAGAAGAGTAAACTGAAAAATAATAGGATAATGTTTTAGACCAAGGGTAAACAAATCACTGCTCTTGGGCCAAATTCAGCCAGTTGCCTGATTTTATAAATAAAGTTTTATTGATAGATAGCCATGCTCATTCGTTTATGGCGTCTTCTGTGGCTGCTTTCCCACTATAATGGAAAAGTTGAATAGGTATGACAGAGACTATATGATTCACATAGACTAAAATATTTACTATCTGGTCCCTTATAGGTTCATACAGAGTATCTGCCCCAAAAGTCTGCATTTGAAGCATGCTGAAAAATCATGTTTATTTATGTCATCTTTTTGTTTCTATCCTGAGAAGACAATCCCACTACTCTCAAACCCCCCTTTTAATTTTGATTTTCTATTTTATTATTATTGTGTTGTGGTAGTATATTAAAGCAAAATCCATCTGTCTATAATGTAAAATAATTTTCCTTGGTAGAGTTTTTTTTTTTAACCATGACCTGACTATTTATACCTTATAGAATTTAGAAGTTGAAAGTGCCCATGGCCTCACTCATCTTTTTAAAAAACAAATTTGGCAAATGAGATCTGGAGATCGTGATTTATTTGCTAGGAGTCATGTGATCAGTCATGTAGGTTCTGGATAACAGCCCAATTCCCCTGACCTTCTGAAGAAGGCCCTGGTGGCCCAGCTCTCTGCCTCCTCGTTGGCAGGGGTCCTGAGCACCCTCTCTGGCTGAGACAGCAAGGTCAGATGATTTGTTTTTCAAATACATACAGCCAATTCCTAAGCTCTCAACAAAAACAGGACCCAGAGAGTCTAGCTAAGTTATTGCTATTATCTTTCTGTTTGACCTTGTCTAGACTTCCACCCTGGCTTCTTTGTTTATCTCATTTATGCATGGGGCGTGTGTGTGTGTGTGTGTGTGTGTGTGTGTGTGTGTGTGTGTGTGTGTGTTTGTGTGTGCATGTGTGTGGAGTCTCCAGTTTTCATGACCAAACCTTAAGCAAATGAGAAAAATGCCTTAGGGTCTAACTAGAATGAATGCTACTCTAATAAATATTAGTTTTGATATCATCTGAGCCCCAGGATACGGAATATGAAATTTCCAAATGGTTATTATTCAAATCAATCAGTAAAGAGTACATCAGAGCCTCAGTGGAGCTGCACAGCTCAATTAGCACACATGGCATCTACTCAGCATTTCCTGGATGCAGCTCACATCACCCAGGACCCTGTGTGAGCAACACTGTGGTTAAGGATATGTCACAGCAAATCAACAAAATATGCAGTTTGATCAGCACATTCTGAGAGCAGATCATTAAAATATGCAACCAGATCCCCCAAGTGCATGAAAAATTAACTAACGAGTTTTGTATCTTGATCAGTTTAATGAGTGAGAAGTCGCTGAACAAGAGTGTCAAATTGTACAGTCTGGCAAGGGGGCAGACAATCGTCAGAGAGCAGCTGGGAGGGCCAAAGCTAATACTTTTTGTTTTCAAAATACCAAGCCTTAGAATTCAATGTCAGAAAAAGCTGATTAGTATTAAGATATTGTCCAGCTTGTGTCCAGCAGGATGTGATGTGATGTAGAGCCTTCTGATGTAAATGAAACATTGATTCTGTTTCAGGCTTCACTAAGTCTTAACAGACTCAGCTATGCGCCTGGAAGGCCCTGCCAATGGCATCATATACACATGTGTAGAACTAAGAGGCAGTGGCAGCCTTCTGGAAATATCTAAACCATCCAAGCTTAAAGAGCAACTAAAAGGAAGAGAAAAAACTTATTTAATCAAACTGTGTCAGAGATGCCTCATGCTATTAAGCAGGACTTAATAAACCAAGAATGTCCAAGCTAGAAAGTGGGTGGAGAATTTGAGTCAGTTAAGCCCAAGTGGTTGATGATCACTCGAGATGTGTGAATTGGATTGTCACAGAAGACTGTAGGGCCTGCTGTCACCCTGCTATTGGCAGGATGCTGATGGGGAGGTTGACAACCTACTCTTAACATAGCCACACATGCCCCTAGTGACTTGGCCCATGTGTAAACAGGGACTTGAGCACCAGTCTGTTAATTCTGCTCTGATACTTTATCTTGGTCGACCGGCTGGCATTGCAGCTGCGGGAATGTTGGTTTCCCAGGGCATAAATTTACCCCCTTTTATAGTGAGCTGGGCAACAGAAAGATGGCAAGCCCAAATAAAAGGCAGAAAGCAAATCCAAATGGGAAACATTCTACAGACAAAGGGGAAGATTGGCAGCCTGGCAAATGCTGAAACCAGAGCTGGCTGCTGGTTGCCCTTCCAGTGAACATGTACTGTTGGAGCAGAGGAGATGGGAAGAGAAGCAGACAGTCGTGTGTGTGTGTGTGTGTGTGTGTGTGTGTGTTTGTGTGTGTGTGTTCCTACTTTTAATTAGACTTTCCTAAAGTGTGGCACATGGACATAGAATGACCTTTGGTCAGATGTGATATGTGGAAAACTTTAAAATATGTTGATAGTTCTGATTCTATTTTCATGAATGTCAGGTAAAATAGAAATAGCACATCAAACTCATGATTTCACTAATATTTCTTAAGGTGAGGTAAGTATAGCAAAAGTGAGCCAAATTAAGACAAACTTAATGAAAAATACTGCATTTTGAAATAAAATATGAAATGAAAAATAAAGAAAAATACTATATATGTAACAGCACATGTGATAATGGATATCTCAAAAATTATAAAGGGATTTTCAAATGGCTTAAAGTTTAGGAAAATTTGGACTAGATTACTTTCTTTAAATAAGAGAGTTTCATGCCATTCAGTCAATGAAACAGGACTTATGAAAAGTAATAGCTTGGAGTGGATAATTTTAAGCAAGAAAGGAGGATTGGAAATAAAAAAAGGATCTCAAAGTTTGTCATTTATCCCATTTTCAATTGTCCAGGGGGCTAAAGAAAACTCTTCAGCCATAAGCCACTCTTGAGGCTGACATATTAATGAGCCATCATGAAACCATAAAAAGTACTTTGGATTACCAAAAAAGTTCAGTTATTAAAAGTTTTAATTAAATTTGTATGAAGAGTTTATTATAGATGATATCATATGTCAAAAGTACACATACTATATATGTGTGTCATACATATACACACACACATTTGTATATTTTAAAAGAATAAAACAAACGCATATGTTCCCTCTAGCCTACTTAAGAAATAGAAAATGACTATTTCAGAGCTGACAATGTGCCCCTCCAATAACAACTCTGTTCCCTTGCATTTCCACGTAACTCCTGTATTGAGTTTAATGCTAATTTTATTTGTCTTTTTAATAATCTTACCACATATGCCTGTGCTGCTAACATATTGCCTAATATACTTAAATATAATATTTTCTGTCCTTGCATTTTATATGAAAAGGATCATTCTATATGGATTCTTCTGTGATTTGCTCTTTTCACTCAACATTATGATTTTAATGTTTATACAAGTTAATATGCATAGATTTAGTTAATTTTATTCCTACGTGCTATTTCAGTGAATCTATCACAATAATTTATCCACTATACTGCTTATGGACATGTGGATTGTTTTTTGTTTTTGAATGTGAATAAGGCTGTTTTTACGGATCTCCTGGTGTTCACGGGCAAGAGCTTCCCTTGGTAGACACCTGGGACTGGCATTGCCAGGGACAGGCACGTGCTTCTTCCGTGTCATAAAGTACTGTCATATAGTTTTCCAGAACAGTCTTATCAATTTGCATTCCCACCATTGACAATAGTAACAAAAATAAGGTACCTAGCAAAAAAATGTACAAAGCCAAATATGAAATAAAATAATTTATTGAAAAACATCAAAGAAGACCTAAATAATTTTGGAATTATGGCAACCTTATGAATGTGAAAATTTAATGTAAAAATGTTAATTCTTCCCAAATTATCTGTACATTTCATACTCTTTCTCTCCTTCTTTCTTTCTTCCCTTCCTTTCCCTTCCCTTTCCTTCCCTTTCCTTTTCTGTCTCACTCTGTCACCCAGGCTGGAGGGCAGTGACATGATCACAGCTCACTGCAGCCCTGTCTCAACCCAGGGTCAGTCAATCCTCCCACCTTAGCCTCCTGAGTAGCTGCCACTACAGGTGCATGCTCCCATACCTGGCTAATTTTTCTATTTTTTTTGTAGAGATGAGGTTTCACAATAATTCCCAGGCTGGTCTTGAAGTCCTGGGCTCAAGCCATCTGCCCACCTCAGCCTCCCAAAGTGATGGTATTACAGGTGTGAGCTGCCACACCTGACCCGTACTATTTAATTTAAATTTAGATAGAGTTTTACATGGAAGTTGCAATCTGATTCTGAAGTTTACATGGAAATGCTAAGGGCCAAGAATCACTGGAATAATTTTGAGAAAGGAAAAATAAGGCAATGTGCTCTACCAAATATGGTAATTGAAACAATGTGGTATTGGTGCAGGGATAGACTATATTCTAAAAGAACAAAACATATTATAGATTCTAGAATCAGACTCTTCCCTAGAAGAAAATGGTATATGTGAAGATGGCAGTACAGCTCACTGGAGAAGGGATTCACTCCTAAAACAAATGGAACTCTACTAATTGATTATACAAAAATAAAATTTTTTAAATACAGATCCTTATATTCCACCACAAACAACTGTCAATTCTTTGTGGATTAAGGACTTAAATGTGAAATGCAAAACTTTAAAAACTTTTAGGAGACAACAAAGGAGAATATATTTATAATCATGTAGAGAAGGATTTTTAAAATAAGACACAAAAAAGCACAAAGCATAAAGAAAAATTTTATAATTTTGACTACGTTAAAATAAATACATCAAAGGAGATTTAAAAATATCATAAATAGATCAAACTTTAAGCCACAGACTGGGAGGACATATTTGAGATACATATACAGGAAAAAGAACACATAAAATACATACAAAGAGCACTTATGCATCAAGAAGAGAAAGATCAAGAATCAAATGGAAAAATAGGCAAAAGATATGAATAAACACTTCACAGAAGAAAATGTGAATGGCAAATAAATACTGAAAGATGTCCAAATTCATTGATGAGGACAAATTTGAAAACAAGCACTATTAACTGTTAATAATGATGTAAAGAACTCTCACCCACTGCAGATGAGAATGTAAATCTGTACAGCTATTTGGAAAATAAATAAGCATTTTCAGTAAAGTGAGATATTCACATATCCTATGACCCAACAATGTCATTGCCAAGAGAAACACTTGCATGTTTGCATTAGGAGACATGTATAAGGATGTCCAAAGCTGACTCTTGCAGTTGCAATAGCTGGGAACAAGTCATATGTCCATCAAAAAAGAAAGGATAAAATGAGAGAAAGACATACAGTGGAATACTATGCAACTGTAAAAAGTAAATCATCCACAGCATCATAGGATGAATCACAAGAATGGAATGTTGAATGAAAAACATTGAGTCACAGAAGAATGTGTACTACATTACCACATTAATATTAATATCTCAAAACATGTAAAATAGAGAAACAAATAGGTTATAAAACTATGACGCAAAAAGCAAGAGAATGATGATATACAATTCAAGCAGTGCATTATTTCTAGATGAGAAGAAGGAGGAAAAATTGGGGAGTGCATACATTCTAATTGCAGTTAGTGTCTATTCCTTAGCCTGAGTCATGAGTATATGAGTGTTAATGTCATCATTCTTTAAATTATATATTATACATAATCTATATTATGTATAATATATAATGTTATTCTTTATATATAAATATACATTACATATGCTCATTTGTATATGTTGTAGAACTCACAATTTTAAAAAAAGAAATTATGCAAGTAACAAATATGGCAAAATTTGTGAAAGTGTCACTTGATTAACCAAAGAAAGGGTCATTCTTTTCCAGAACGAAAAAGGAGCTGTGACAGCAGGATATGCACTGCCAGAAGTTCCAGCAATTCTTTGGGGACACCAGTGCATACATAAACATTTGGCAACTGACACGAAATAGATATTTAATAGAGTTGGAAAAGGGCCGGGCATGGTGGCTCACACCTGTAATCCCAGCACTTTGGGAGGCCGAGGCGGGTGGATCACTTGAGGTCAGTTCGAGACCAGCCAGGCCAACATGGTGAAACTACAAATACAAAAGAACTAGCTGGGCATGGTGGCTCATGCCTGTCATCCTAGCTACTTGGGAGGCCGAGGCAGGAGAATTGCTTGAACCTGGGGCACGGAAGTTGCAGTGAGCCAAGATCGCACCTCTGCCCTCCAGCCTGAGTGACAGAGTGATACTCTAAAAAAAGAAAGAAAGAAAGAAAGAAAAATAGTAATAACAATAATAAAGTTGGAAAAGGAAGTAAGTGAGGAACAGAGGGGAGAAAGGCAGAGAAAGGGGAAGAAAGAGGCTAGCTGCCCTCAGTTTGTAAATAATTGATTCTACACAATAAATAGATTCCTTGTTTGGAAAGAGTTCAGTGCTTATTTTCAAGGAGGGAGAGCTCTATTCTCTTGTAGAATTTAGCCCATTGTGTCTTCATGTTACTAATGGCTATACTGACAGCTATAGTACACCATGGAGACTTGCTTGTCAAACATTAACTACTATGCCATGTTATTATAGATTTTTTTTCTGATAGAGTAATCACTACTACTTATATGGAATGACAGAAGCTGCCTGATAGTATTTAATCTAATTTGAAAATACAAGAAATAGCCCAGCTATGTAAGACATAGAAAGACCCAAAGGGATTTTTTTTTTTTAAGTCAGAACAGGAAAGGAACCATTAAACATATAACTGAACTCTGACAGACTGCACCTTTTGCTTTGGTTTCATGGGAATTGGGGTTGCAGGTAAATAATACAGTATGTTGATTGTATGCTTGAATCTGCATTTTCAATTAAGTTTTAAAAGTTGAATAAATACAAAATAATATTCACCACATATTTCTTAAGTACAAACAGGATAAAAAAAGAAAACTTACGTACATATCATGCAGCTTTTAGAAAATAGAACATTAATGCAATCTTAAAGCTCTTCGTGTATTCTAGCTCCTCAACATTCCATTATCCTATGAGAAATAATGACTATCTTGAATTTTATTTATATCATTCCATGTTTTTATTTCTAGTGTTATATATTTATACATATTCTTAAACATTAACATCTTTTCTTACACATTTTTGAACTTCATGTAAATATAATCATAGTGCATTTTTCTACTATAACTTGTTTTTTTAATTCAGCACCCTGTTTTTGAGATTCATCCATGTTAATGTGTCTATAATTATGTATGTGTCTATAATTCATTCATTTTCATTGCTCTATATAATCTCACTGTATGAATATCACAACTTATTTACTCATTTTCTTATTAATGGTTATTTAAGTTGTTTTCAGTTTTTTGTTATGACACTGTGAAGTTTTTTGTATATGTGTCCTGGTTTTCATGTACAGGTTTCTCCAGAACTATTCCTAAGGAGTGAAATTATTAGGTTATATGACACGTGCATCTGCAACTTCATTAGATAATCTAAATTGTTTTCTAAAGCAATTTACTAATTTGTACTCCCACTAGTATTGATTGAAAGTTCCTCTTGTCCATATCGTCACTGGTCACTTTTTTTTATTTTGAGACGGAGAATGCCCTGTCACCCAGGCTGGAGTGCAATGGCGCAATCTCGGCCCACTGCAACCTCTGCCTCCTGCGTTCAAGCAATTCTCTGCCTCGGCCTCCCAAGTAGCTGGGATTACAGACGCCTGCCACCATGCTGGCTGATTTTTTTTTTTTTTTGTATTTTTAGTAGAGATGGGGTTTCATCATCTTGGCCAGGCTTGTCTTGAACTCCTGACCTCATGATCCACCCATCTCGGCCTCCCAAAGTGCTGGGATTACAGGCGTGAGCCACCGCGCCTGGCCTGGTCACTTTTGACACTGCTATGGGTTAGTATTCAAGTCCTCTGATGTATCCACTTAAATCAGCATAGCTGTGATTTAGTCATTATACAGATCACACACTTAGATCTACACCCACTACCTGAAGTCAGTGGCTCATATTGAATTTGGCTATGGTCTCCTCTGGATATTGATCAAAAAGCAGGACTTTAAAAGGTGGATAATTCTTGTTTTTCCAATAAAGTGCTGATTGACAAATATGAGAAAAAAAACATGATGTTAGTAGTACACATAAAATATTGTATTTGGCACTGCTGGAAAAATCACCCAAGTTCTGTGGGTTTCTGACTTTGTAACTACAAGATATTTGGATCAAAGTATACTTATTTTAGGTGACATATGAATTCATAATCCAGGGGAAAAAGTCTCATAAAAATAACAACATTAAATATATCTTACAAAAGAACCATTTAACTTGGCAAAATATTAATGAAATAAAACACATGGGTTAGATTTCCCTTAAAATACACATAGGAATAAAATGTGCTCAACAAAATGTGCTCTGGCTCTTGCCAAACAAGAAACATCTGAAAATAACCTAAGAGACTTTCTTAAACCACAGCATGTTTCTGGCTTTGTCTGCCACTTAATTAAGTGTTGCTTTAATAATGAAGCATATTAGGGATGGGGGTTGCATCTAGTTCACAAACCATTCTTTATGGGGTAGTAAAGATAAAGACAATAGTACCCACATTTAAAAAAAATTAATTTCATGCTCTTGCCTTCTTAGCATATGTTTCTTATCAGCCTTAGTAGTTGTTTTCTGAAATCTCCTTTAGTTAAGAAAGTTAGTCATTGTTTAGTCCTTGAAATTTTGGTGGAAATCTTTTATGATGGCTCAAGGATAAAGGAACTAGGTAAGGTGTTTCCCTGGCAACTCTTATACCATTGCTTATAAAGAACCAGAGTTATGTATGCTGGTGAAGTATATTTGGAGTTTAGACATTTTTCAAGGCAATTTATTGCTTTATTTAGTGTCTTTACAATGTGAACTCTTGAACTATTAAAAGTAAGGTTGTAGAAATGACACAAAAGCATTCATAAATGCCATTTCAAAGCAATCCCAGTGCATGTGCAGACAAATTTTCTACTCTTATGAAAAAAATTCATTTTTAAAATAAAATATTAACTGCTTCAGAATTCTACTTTGAATAAAGACAGGCTATGTAAATCTGACCAATTGTCCTACTAAGGACAATAAAATTTGGAAAAAAGATAATTTTTAAGTGTTTGAAAGAATAGTTTGTTCCAAGGTTCTGAAAATGCAAAAAGATATTAAAGTATCAGTGAGTCAAGATGTGAAGAGGGATCAAAGCCCAGAGAGGTGAACCTGGCTTTGGGGGCCATTTTTCTTTGGTGAGCTTTGCTGACTCAAAGGGACCCTGAAAGTCTAAGAGGCTGAGAAGTTGAGTATTACTTTTCACAGCTTCACAGAGAAAAATCAATGGCCATTAGAGTTTAGGACCTATCAAGAAGGAAAGGTGACTTGTAGAAACCCCTGTAGAAACTCTGAGGGTATCTATCCCAGAGACAGGATAAATGGGAAATAGAAGTGAACTCAACTTAAACTTATATCAATACCTAAACTGAATTGAGTTGATACCATGCTAATGCCTCTAGGTACCTGGCATAAGCAAATATAAATCCTCTTCCTAAGAACATGACATCCTTAGCATTAAATTATTTCTACGATGGACACTGCAAATACAATGTCCATTAACACACACACACACAACTTAGCATACAAGGAAACAATAAAATATGAATAAAAACTAGAAAAAAATAGCCAACAGAAATGCACTCTCTGAATCCCCAGGTACTGAAATTATTAGGCATAGACTTTAAAATAATTATGCTGGCTGGGTGCAGTGGCTCACTCTTGTAATCCCAACACTTTGGGAGGCCAAGGTGGGTGGATCATGAGGTCAGGAGTTCGAGACCAGCCTGACCAACATAGTGAAACCCTGTGTCTATTAAAAATACAAAAATTAGACAGGAGTGGTGTCTCGTGCCTGTAATCCCAGCTACTCAGGAGGCTGAGGCAGGAGAATCCCTTGAACCTGGGAGGCGGAGGTTGCAGTGAGCCAAGATTGCCCCACTGCACTCCAACCTGGGCGACAGAGCAAGACTCTGTCTCAAAATAATAATAATAATAATAATTATTATTATTATTATCATTATTATTATTATTATGCTTACCAGGTTCAAGGAGGGGGAAAAAGATATAACTAAAAATTCAGCAGAGAATTGGAATTTATTAAAAAAGAAGCAAGTGAAAATTCTATAAACAAAAATTACAATGGCTAAAATTAAAATTTTACTGGATGGAAGTCTGTTAGTCATGGCTGAAGAGGGAATTAATGAAGCGGAAGACAAATCAGAAAAAAATATCCAGACTGAAGCACAGAAAGTCAAAGGATAGAAACTACAAGTGGAATTAAGAGATATAAATAGTGCAACAAAGTAGTTTCTTCCACATGTAACTGAAGACTTATAAGGAAAAGAAAGGGAATGGGGCAAGAATAATAATTTGAAGAGGCAACAGCTATAAATACTCCAAAAATGACCTCAAACTACAGATTCAAGAAGCCCTATGAATCTTAAGTGAGATAAATTAAAAGAAATCCACACTTAGGTACATCATAATATCATTGCTGAAAAAATATCTTGTGATTCCTCCATATGTACATATGTATATATACACACACATACATACACACATATTATATGTAGACATATAAAATTATATACATGTTTACTTGTTATATTCTTTAAGGAAGTGCTAAAAGAATAGTAAATGAGTGTATATTAATAATTTCTAAACTTATTGAGGAGAAAAGAGGAATAAAAATGCTCGAAGTAAACAAAAGCAAGACATCAGAGAAAAAAAGAATCATAAAACAAATACAACAAATGGAGAACAAATACCAAGATGGTAAACTTAAACCCAAATATATAAATAATGAAATTAAATGCAAATTGTCTAAATGTTCTAGTTAAAAGGCAAAGATGAACAGATTTAAAGAAAGATAAAAACCATGTGATGTAAAAAAGAGACATCTAAAACATAAGGATAAAGAGAGGTTAAAAGTAAAAGGACAAAAAAAACATAGCAAGCAAATATTAACCAAAAGAATTATGTAGTTATATTATTATCAGAAAAGCCAACTTTGAAAGAAAAAACACTATTAGAGAATGCATCATAATAATAAAATTAATTTTGGTGGATGTAGTGGTTCATGACTGTAATCCCAGCACTTTGGGAGGCCAAGGTGGGAGGATCACTTGAGGCCAAGAGTTCAAGACCAGCCTGGGCAACACAGCAAGACCGCATCTCTAAAATAATTTTTTAAAATTAGGAGAGCATGGTGGCGCACCTGTAGTCCAAGCTACTCAGGAGGCTGAGGTGGGAAGATTGCTTGAGCTCAAGAGTTCAAGGCTGCAGTGAGCTATGATCATGTCACTGCACTCCAGCCTGGGTGACAGAGTAAGACCCTGTCTCTAAAAAATAAAAATAAAATAATAAAAGTTTTTATCCGAAAGGAAGATTATAACAATTCAAATTTTCTATCTAGGTATAACAGAGACTCAAAATAAATAGAATTACAAAATAGACAGAACTTCAAAATAGACATAAGGAAAAATGGACAATTCCAAAACATACCAACAATTATAACACACCTCTAAATATCTAATAGAACAAGCCATAAAAAAACTAAGATTATAATAATAGAAAAAATAATTTTAAAACTCAATCTAATGTACATGAATAGAACACTGGATTCAGCAAGCAAAACATTTTTTAAATGATCATATGCTGAGACATGAAACAAGTTTCAAAATATTTTAAAGGATTGAATAGAGTAGGCTCTCTGCCCACTGTTGGAGAGTAAGAAGATAACTAGAAAAATCTCTAAATGTTTGAAAATCAAACAGTGGATTTGTAAATAACTGCTTGGGTCAAAAAAGTCACAATAAAAATAGAAAATATTCTGAACTCAATGATAATAAATATACAACATATCAGTACTTACAAATGGCAACTACAGCCATGAAACTTACGGTTTTAAAGGCAAATGTGAGGGAAAAAGAAAAGCTAAAAAATCCATGGCCTTAACTTCAAGCTTAGGAAAGTAAAAAACAAACAAACAAACAAAACCCCAGCAAAATAAACCTAGAGAAAGTGGAAGGAAGTAATGAAGATAAGAATATAAAATCCATAAATACAACTTACAGCAAAGACTTTAGCAAACCAAAAAGAAATATGAAGAGCTAAATAGTAATTCCAAGAGGCTAGGGGAAAATGTAAACCCAATAAAAGTTGTAGAAAAGAAACAAGGAGAAAAAAGTAGAAGTTAATGAAATAGAAACTACAAAAATAAAAATAAAAAAGGTGGGAGTGAGGCTGACCAACAAAACTGACTCTGGTTCCTTGAAATGACTAATGGCAAGATGGTTAAAAAAAAAATCAGAAGTGGGTACAAATGAATTTTAAAAAGAAGTAAGAGATAAATAAATTAGGGGAAAAAGTTTATATTTGCAGATGATAAGATTGCCAACAATACAAGAGAATCTACACGTAAATATTTAAAGTTAATAATACGGTTCAGCAAGGGTGCAGATAAAAACCAATATACAAACCTTAAAGTTCCCTTATACTAGGAATAATAAAAAGAAAATGTAATAGGAAAAAAGAATCACATAAAAAAGAAGGAACAGCGACTGAACTATAAAGTATCTAGGAATAAACCCTACAAATATGTGCATGAACTTAATGAAAACAATATGTAATAGTTTATTGAGGAACATAAAAGAGTACTTGAATTAGTGGAAATTTTACCTTGTGCATAAATTAAATAAATCAACATGTGAAAGATATTGATACTCCCCAAATGATCTATATATTCGTTACAATTCTCATCAAGATTTCAAATTGATTTCTATGGACTCTGGTTGCATGTAAAATTTATGTAGTCACAGAATTGCTAAGACATTTCAAGAAGAAAGAACAATGAAGGGGTACTTTTTCTACACTGTATTAAGACATTAAAAAATTAACATAATCAAAAATGGTGTAGTACTGGCATGGAAGAAAACAAATAGACCAATGAACATAATAGAGACTCCTGAAATAGATCTGAACATATATGTAAACTTGGAGTATAATAGAGTTGGTATCATAAATTAATAGATAGAGTATAACCACGTTTAAAAATTTGTATTAGAAAAATGTGCTCTCTATATACAGAAAATAAAAACGGACTTCTACCTCACATTAAAAACAACAAATGAATTTTGCATTAAAACCTAAACAGGAAAAAAACCTCTACATATTTTAGAAGAAAATAAAGGAGAATCTTTATGAACTTGGGGTAAGCAAAGATTTCTTAAGACAGAAAAAAATATAAACTATCAAAGGAAAATGATTTTTTTTAATGAAAAACATTCAATCTAATTTATTGCTCTATTTTTAGGAATACAAAATATTAAAATTACCCAAGTGCCAGTCATTAAATAAATGGTGGCACATCTGCACAGTGGACTAATAGCTTTAAAAAGAGTCAGTAAGCCCTCCACATGCTGAGTTGGAAAGAGCACCAAGATATATTGTTAAGTAATTAAAGCAATTTGCAGAACTGAGTGTATAGAGCAAACAACTTTGTATGTAAAATCGTGACAATAGGTCAGGCATGGTGGCTCATGCCTGTAATCCCAGAAATTTGGCCAGCTGAGGTGGGTGGATTGCTTGAGCCCAGGAGTTCAAGACCAGCCTGGGTAACATGACAAAACCCCATCTACCAAAAAAAAAAAAAACACGAAAATTAGCCTGGTGTAGTTGCGCAAATCTATGGTCTCAGCTACGAGCCAGGCTGAGGTGGGAGGATCTCTTGAGCCTGGGAGGTTGAGACTGTAGCAAGCCGTGATTGTACCACTGCACTCCAGCCTGGGTATCAGAAACCTTGCTGGAAAAAAAAATCATGGAAATAAAATACATACTTTTACTTGTTTGTATTTGAATTAAGAAACTTTGGAGGATACATCTTGTTTCTTGTGGCAGAGGTTCAGGCAAGAACTAAGTAAATGAGAAACAAGGATATGAGAATGGGTATCTTTTCACTCTATATCTTTTAATATGTATATCTTAAATTTTTAACTATGCTAATGTATTACTTTTTTAATTTTAAATTTTGAAAAACAAAACTTGTATATAGCAAAGATTTCCTGTCAACAAAGCTGAAAAACAAATTAAATATAATTACAACAAATGTAGCAAACAGAGCCTTAGTATCTGCAGTATGTAAAATATTCCTTCAAATCAGTAAGAAAAAGACACTCCATATGAATCCATGAAAAGAATATTAATTTGAACAGGTATTTAACAGGAGAGGAATTATGAATATGTTCAGAGTGTAAAATATATTTACTCTCATCACTTATCAGGACAAGGTAAATTAATACAAAAAGATACCATTTTCATCCATCAGGTCAAATTAAGGAGGCTTTGTTGAACAATGTCAGATATGTGACAAAAAGTCACCCTTGTGAGAACATTAATTAGTACTGACATGTTGAAGTGTAACTTGGCAGCATTTAATCAAATTAAAAATCTGCATACCCTACAACCCAGAAATTTCACTTCTGGATAGGAATCCTAGACAAATTCCTGCAACCGTGCACAAGGAAGCACTTACAAGGATGTTCCTTTTGGCATATATTTAACGAACACTCACGTAGCACTTACTACATTCCAGTCTTGATTCCAAGCACTTTACAAATATTACCCCATACAATCCTCATAACAGCTCTAGGAGGTAAGTACCATTAAGATCCCCACCTTATAGATTTTTTTTTAAACTAACATAACAAAAATGTTGAGGACATTGCCTAAGGTCATGTGGCTTGTAAATGGTAGGAATGGATTTGAACTTAGGCAGGCAGCCCAGACCAAGTGTACTCTTTCAACCTTAAATCCACATTACCTCTCAGTAAAATTCTGCAAATCACGTAGAGCTTCATCAATAGAGGAATGGATATAAAGGAATATAGGAATGGATATAAAAAATGCACTATATTCATAACATGAAATGCTATCAGCAACTAAAAGGATAGCGATCTATTTATCTATCTACCTATCATCTATCTATCATCTATGCATCCATCCGTATGTAGCTATATTATTCATGTACATATGAATAGCTTTCAAAGCATAGTTGAAAATTTTTTCAATGTAAAAAATATTTATATATGAATATAAATTATTTATAAATGAATGCCTCTCAAAACAGAAAGATTTCATTTCTTTTTGAAGCTCAAAAATTCTGACGCAATGATTTTGCTTTCTGAAATATCTCTTTAGATAAATCTGTTTCAATTCTAAAAGCATTGATAGAAATCTAATTTTATGACATTTTCATATCTGTTGATCTTTTTTTCATGACAGCATTGCAAAAACAAAAATTCAAATCAGATCAGAATATTTTTTTCTGTAGCTTAGTGAATCTTAGTTATATATGGTTATATAATTTCATTTTAAATTTATTAATGTTAACATATTTTTTCCTATTCTAAAATAACATGATCAGTGCAGAAAAATCAATAAGAGAAGTAAAATAATAAAAAAAGGCACTCCTGTGACCTCATCAGAGTAGATATCCACCTTTAACACCCTGGTGATTAGTTTCCCTCCCTCCCTCCCTCTCTCCCTCCCTCCCTCCCTCCCTTCCTTCCTTCCTTTCCTCCCTCCCTCCCTCCTTCCTTCCCTCCCTCCCTCCCTCCTTCCTTCCTTCCTTCTTTCCCCCGCCCCTTTTTGTTTCTCATTTATTCACCTGTCTATCTGGATATTTATCCATGAAAAAATGGCCCCTGTTTCTCTTGTATGAATAAAGCTAGTTATCTTACAGCAGATCTGCTTTTTTCAGGTAAGAGTCAATTGATTCTTTCTTTTAGTTATGTAATGAAGAATGAAGAGGTTCTCACTGTCCTTGGAAAATGTATTGTGGAAAGTTTTCTGGTCTTAGAAAAGCCACTGTTCACAATATTTCTTGAAATGTAGACTCCATCCTGATAAGAGATGGATCAATTTCTATTAAAAAAAAAAGAAACAAACAAAATATCCAAATGTTGGAGCATGGTTAAGATGAAAAAAAACAGTATATTTATAGAATATAAATGGAATATTATTTTATATTTAAATGATATAGATGAATATTATTTATCTGAAAAGATGTTTGCAACATATGTAAAAAAAGAGATTATATTATTCAGTATAATCTCTATTTTTTTTTAAAAAAAATGTATAAATGTGTAAGCCATAGGACCCACTTCACTGTGTTAGGGAACAAATGTGGTCACATTTAATTTTTTTTAATTAAAAAAATTTTATTTTTCTAGTTAATATTCACTTTCTCACTTCTCCTTACTATCAGAAAATACAATGTTTTTCTTTTATGCCAAGCATGTCTCCATTGTCTCCAATTGGAGATTTCTCAGTTTAGGCTAGTCTTGCTTCCAAATGCCAGCTGGAGAGAGAGATCAAGTCTGACAAGCTTACCATTATCAGTGTTGTAGATGCCATACTGTGGGTCACCGAGGACTGGTCCATTGCCCAGGCTCTTATCCAAGACTGCTGTAGAGCTGCTGCTTTTAAAGTTTGGGTCCCTGCCTCAGTGGTCCCCAAGCTTGGTCCCAAGGTCTCAGCTCCTCAGATCTCTGTCACATGTTCAGCCTCAGAGGAGGAGCTTTCACTATCAGCCACAGCTGGGCCCAAATCCTTAGACCCTTGAGTCTGAGTCATCAGGCGAGACTCCTCCACTGCTCTTGTGACTCCCACCTGGAGCCATTTCTGTGAGCGGAACATGGACTTGTTCTTTTCTGTATGAACTGTCACGTTCCTCTGACTTCAAGTCTTGGCGAGAATTTTCCCTTTCCATTTTTTGCTGTTATAAGACATTCACAGCACTGTGATGAATGTCTTTATAACCAAGTCCTAGAAGTTGAATATCTGGATCCAAAGATACACATTTTTATAGATTTTGACAAGCCAAGTTGACCTTCAGAAAAGTCATAGTGATTTACATTTACACCAACAGTATAAGAATGTGTCTTTTTTTTCATCTTTGCCAGTACTGGGGATGATTTTTTAACAGCTTTGTTGAGGTATAATAGACATAATTGTACATATATAAAGTGTACTCTCTTATAGGTTTTGACATATGTATACTTGTGAAATTATCCCAATCGAGACAATGAACACATCCTCCTCTCCTAGAGTTTCATGACTCTTTATAACTCCTCCCTCACAGCTCTTGCTCCCCTCCCCAGCATATCCAAGCAACCACTGATCTTCCTTCTGTAACTACAGATTACTTTATATTTCTCACAAATTTATTTAAATAGAGTCATACAGTAGCAGCCTTTTTTTTACTGGCTATTTCACACTGTGTAATGATTTTGAGATTCATCCATGTTAGATCTAAATATTTCAGTCCTTTGTATTACTGAGTAGTATTCCATTGTATGGATATACCCTAATTTATTTATTCATTCATCTTCTCATAGACATTTGGTTTTTGTCTAGTTTTGGACATTACAAATAAAGCTGCTATAGACATTCACATGCATTTGCATAGACGTGTGTTTTCATTTCTCTCAGATAAATACATAGATGTAGAAAGGCTGAATCCATGTACAGGTTGAGAATCTCTTATCAGAAATGCTTGGGACCAGAAATGTTTTGGAGTTCAGATTTTTAAAAAATTTTTTGGAATATTTGCATTAACTTACTGGTTAAGCATCCCTAATCCAAAAATCTAAAATCCAAAATGCTCCAATGAGCATTTCCTCTGTGTGTCATGTCGGTACTCAAAAAATTTTGGATTTTGGAGCATTTCCAATGTCAGGTTTTGGATTAGGGATGCTCAACCTGTATGCAACTTTTTAAGAAACTGCCAAATGGTTTTTCCAAAGTGTTTTACCACTTTTAATTCCTACCATCAGTGTATAAGAAGTTCCAGTTGCCCCTTATCTTCATAAAGACTTGATATGGTCAGGTTGTTTTTTTTAATTATTATATTATAAGTTCTGGGATACATGTGCAGAACGAGTAAGTTTGTTACATAGGTATACATGTGCCACAGTGGTTTGCTGCACCCATCAACCCACCATCTAGGTTTTAAGCCCCACATGTATTAGGTATTTGCCCTAATGCTCTCCCTCCCCTTTCCCCACACCCCCCAACAGGCCCAAGTGTGTGATGTTCCCCTCCCTGTGTCCATGTGTTCTCACTGTTCAGCTCCCACTTATGAGTGAGAATATGCGGTGTTTGGTTTTCTGTTTCTGTGCTAGTTTGCTGAGAATGATGGTTTCCGGCTTCATCCATGTTCCTGCAAAGGACATGAACTCATTCTTTTTTATGGCTGCACAGTATTCAATGGTGCATATGGCCACATTCTTTTTACCCATTCTATCATTGATGGGCATTTGGGTTGGTTCCAAGTCTTTGCTATTGTAAATAGTGCTGCAATAAACATAGGTGTGCATGTGTCTTTATAGTAGAATGATTTATAATCCTTTGGGTATATACCCAGTAATGGGATTGCTGGTATTTCTAGTTCTAGATGCTTGAGGAATCCTTGAGGATCCTCAAGGAATCGCCACACTGTCTTCCACAATGGTTGAAATAGTTTACACTCCCATCAACAGTGTAAAAGCATTCCTATTTCCCCACATTCTCTCCAGCATCTGTTGTTTTCTGATTTTTTAGTGATCGCCATTCTAACTGGCATGAGATGGTCTCTCATTATGGTTTTGATTTGCATTTCTCTAATGACCAGTGATGATGAGCTTTTTTCGTATGTTTGTTGAGCACATAAATGTTTTCTTTTGAGAAGTGTCTGTTCATATCCTTTGCCTACTTTTTGATGGGGTTGTTTTTTTCTTGTAAATTTGTTTAAGTTCCTTGTAGATTCTGGATATTAGCCCTTTGTCAGATGGGTAGATTGCAAACATTTTCCCCTATTCTTTAGGTTGCCTGTTCACTCTGATGATAATTCCTTTTGCTGTGTAGAAGCTCCTTAGTTTAATTAGATCCCATTTGTCAATTTTGGCTTTTGTTGCAATTGCTTTTGGTGTTTTAGTCACGAAGTCTTTGCTCATGGCTATGTCCTGAATTGGATTCCCTAAGTTTTCTTCTAAGGTTTATGGTTTTAGGTTTTACATTTAAGTCTTTAATCCATCTTGAGTTAATTTTTGTTGTGTGTGTGTGTTTTTTTTTAATTTTAGACATGCTAATAGGTTTATGTAGTAGTCGCTCACTGTGGTTTTGATTTTTGGTTTTCCTAATGACTAGTTATGTTGAGTATCTTTTCACATGTTTATTTTTCATCCATAGATCTTTGGTGAAGTGCCTGTGCAAATCTCGTGACCATTTTTATTAGGTTTTTTGTTTTCTTATAAATGAGTTTCTGGAGCCCATATATTCTGAATACAAGTCTTCTATCAGCAATATGTTTTGCAAATATATTTTCCAAGTATATGTCTTGTCTTTTCCTTCTCTTAACAGTATTTTTTGAAGAACAAAAATTTTTAATTTTATAAAGTAATTTATCAACATTTTAAAAATAAATCATGGTTTTGGTGTCATATATAAGAAAGATTTACTTAACTCAGGTTCATAAAAATTTTGTTTTATGTTTAGTTTAGAAGTTTTATAGTTTTAACTTTTATGTTTATGATCTATTTGAAGTTAATTTTTATATGTGGAATTAACTATGGATCAGAGTGTTTTCTTAGCATATAGATATACAACTGTTCCAGTACTGTTTTTTGAAAAAAACCTATTGTTTCTCCACTGAAATAGCTTTACACAAACATGAGTTGTTTATACATGTGTGTTTCTATTTCTGAGTTCTGTTTTGATTCATCTGTCTATCTTGATTTGACACCACACTGTCTGGTTTTGATATAAGAGTAAGGGTGGCTTCATGAAATGAGTTGTGAAATAAAGTTTCTGAAATAATTTGTATATAATGGTTATTATTTCTTTCTTAATCATTTTGTAGAATACCAGTGAAGCCATCTATGTCTCAAATTTTCTTTATGTGAATGTTTTTAAGTATACTTTCAATTTTAAAGTAAATAAATATAGGGCTATTCTGGTTATCCAGTTTTTCTAGAGTGAGCTTTGACAGTTTTTGTCCTCAAGGAATTTGTCCACTTCATCTAAGTTGTTGAATTTATTGACATAAATTTCCATAAAATTGTCTTACTTTCCTTTTAATATCTCCAGAATCTGTAGTGATGTTAACTCATTTATTCCTGATACTGGTAATTTGCATCTTTTCTCTATTTTTCCTATCAGGTTGGCTAGCATTTTTTCAGTAAAAGGATATGTCCCCTTTCTTTCTCTTTGCTAATACTGGAAAAATTAGAATTATTTTTTACCAGTTTGGCAAGAAAAATTTGCATATCAGTCAATGGGTTTCTTTGCTGTCCCTCTCCTTCTGCATCAGAATTATTTTCAATTATAGAATTGTTATTTCACTGATGTTTTTATAAAGAAAGCATCATTCATGAATTTTTTATTGAATTCTTTCCTTGTGCTAATAGTAGTAGAGCTGAGGTTCCTCAGATGAGTTAAAACCTCATGCCTGTCCTTGAGGGGTTGTCAGCTAGTGGGAGAGAATGAGAATTATATAGTAGAGGTCTGTAGGAGTTACCCTGTGGAGACAAAGGAAGATGTGATCAGCTCTACTAGGCATGCATATCTTTCCAGAGAGGAAGAGGTAAGAGTTATGGTTGGAAGATGAGTTGGCATTTTATAGACAGATCATGGTGTTTGAGATTGAGGGACTGGCAGGAGCAAGGCACAGAAGTAGAAGGGAGAGTGACGAGTATATATCATCAGTCAGGGTTTTTTAGTTGCAAGTGACAGAAGCATTTCTTGGGTGACTAAACAGTTATGGATTTTATTATGATAATGGAAATTCACAAAATTGCTGGGAGAACTGAATAATCAAAACCACACTGGAGAACAGGCATTATGAGGAAGCCCCTGCTGCTCCTGTACTAGGTCCTATGGGAAACCACCACTGCCCCCACAGGTGCCAATGCTGAGCCAGGAACTTGCTCTTGCTACCACATCTGCCCATGAAGGACAGAGCTTTCTGCTACCAAATTCAATGACACAGTGGTTTCTACAGTCATCCTTCACCAGATCGTTTACTTCTAAATCACAGTTTTGCATGGAGAGTTTGATTGAGCTTAAATTACCTTCACCCATTTATTCAAAGTTTATTCAACAACTCAGGTTCATATTAAGTGCCAGATATCATGTCAAAGTCTAGGGATCAAGCGAACAAATAAAGTATCTGCCCTCATAAAGTTTATATTCTAGAGACAGTGGCGAGAGAAGGGTAATTTTTAAAAAGAAATAAGTAAATTTATAGTATGTCAGTTGATAGTAAGTGCTATGGACAAAAATTTGAAAATAAAGCAGGAAACGAGACATGCCTGGAAGGGAGGGTATGTTGCTCTTTTACAGAGATTGATCAAGGGAAACATGTATGGGTAATGTATAGTAAAGATATGAAGGAAGTGAAGAAGCAAGCCATGTGAACTTCTGGAGTAAAAGCCTGCTAGGCAGAGGGAATAGCGAATGCAAAGGCTCTGTGGTGGGAATTACCTATTGTGACCAAGGATTAACAAGGAAACTCTGTGTAGCTCCAGTGTAACTGGAGCAGAGAGATCAAAACAAAGAATTGTAAGAGATAAAGTTGAAGATGTGGGGGAGATGGGGAAGCCATATCATATAGGGCTTTGTTAATCATTGAAAGGACTCTGGCTTTGACTCAGGGTGAGATGTAGAGCCATTCAATTGCACTGTATTGAATAGAGGAGAGTCAGTTCTGGCTTGTATTTTAGTAGGATCACCTGGATGCTCTGTTTAGACTATATTTTCGCATACCAAAGACAGAATCCAGGGACCCATTGCAATAATCCAAGTTAGAGTTGAGATGATGGTGTTTTGATCACAGACAACAGTGGTAGTAAAGATGGTGAAAAGTGATAGGCTCTTGGATGTATTCTGAGTGTAGTGACCTCACTACACAGGGTTGTGTGTGCATAAGCAAGGGAAGCAAAGATGAAGAGTCAGGTGCAGACTAGATTACAAAGTCCCTTGTGTGCCAAGCAAAGGAACTTGATTTCATCCTCAGGTAATGGGTGCCACTTGTGAATTTTAAGCAGAGATTCATATATCATATTTTATTTTAGAAAGCTGATTTAGTGGCAGAAGTGAGAATGAAGTTGAAGAGGCCATGTTAGAGGCAGGGAGACCTTTGAAGAGACTAATGTCAATAGCCAGACAAGAAAGGATGAAGAATTTACAAAGACAATAGCTATTTATCTATGACAGTAGATAGGGGGAAAATGGTTGTATATTCATTTTCTGTTACTCTGTAACAATTACCATGAACTTAGTTACTTAAACAACACACATTTATTATTTCATACTTTCTGTGGGCTAAGAGTTCAGTCTTGGCTTAGATGGTTCCTCTGCTCAGAATCTCACAGGGCTGTAGCCAGAGCATTGGCTGGGCTGTGTTCTCATGTGGAAGCTTGTCTGGGGATCTTCCAAGTTCACTAAGGTTGTTGGAAGAATTCATTCATTTGTGTCTGAAGGACTGAGGGCCCTGGCTTCTTGCTGGTTGTTGGCTGCAGGCCACCTTTAGCTCCTAGACTCTACTCATAGTTCTTTGTCATGTGGGCTTTCTCAACATGGCCCATTACTCCATCAATCCAGCAAGGAGACTCTCTAGAGGAAGTTTGCCAGCAATATGGAGCCTTAGCAATATAAGGCAATCACAGGAATAGCATTTTATCATCTTACTTCATTCTATTCATTAGAAGCAAGTCACAAGTCTCACCTATACTCAAGTGGGAAAAATTACACAAGGGGGAAATAAACACCGGAAAGTGGATCATCGAGGGCCACCTTGGGATCTATCCAGAATGTTAAGGACACAGAATAGATAAGACCCAGAGAGTCACTGGATGTGGGTAAGAAAAGGAAGGGGAGAAATACAGGATGACACTCAGCTTTCCTGTTTGTATACTTGGTAGATGGTGAGGGCCCTCACCAAAATAAACACGGAAGGAGGAGCTAGTTTGGGAGAATAATGAGTCTTCTTTAATTTGGGAGCATGTTTTATCAAAATGTTCTTTATTATAATGAAAAAAAATGAATAAACCTTAGCCATAGGGCCCTATTCCTGTTCTTAAAGAAACTTGACTCTTGGCCGGGTGCAGTGGCTCATGCCTGTAATTCCAACACTTTGGGAGGCTGAGGCTGGTGGATCACTTGAGGTCAGAAGTTTGAGATCAGCCTGGCCAACATGGCGAAACCCTGTCTCTACTAAAATACAAACAAACTAAAAAAAAAAAAAAAAAAAAATTAGCCGGGTGTGGTGGTGTGCGCCTGTAATTCCAGCTACTAGGGAGGCTGAGGTGGGAGAATTGCTTGAACCCAGGAGGCAGAGGTTGCAGTGAGCCAAGATCGCACCACTGCACTTCAGCCTGGGCAATAGGGCGAGACTTCTTCTCAAAAAAAAAAAGAAAGAAAGAAAGAAAGAAAGAAAGAAAGAAACTTGACTGTCATAGTTCATGCCACATGCTATTTTGCTGAGCCAAAAGGGAGTTCCTGGCTGTGTCTGAGTTTTTGTGCCTGCAATGGACTCTTCAAAGCTGGAAGGCTGACCATAGAAATGGTGTGCTTACAGGAGCTTTCATGATTACAGGTAAGAAAAACTGTTTATAGAAAATGAAATCATTCAGAAGTTCTCAGTGTTTATATGTAACTCACCTATGTAAGTTGCCTTAGAATTTACCTCTTTTCTGTAAAGAAAACGTCTTTGTCTGATTTTGTGGTTACAGACAATGTTTTATTTCAAGTTTCCCAAAGGAGGGGAAGGAGTGAGAGTTAGACAAGAACAGAGGGGAAAAATAAAGACAAAGCAATACTCTGTAAAACTGATTACTCAAATACATTTTTGACAAACAGGTGTAATATCTGGTTGCTGTTGCCATTCTGCCACCAAGAAACCTGATGACTTCATTTGGGCCTCTTCAACCAGCTGCCCCTAAAGCTAGCAAGCTCCACCCTTCAGTGTCCACTGATAAATTCCTTAATAGCGTAAGTGATTTTAGGAAATTTTTGAAAATTGTGTATGAATGGATGGATTCCATGACAAGGGTATTGAGGTCAAATGGTATGTGGCTAGGTACTGCCAGGCAAGTCTAAGAGATTAAATTTAATTATTTTGGGGGACTCAAGTATTGAGGAAATGACTATGTAGCTGGTTAGGAAAAAATAATTTAGAAGGTCCTGTTTTCAGGTACACTGAATGACTACATTCCTTTCCAGGCCTTTCTTGCATCTGCTAGTTGTCAGAGGAAGCCTGTGGTTGTCACTGAAGGAGCCCATTTGTCATAGATAGTTCCTGTTGAGTCTCTTAGTCCACTTAATTTTCAATGAGCTGCACCCAGGAGAGACTTCCCACAAAACTAGGTTAGGCTGATTCTGTCAGGTGGAAATTTTTTAATGGTAAATGGCAGAAAACCCAATCTAAAATCACTTAAGCTATTAAGGAATTTATTAGTGTACACTGAAGGGTAGGTCTTGCTAGCATTAGGGGCAGGTGGTTTAAGGGGCCCAAATGAAGTCAACAGTTTTCTTGGTGGCAAGAGGGCAATAGCAGCCAGACCTTACACCTTCTTATCATCAAGTCCAGCAGCTTAGACTTTTTACTCCCAAAGCTGAGCTTTCATCATTGTCCTCTCATTGGCCTAGAAGGGGTCGCACACCTGCCCTGCATTAGTCACTATGATCACAGGAATGCAATTACTCTAATTTGGGTAAGACCAATTAAGGCCCATCCTGTTTATGGGCATCAGCTGTACCCAAAGGACATGGTTTCCCAAGGGAAATTTGGGTGCAGTTTTGACTAAAAGTAGAGTAAGTGAATGTTGAGTGTCAAACACAAGAGAAAGTAATCTTCACCCCATGAGTAGTCCTTTTAATTGGACTAGTAATTTTTTTACATGCAGCATGATTGCCACTGAATGGAAATATTTTTATTTCCACTTGTACATCTTACACCTGACTTTCCCCACTGCAGCCCCCGCCCCCACCCTCCCTGTTACCCTCACATGGTTTGACTGAAAGTTCCGGTCGGGAGAGACTCAGAAATGTTTTATCACTTTATGTGAAGGCAAAACCTCAGATCAATAAGGGAAGAAAGCCCATGCCATACACTTAAAGGGAGAGAAGAGCCTCTAGATATAATAATCCACTGGGCACCACCAATTAATTTATGCATTAGAGGTTTTAAAGTGCATTCTCCTTAAAAGAGAGAGAGAGATGAGGCGATGTGGGAGTGCTTGTGAGGGATCCCCAATGAATTAGGTTTGAAAAGATGAGTTCTATATTTGGATGGTAAAAGGAAGGAGTTAGAAATTTGAGTGGATGCAAGAAGGAACCATGAGGGTTCAGAAAAATCTCTAGTGCTACCAGGGAAGTTTCATTAAGTTGTTGTGTGTTTCGTAAGCAATACCAATAGTATAATTAGACTTTTGCTCCTTTACCCTAGCTATTTTGCTTCTCTTGTGGTATTTTTCTTCTATCATATTTGGCTTAAATACCATTTCATTCCAGTGCTTCCCTTCCTGCATTCCCTCCCCAAGCCTTTTTCCTGATGCCTGCTAAAAGGCCCCACATCTGATATTAACCTAAAACTTCCTTGATTTCTTAAAGTGAGTTATTCATTAACAGAACCTAAATTACTGGTTGTTAGGCAAATCTAATTCTTTCAAACTACAGATCTGCTCAGAGAAATCTGTAAATCTAGTGTAGAAATAAGTGAAGCTTTGCGTCAATTGTTAGGTCTAAGCAGAAGTTTGGGAGAGAGAAGAAAAGTTACTCATTTGCCTGATTCCGCACGGTGAGTCAATGGGGAGGGAATGAAATGTACCACTGGCTTGACAGGCAGCTCAGGGAGACGCGGCTGCAGCCCACAGGACTGGGCAGCAGCTGCAAGGCTGCCTCTGAGCATGGTCATGGGTCCCAGCTGCAGTGCTCTAAAGATCAAGGATTTTGCCTTCTATTTTCTATGACCAGAGATTCCTGTGCAAAGAGGTATGGCTATCTTCTTTCATGACCTTTTGTTCAGCAAAAACAAAAGCTAATTAAAGTAAATGTCAGAGGCTGCAAAGAAGCAAAGAGTGGGGGATAGGAGAATGGAGCTGAGAAACTTCCAGGGGCTGGCTGATTATGCAGATAAAGCACATTTGGGAGCTGTGTGTCTAGCCATGTATGCAGGCATTTCGGTTATTAGAGTAAAAATGCCACTTCTCTGTGGGTTATTAAAACATGTCTCTAGGCCTCAGGAGCAGAAAGCTGTGCTTCTAGATTCATATCATGTGCATTTTTGTTTTACTCCGTAATAATCTAGTCTCATTTCTATTTTATACTTTTGTTTACTTCAATCAACATTTTGCAACCAGCAAAGAAACTGGCTCTGCCTACGGATTTTCAAAGAAAATTAAATATTATAGCATCATTACAGTCAGTGGGTTGAACAGGGTCACCATTACTGTTTGTTGCTGCTGCCGTTTTTTCCTTTGGTGTTTCAGATATCTTACAAATCATAATTAAATCTAACCACTTTTTTACTCTTTCAGATACACACTTAAATTGTTGTAGTAATCAACCATTGGATTAAATGACATTTATATATTTTTGATTTAAAAAGCAGAAAAAAATATTTAGAGAAATATTTGAGTTGGTCATATAGATATTTGGTACATGAAACTTAAATGTAAATGAAGATACATTTAACATTGAGTTTTCCATGTAGTTTGAGAGTTTTGGTACATTTTCTGGAAGAACAAACCCACGAATTTGAATTAGGATTTTTCAGCAAGATTTGTATTATTCCAGAGCAAAAATGACCAACAAAGTCAACATTTACAGGTGAAAATGAATACACTATAAAATTATGACAAGTCACAAAAGCCTTGATTTTAGAAAGTTTATTAGACTTGAAGATAAGTGTTTCTCATCCTTTTTGAAGGAAATGTTTCCTATTTGTGTTTTAATAAGTTGAAATAGGTAATCAAAATTAAGTAGTTTTTTGGGCTCTTGACTAAATAGGTCACCAAATCTATTTTTTTCATGTACTTATGAAATAAGCCTGCTACAAACTTAGATCGTATGTACTCTAGCAAAAAGACAGGGCTGAAGCCTTTAGCATTGCTTAGAATAAGCCAGACTCAGAGGCTTTCAGTAGAAGTGAAGTGTAGCAGCACGCCACAGCCAAGGAAGCCCAGAGACATCCAGGGAACAATAGACATCTTGTGGGAAGGGCTGAAATGTATGCAGCCAATTCCCATGGGAACGCCTGTAGTCCTTTCACGCTGTGTGAAAAAGATGCTCCTTCAAAAGAATCTGTAATCCTTTCTTTCAAGGGAAAAATCTGAGAACTTTATTGAAAGTTTCTAGAGCCCAAATGGGTCTAAGTTTGTTAATGAGCATTTTTAATACAGGTGAATAAAATGAAAATGTTTTGATGCAGAGTAATGTAGTCTAAAGCGTAATGTAAATAAATATTGTCATTCTAGAATTTTCTGAAGTGAGGAAGCCAGGGTATACCCTAACCTAAGTTGCAAGCTAGAGGCTGAATTCTTCAGAATAAGTTGGTTTCTTGAGTTAATTATGGTGATTGAAATCTCCCCCAAGAGTTTCAATTATTCTATAGGCAGTATCCCAATAGTGTGGCGATTAAGTCCTCCAGTTCATGTATATTTTCATTTAGCAGAATCTACAGATGCATAATAGAGTAAGCCACTAATGTTTTATTAGTGGGCATTGAGTGTACGTCACCTTGAAAAGTAGTAAAGAAAGTAGCTGGAGCCCTGGAGGGCCACTCCTTTCTCACTAATAAACACGGGAAGGAGTGCTACACTTCCATGGAAAACTCAGGTGTTTGGATTACCCAGCCACAAAAAGTTTGAGATACATTGTATTCTAGCCCATTTCTGCTCTGTAAAAACATTCACTGTTATTGTTCAACCTTGGTGTGGGTAGGATCACCGTAAAACTATCTCTCCAGGAAACAAGATAAGGTTGCCAAAAAATCAACAGGGACCCATTCAAGAGAATGAAGTTTACAGATGAAAAGTGAACAACCCAGAGGTAAGGACAGGATGACTAAGATAGAGAAAGGACAACAAAGATATAAATATGGCTCAAATGGAAACAACCTAAACATCTTTAGCTCTGTGAACCCAATTTAGTGAACAGTACAGTCATGTATTAATTTTTAAAAGGTATGGCATGGGGATGTGTTAACTGGTGGACCATCTATAGGAATAATAGTACTCTTAAGGATATGATTGCTGGCACTTTTTCTGTGGTTGCCATATGCCAGGCTCTGTGTTAAATGTTTTATATCATCTCCTTAAACCTCCCAACAACCCATATCACAATCCTCAGGAGCAAAGGAGGAATTCCAGGCTCAGGGAGTCTAATTAACCTGCCCACATTTACACTGCAGGTAATGGCATAGCTGAGCTTGGAATCCAGTTGAGTCTAGATTCCCATACTCTTATCACTCTGCTCTTCTTACTGGAGTTCCATAGAGTGTCCAATTCAGGACTCTACACCCTTTAAAAAAATAAAACTGGATAAAAATCTAGGGATTAAAAATCAGTAATAATGAATAGAGGATTAAAAGGGAAGGCTAAAGCAATATCATCTATTCCATTAAAAGACGAAACTTCATTAGTATATTGTAAATTAGAAAAACTACTAATGAAAAAATACAGCTACTCATGAATGACTGGATTCTTGATTTTTATAAAGGAATTCTTCAAGGGGATAGTTCTCCAAATGTGGATGGCATAAAAATATGATTGATCACCAACTGTCTAGGCAGATTTACGAGGTCGTTCTCCTGGAACATATGACCTGGTTTAACTGTGGCCACCCTGACCACACCCTTTGAGTAGACACACCCTAGTGAGCACAAAGATGAGATTATCTGCAGGATAGCTGCCTGTACACATTGCCAGAAGTGAGATGATTTGATATAGCTATAGATCTACCACAGGAACAGACGACTTAGGGGTCGAGAAGAATGCAGTCTTAAAAACCTTGCTTTTTAAAGTGCACTGTTAACTGTTTAAAGAATAAAGGAAGGTTCCAGTGCCCTTTTCTCCATCGGAGTGTCAGTAGATTAAGCAGGATAAACCTTTTGCCTGAGTGTTGCTGCAATATTTAAAAGTACAAATCCAATATTTCTGGTCCACGTGGATTTCTATGAATAGCTTCCCAGCAAATAACGAAAAAAAGAGAGTACGTATGTTGTGAAGTTTGTTCTGTTTATTAGCAACTTCCCGCATACTTCAACTTTCAACAATTTTACTCTAGAGGCAGAGTAAAGGGATACTTTCTTTAGGAGGTGACTCTTACTGGACGAACACTCAGTGTTTCCAAAACGTTTGTGAGATCTCAGGGAGAGGGAAGTGTTAATGAAGCTGCAGTTCTCTTCTCCTCCCCTGGAGCTCTGAGAGGTGGCTCCCTACAGCCATTCCGTTCACCTGCTTGAGTTCTGTTGAAAATTGTTTCCTGCGTGGCTCGCCCCCGCCCCCCATTCTTCCCTGGGAAAGTATAGATTTTCACGAACACAGGGAGTTCTGTTTTCTCTGTTAAAAACAACTCTCCTTTACTGGAGCAGGCTTTGTGTTTCACCTCAGGAAACAGAGCGTTGCACTGGGAGGTAACTCCGCTGGGTGAGGTGCAGCCTGTCACCTGACCGGTCTCTGGGGCTGCCGGTGGCATCAGGCTGCATTCCTTGAATTCTTCCACCCGGCACCGGCTCCGCAATGAACAACTTCAGGTTCACTGAGCTGAGCGGATTCCACTCGCTGTGCCCTCGGAGCCTGCCTGAATCTCCCGCCCAGTCTCAAACCATGCAGCTGAGTAACTGCAAGGGCGCCTTTGAGGAGTAGCACGCAGGTAAAGTCGAGTTTGCGCGGGACAGCTGTGACTCCCTGAAATGTGCCACGTTTTGCGCCATCATTTCTGTTTTTGTGGTTTCTGTTTCTCCCTACAGAAAGCTGATTCGCCAGCAAATACCTGCCAAAAAAAAAAAAAAAAACTAAATAATGAGAAGGTGGGCCTCAGATTAGAACCCCTTAAAGATTAGGGAAGGAAATTATGAAGGAAGCAAATTAAAGGCTGTAAGAATTTTATAAGCCAGCTTTTAAAAATCATACAAAAAATATGAGATTTTGGAGTCTGGCCTACCTGAATGTGAATATTGGCTCTGTGTGTAACCTTGGGCATGATACTTAACCTCACTGGTCCTGTTTCCTCTTAGGTGGTAATATCTACCTGCAGAGTTGATGGGAGAACTAAAAGAAGAAAGCATCTAGTGTCTAGCAAAAAGGTTGATGTGTAGAAAGTATTTTGAGTATGTGCACATATGTGCATGTGTGTATATGGTATGCTTGTGTGTACATGATACATGTATATGTACACGTGCACACAGGCCACAGGACTATGACATTCATAAGGGTAGGGAGTTTCTCAGAACATGAGGTAGAATTTGATCTGGCTTTGACCTTCCCTGCTATTGCAAAAAGAACAGCAGGAGAAGCCAGACACCTGAGCAAAATATTAATGAGAGCTGCTGAAAAATAAATAATGTGCCTTGCCAGTCCTTATTTAGGAAGGGATGTGCAGCATGTGGAGGTACTCATTGGATGAGAGCTGATGGGAAGGGAGACAGCTCAATAATAATTATCTCACACAGTCATGAATACAACTATCCTGGGAGACCAGCTGCCTTCAATCCTGACTTGGCAACTTACTCTTCAAGTGCCTCTGCTGGTGGTTACTTTCCTCTCTAAACATCAGTTTTTGATTGCATGGAATTGTCATAAGAATTAAGTGGCTAAGTATGTGAGAAGCACTGAGATAAGTACCTGACACATGGCAAACACCCACCAAATGTCAGTTGTGCCATTATTTTATAAAGGGCTCGTTTACACTTTATCACCTGTGACCCTCAAAACACCCTGATGAAATAGACGAGGTGTGTATTAGCCCCATTTTGCAAATAAGAAAACCAAGTCTCAAGAAAGGAAAACAACATGAACTAAAGGTCCTATAATCGCTGAATAGCTGAGCTGGGACATGACCCTTGGTTCCTAGATGAGCAGATGACTTAGTATGAACTCAGCACAAGTGCACTGAATAAAACCTGTAAAAATCTTAGCTATCCTAAAGGTGCTTCTCAAATACCATTTCCTCCATAAAGCTATTCATTATCATCTTCCCCTGGAAGTGACTTCTCTCTCCCTTGTACTTCCCCAAACTTCTTTTTGTAGTATCCAGGAGATTTTTCTCTTGGTCACTCCCATATTGTAGAAGGTGTTTTGAAGATCACAGTTGAAAACGTGCAAAAGAGCCCTTTGAAAAATAATGTGTAAGTCTCACCTCTCCCCACTCCACCCCTATGTTTGTGAAAGCTTTCCTGTATGGCTGTGTGTTAAACAACTTGATGTTTCTGTTTAGGGCCCAAAGCAATGTTTTGCATGTGATGGGCCCTCAAGAGTAAGAGCTGAAGTTGGCAGCATGAATGTGGGACTCCACACCAGGTGTCATGTAAATGTGGAGTGTGCAGAAAGAGCCCAGGAAAAGCCTGGGGGTGCTCCTCTGTACCAGCACGTATTACTGCTCCTTCTTGGAGCTCCTGAGCATCTATGACTGGGGCAGTTGAATGTACTTCATGGAGTGCCACATGTCCAACAAGCTGACAGGTCAGGTGAAGTCATTTCCATCCAATTTTCCTGAATATTATTTTACTGAGACTCTTGTCACTGTAAATATCTGAGCCTGGGAGGAAAATGTGTTAAGAGAAAAATGTAGGAAAACACTGTGCTGATTTTCCTTAGAGATATTGTGATTCACCCTCCCACATTTCCCAGGGTGCGAACTACTTTGCAGTACCTCACTGTGCTCCACCTCCCTCTGAAAGCTTACCACTCTCCTTTGCTCTTCCTCCAAGCGTCTTCTCCTGTGACTGTCTTGCTCTCTGGTTGCTCTAAATCTCAGGGCATAGAATGGGCAAGGATCCAGGAGCAGTGTAGAAGGGGAGAGGAATTCATTTTCTTGCTTGATAACCCTGCTCACACCTTCATCATTAATATTAATAATGCTCTGAGGACCTTTACTCCTAACAGTAGCCTCACATTTTACATGGAGTCAATATTTCATAATGGTTATGAACTTGGAGTCTAGCACTACTGGAGTCTCTGGGTTCAAATTCCAGCTCTCCAGTTTTGTAGCTGCATGGCTTTAGCAGTTATTTAACTACCTCAGGTTGCTCACCTACAAAGTGGGGATGACATATTTTCATATAGTTATGAGGATTAGATGAATTAATATTTACAAAGTGTTTATGCCTGGTACATAGATAAAGGCATGTAAGTGTTAGGCTTCATTTTTCAAAAGCTGGTAGATAGTACAAAAATTGCATATAGAGAGTATTTTCCTTAAAATCCCTATGACTCATGAATTGTACCACTTACAATACTACAGATAGCTTATTTAGTTGAGTGTGTAATGAAAGCTTTGGCTTGTATTTTGAGGCCATGGTGTTTGAAGAGTATGTGTCTTTAAACTTGCACTCAACACAAAGAGGTGCTCTCACAACAATAGCTCAGAGGAGAGGTCTGAGACTACCCAAGGAAACAATAGATTCTCCTCTCCCTTTTCACACTCTTTCTGGCAAACCATTCAGAGTAAAATGCTAGGTAGAAATGCCTATTACTTGTATTAAATAACTCACTCTTGGCTCTCACTAAGCATGTGGCTACATTTGTAAGCTACCCACATGTATGAGGTGATTCCACTCTACTGTAAACTGTGAGGGAAGTGCACTGGACTGAAATCAGTAGACTATCCTTGCCACAGCTATTATGGGGCCTTGGGGCAGTCATTAAACCTCACTGGACATTAAATGATTACTAAGGTCTCTGCCAGTGCAAATGGTCTGTGATTTTATTAGGCCCAGAAGGGAGCTGATGAGAATAATCAGATGTCTAATTTGTGCCATTGCCCTCCTCTCTGTAGACTGTTAATTGGGTGAGAAATATAGTGGGACTTTATTACTTCAACTGGAATAGAGGGAGAGTTGCCTGATCCCAAAGCCCTCCTCTTTAGCCCACATGGCAAGGCTATCATGTTCATTTCAGTGTTAAAGTTCATCTTCATGTTCAGTAGAGATTTATCTAACGCCATTCTCCTAAGCAGCATCTTTATTTTATTGCTACTTGATTATAGAGTACGTAGGAGTAGGGTAAGTACTGAGGTCACCTTTTTGACTGACAGAGCAGGGAACTTCTACTGCTAGCGTAGCAAGGCAGCCCAACCAAGAGGTAAGCACTGGTTTCTGTGTCCAGGTTCTGGAAGAAAGGGTTCAAGGAAGTGGGTCTAGGAGATGTTTCCTATGCTCCCTCTTTTCCTTTTGTTCTCCCTTTCTGTTTGATTCCCATGAGAATCTTTTTGAGGAAAATCTGGCAAGTGTTAGGCATGATTGTTGTTTTTCCTTGTGACATGGAGAGAAGAGAAGGATGTAGAAAGGAGAAAAGCGTAGGGCTCATGTTGACTTTTAAAGTTCAAATTAAATTCTGGAGAAACCTAGTAATTTTTGACAAGACTTTTTGAGACAAAAACAAGGAAAGAGTTCATTTAAAGATCATTAAGCCAGGATCTATTAGTCTAGGCACATGTTTCCAAGTTTCTTTTTTCTCTCTCTCTCCGCTGGACACTGAGTTCACATTCTGAGCTTATGCCATTCTGCCAGTGGCTACATTGTGTCATTTGTTTCCCTTGCAGAGAGTGTCAATGAAGACCTCAAAGTCTGGAGAAAAATGACCTTTCATGGAATAAGAAGTATACCTCCTTCTACATGTTTTTGTCTTACTGACCTCTGATAACTGGAACACATGACTCTGGGTCTGTAGAAAGTCAACTGATCAAACTCATCCTCACCATGCATCAACTGTTCAGACTGGTTTTGGGACAAAAAGATCTTTCACGAGCTGGGGACCTCTTCTCCTTAGATGACTCTGAGATTGAAGACAGCCTTACAGAAGCTTTGGAGCAAATTAAGATAATTAGCTCATCTTCAGTAAGTAAACTGGTTTATAGACTACATCTCTGAAATGGCCTGTCCTAGAGCTAGAGATTTGTTTATATCCTGGCAGAAAGATCTTTGCAGGGGAAAGAGGAAATACCACTAATATTGGTCTCTCTTAATCTGCTCTGTGGTTTTGTTGGCATCTAAGAAATATCAGTAGGGAAGTCATGGCTTAGTAGGGGGCAGTTAGATCATCTTTTGCCCACTCACAAAGACCAGAATTCTGAAAATTGCAGAGCAGCATGGAATTCTCACAAAAATATTATTTAGGGGCTATTTTTATGTCCTTGAAATGACACTGAGAGGAGAGGGAGCCAATCCAGGGAAAAGCAGACCTGCAGAGCAGCATAACAGCATCAGTAAACAAGAGCAGGGTGTGTGTGGGAGGCTGAATAATGAAAGAAGGCAGGATGACACCTCCTGCCACGCAGGTAATATGAGACAAGGACAACGATCGCTTTGCTGCCAGAAGTGACAGTTGCCCAGGACTTAATAAGGCTGATTCTGTTTACTTCTGTATTGTCTCTATTTTTATCTTTCCCTTGCTTCTTTTTCTACCCACCTGCATCCCTACTCCCTGGACCTGCCATTTAATTCCACCCACCCATTATTAGTCCCCAGTGTGATCAGACAGATGTAAAACCTCCCATCAATACTTGCATTCCTTCGCTTCTCTTCAATGTCAAGATTATATATTCTGAAAGCACTTCCCAAAGGGGATGGATGTGGAGTGCCCAGTGTGGTTTCATGTTGACCTTCTTGATTGTACTTGGACCCTCCATGAGACTGGTCCCACTTCAAAGGCCTAGGGCCACCAGGCATCCACCCACATCCTCCCAGCTCAGCAGTGTTAGCCAACACTTGGCACAGACACTCATTGGAAAGATGAAAGTGGTGGGACTCAAGCCATACAATACTGAATTGGCAAATGTGTGCATATTTCAGAAACAACAGCGCTCTTCTGTGTTACAAAGAAGATATATTTAAAAGGTATACTGGCAACCCGTGCAGCCTCCTCTTCAAGCCTATTTTCTCTTGCTGGCTGCCATTAACATGCTGAACTCCCCCCAGTGACCAATGAAGTCACTGCTCAAAAAACTCTTCTTTTCTCAGGTAATGTCTTTGATGGCAATTACTCATCCACATCTTTTCCAGAACATTAATCAACTTAGGTTGACGCAAAGCACAACATGTTCCTGGTACATTTTCATTTTCTGGGTAAGATTTTTGTCCTGTTTTCAGAAACCCCTTCTTTCACACTCCTCTGCAAATCAGTTGGCTGAAAATTACACTGGTTTTCATCTTCTTACTAGGAAAACAAAACAAAACAGTAATCAAAGATCACATAAGTTCCCTAAAGCCTACTTCCACTAGAGGTCACTAGTGGCCAGTTATTTATTTTGTTTGCATCATTAATTGCTTTGTTTCACAGACATCAAATTCAGAATTTTAGGACTGGTGACTCAGTTCTATTATATAACTCCACTGGTTAGCCATTAAGGCTGGCAGGTCCCTTGTCATTAGGATCATCGTCCATTCATTAAGCTGTCCAAATAGCATCTCACTCTACCAGGAGTTCTGGAGAGCCAGGAGTTCGTGTGTCTTCTTCATCTACTAACTTTTACCACATCTTACTTCTTCCATTTCTCTATCTGTAACCCTCTCATGGAACAGAAGAAGAATGGTAGCTTGTAATTTACATATATCAAGTTTGAGGTTACCAATGCCAGCAGCTCCTTATCTTCCTTTTCTGATTAGCACATGGAACCACCATGCCTGCTCTATGGCTTACATCCCTGTTAGCTGCGTCCCATCCTTCCCTCAGATCCAGCCCCAGCTATTCCTCTCTAGGCCTCTCCTAATGACCTTGGATCTCAGTAATCAATTCCACTTCTCAATTTCTCTTCAGAAACGTAGAACAGGAAGGGATCGTCTAAATTGCCCCTTCCAACTTCCAGCACAGAAGATTGCTGAAAAATAGGTGGCTTCTCCTGCACTTGCAATGATGCGAATATGGTGGGTTTCTAATATTTTTACCTGCTTCTCAATTTTCCTTTGGTAAATTGTCCCTTTCCATTGCATAAAACCTTGATGGCATCTCCATCAAGGTTCCCTACTCATGAGTGCCCACTACCCTTCCCTATCAGTGGTGGGGGAGAGAAGAGGTGAACACCTGGCCCAAGCTTGAAAATCAGAAGTTTTTCCCCAGTAGTTTTAAGAAAGATATCAGCAGGGGGTGATTTATCATGAGGACGGTGCCCCAAAGAAACAGTACTTTACTTCCTCCCTCTCTATCATTGTAGCTGCCTTGATCACTGCTCCTTTTAAGGCCTGGTACTTCACTTTCTCCTTCAAATAAGTGGGCCACCTCTAATCTTCTTCTTATAGCTATTATTATTATTGTTTGCTGTACTTATTCAGACTTTTTCTGTTGCTTATGATCAAAGAACCCTGACAAAGAGAGAGCATTTTCATTGTTGGGAGTTCAAATTGTTAACATGTTCCTCTGCTTAGCCAGATGAAATCTTACTTTGTACTTTCTACCTGTTGTCTCTGTTCTGTTCTCTGCCCCCAACAATCAAAAGAGTCTACCCTCTGTTTCTACAAGAAAAACTTTAAACCTTTTGAAGATAAGCACCAGGCTTCACCTCTGGCTTGTCTCATCCCAGCTAAACATCTTAGTGACCTTGGGTTTTTCCATGACAAAGAAGGAGCCTGTGTCTGGGAAAGGTTACAGCACCTCATGTTGTAGCCATCAACTGTCAGATCTGGAAAACTCAATTTTGTTGGTACCTGAGAAATGCTATCCAAATCATGCTATCCAAATACAAGACTTGGAAATATAAATTAGATTAAAACACGATGTACTGATTTACAATGAAAATTATAACTCGTACGGATCAGAATTCTTGTGTGTTTCATGCTGTTCTCAAGTCTGTTTACTCAGTCTTTCTTTGGATAAGAAATACTTTTATTGATTAGGTTTCTTCCTCCTCCATGACAATCACATTCCAGCCCTTCCTCCCTGAGATTACATCTAACTCACCTGCAAAGTCACCCATCAAAAGATAATGTCTTGGTTTAGGCCTGTACTGGCTAATCCCACTCATATGAGTGGACTTTATTGGTTTAATCCTCAAAGGACAATCTTGTTTCTGCATTGTTAGAGAAGGCTTCATTGAAGCTCCCAGGTATGGCCTACACTCTTATCATTCTGCTTACCCTCCTTTGGAATAGTCCTAATTTATTATTGTAATTTATCATTGCCCAATACTCAGACCAATTGCTTAGAACAACTACTAATACTAGTCAAATATTCTATGTTTTTAAAAAATCAGTTGTCCACATTTATCTTGTGATGTGCTAAGGCATTCAGGTTGAATCAAGACTTGTAATTAGATAAGTTTAAATTTTTTAAAGTGTATTCTGCCACATTTTCAACATTGCAAAAAAAATTATTGTCTTTAAGCCCTCATTCCAGAATATGTCTTTTAAACATCATGATTCTGTCAAATATATTACTTAGCACTTTCAGCTTTGTGGAATCCAAAAATGTGGCAAACAAGCCTCCAATCCTTCCCCCAAAGCCACTCACAAAAATAATTAAACTTTACTAGATTTTACTGTCCAGTCCATGTCCTCTTTTTCTACCAGTTACTACAAAATACTACTATGAAATGTTTTGCCCTTATGTTTCACTTTGAAAATGTGACTACTCAACTCAGTATCCTCTCCAAGTTCCCAAACATACCTTTAAGTTTTGTCTTTTCATTTCAAGTCCTTTCTAGACCAGTTTTACCTGATAATCACTTGTACTAACTTGGCTTTCCTCCCAGGCTACTCCAAGAGAGATTGTCTCATCCACTCATCCACTTCTCCCACCTTTCCATTGGTGCTCACCTCATGCCCAACCGATCCACCCGCCTTCCAGTTCTCTTTATTTTTCTTTTAACAATGAAACACACCAGGCACACAGAATCACCCACTTTAACATGTTAGGTACAATTGAAAATCCCTGCATGTCTCTTTTTAATCCAATTCTCCTCCCTCATGCCTCCCAAGGTAACCAATATCCTCCTTGTGGTATTTAGCTATGCATGGTTGCTTTTTGTTTTTGTTTTTGCTACACATCCATGGTTCCAAAGTGAATTACAGCATAGTATTTTGTATTTTTAAACTTTATATAAATGTTGTCATAGGGCTCAAATTACGTTTTTGAGATTTGTCTATATTGGTACAGGTAGTTTCAACTCATTTATTTTTGCTGAGGCAGAGTATTCCCTTATGTGAATGTGCTACAATGTATCCATTCTTTTTTTGGTTTATATTTATTATTTAAACAGTGCTACAGTAAACATTGTTGTAATTGGCAATTTTGGCCAATTATTTCTAAAGTTCTAAATACTTGTAATTGCCAAGTATTTCTAAAGTACACAATTAAAAGTGAAACAACAGGTTTTAGGGTTTTGTGTATTTGCAACTTTGTGATATACCAACAAATTGCTTTCCAACAGGGATGTGCCAGTTTACACACCCAACATCAGTGTATGAAAGTTCCAGTTGCTTTATATCCTCACCAGTGCTTGCTTTTATCAGATTTTAAAAGTTTTTTTTAATCTAAGTGAAGCAGCATGTAATTGTTTAAATATACACTCCTCTCATTATTACCAAGGTTGACCATTTTTTCATATGCTTATTTGCTGTATGCCATTTGTTTTCCTCTGAAGGAAGTGCCTACCACTTTACTTCCAGTGAAGTATCTGTTTATGTTTTTTTTTTCTTTTTTCTTTTGTAGTCTTAAAATCTTATTTTTATTAACTTGGACTATTTTGTATATTCTTGTATTAGTCCTTTGTCACCTATGCAGGTTGCATATCTCACTCTGATACACAGTTTATCTCTTACCTTGTAATAAGTCTTGATATCTGATAGGACAGTATTCCCACCCTTCTTTAACACTGCTTTGTTTTTTTCTGTTCTTTAATAATTTTATATTAAGCTTCTCCTGTTTTCTGAATAATTCTATCAGTATCTTAACTGGGTGTTATTATAACTATAGATTAATTTGAAGAAAATTAACATCATTATGTACTACTGTCTTTATATCTATAGACATTACATTTCTATCCCTTTATTTATATGTTTTTAAATGTTGCTCAAAGAGGTTTTATGATATTTTTCCTAAGAATGTTAATATTATACATCTTTTGTTAAATGTATAAGTGTTTTATATTTTTTTCTGAGAATATAATAATATTCTTTTTTAAAATTATATTTTCCAATTCTATTTTCAGTTGGTTATAACATAAATGATTCTTGTATGGTGATCTTATGTTCAGCAAACTCACTCAACTCTCTTACTAATCCTAATAATTTGTCTATATACATTTTCCAGTTTATTCAACAAATATTTATTAGTTGTCTACTATGTTTCAGACACTGTACTGGATGCTAGGATAGAAGGGTAATCAAAAAAGACAAAAAAAAAAAGCCCTCTGACATCATCCATTTAATTGGGTAAGACAGAAAATAAACAAATAAATAAGGAAGATATGTAGTGTATTAGAAGATTATAAGTAAGTGCTATGTAGAAAATTAACGCAGAGGGCAGTGACAGGATATCGGAGGCTTGAAATTTCAAATAGGGTGCACAAGGTAGTCCATACTGAGACAAAAGCTGACATTTAAGCAAAACTTGAAGGAGATGAGAGAGCAATACTTTTGGGTACCTGGAGGAAATCATTTCAGGCAGAGGAACTATTAAGTACAAAGGTCCTAAGGCTGTAGACTGGAGTTTCTGAGGTCAGTGTGGCTGTACTGGAGAAAATCATTTCAGGCAGAAGGACCATTAAGTACAAAAGTCCTGAGGTTGTAGGCTGGAGTTTCTGAGGTCGGTGTGGCTGTAGTGAAGGGAACAATGTGGAAAGGGAGATGAGGTTAGGAGAGAAGTGGAGGCTGGATTGTTGGAGTCTTGGGCAGCCACTGGAGAGTTCTGAGCAGAAGTAACATGGTCTAATTTTTCTATTCCTGTTTTGGGAACAGTCTGTGGAAAGGCAAGAGTGAAATCAGAAAGGCCAGTTGAGTGGCTACTGAAATAATTCAGATAAGAAGAAGCAGAGGTTCTGACCATCATGGAGCAGTGGTGGTGGTAAGTGTTCAGATGATCCTGGATGTATTTTGAAGATAGGACCAACAGGATTTGCTGAAGTATGTGCATGTGATGAAGAGGGGGAGGTGGGGGGAAGGGGGAGAGAGAAAGAGAGAGAGAGAGAGAGAGAGAGAGAGAGAGAGAACGAACTTAAGATTTTTGGCCTGAAAAACTAGGATGATAAAATTGTCAATAATTAAGATGAAGACGACCAAGGAAGGAAGGAATTTGGAAAGGGAGGGTGAGGGGAAGGGAGTGTAGGAAGAATCACGAGTTCCACTTTACATGTGTAAAGTCTGAGCTGTCAGAATTCTGAGTGGAGATGTGCAAGTATTGTATGTATGAGTCTGGAGCAGGAGAGAAGTCTGGGCTGGCCATTATAATTTTGGAACTTGTCAGACTTGAGACTGAGCGAGATCACCAAGGGAGTGAGTGCAGACAGAAAGTAAAAAGTCCAAAGACTGAGTCCAGTACTCAGAAGTTAAGGAGATGATGAAGGACTAGGAAAATAAACTGAGAAGAAATATCCAGTAAAAAAAAAAAAAAAGAAAGAAAGAAAGAAAGTCAGAAAATCATGGTTTCCTGAATGCCAGGTGAATAAGCTGTTGCAAGGAAAGAGTGATGTCAAATGCCACTGATTGGTCAAATGAGATTTGTCACTGATTGGTCAAGACTGAGAATTGACTGAGGTTCAGACACATGAAGGTCATTATGACTGGACAAGAGCAGTTGTCACTGGATGGGTCAGACTGAAAGCCAGATTGGAGTTAGTTTCAGATGGTGGGAAGAGAATTGAAGAAAATGAGCAGTGACAACCCTGGGCATTTTCCCATAAAGATCAGAGAAATGGGCTGGTATTTAGAAAGAATGAGATGGGGAGAGAGGAGAGAATCAAGAAAAAAATATGTTTTAAATGGAAGAAGCACATTCCTTGATTATTTTTTATGTGTAAGTCATCACTTTAAAATAATTATAGTTTTGTTTCTTCCTTTCCAATCCTTATTCTATTATTTGATTTCTTTGTCTCATATCCTGACTAGCTCTCCAGAACTAGATTGACTAGAATGAGTTATCCTTCTCTCTTTTTATTTAAAGAGAATTTTCTGACTTTTCAGTGTAAGCATAATGTTTGCTCCAGGCTTTTGGTTAATGCTCTTTATCAGATTAAGGAGGTTCCCATTTATTCCTGTTTTTCTAAGAATTGTTTAATTTTATCAACTGATTTTTCTATCCTCTTGAGATAATCCTATTTTCCCCTTTAATCTGTTAATGTGGTGAATTACAGTAATAGATTTTTCAAATATAGAACCATTATTGTATTCCTGGAGCAAAATAAAATTTGTTGTTTATTTTAATGCATTTTAAAATTTGATTTGCTATTTTTAAAGTAGTTTTAGAACTATGCTTATATATGAGATTGGTCTTTAATTGTCCTTTTTCCACTGTCTTTACCTAGCTTCGACATCAAGTTATATACAGTAGTTTCATAAAATGAGTTGAGAAATGTTACCACATTTTGTTATCTGCAAGAGTTTTGTAATATTGTGACCTAATCCTCAAAGATTTCATAGAACAGTATAAAACTCTCTGGCACTATAAATTTGTGTATTTTAATAGATTTTTAAACTACTGATTCAATCTTTTTGAGGAAAATTAGGAATTTTGCTTCAGTCACTTTTGGTAAAGTATATTTTCTAAGCAATTTTATATTTTATCTGAGTTTTCAAGTTTATTAGCATCAAATTGTTTGAATTATTATTTTTTGGCAGCTTCTGTATTCATTGATATCTTACCCATATTTTCAAAGCTTTGCCTTCTACTTTTTAAAGTTTTGATTTATTGATCATCTGTATAGGATCATTTCAAAATCTTATTAATTTCTTTTTAAGTCTTTACTACTTTACTTTTTGTACTTTCTGTAGCTTTATTCTGCTGTTCTTTTTTTTAGTCTCCTCAATTGTATAATTAGGTTATTGATTATTTTAACTTTCTTATTTTCCAATATAAGCATGTAAGACCATAAATTTCTTGCTAAGTAACATTTAGTATCATTCTACAAGTTTTGAGATATGTTTTTATTGTAAATTCTAAATATTTTCTTAGTTTTATTGTGACTTCCTCTGACTCACAAGTAATTTAGAAGTTAGTTTTAATTTCCCCAAGAATTTTTATAATCTTTTTGTTGTTAAGTTAAATCTTAACTGCATGTAGTCAGAGAATGTGAACTGCATGGTATCAGTTATTTCGAAGTAGTTGAGACTTGCTTTGTTACAGAGTTTATGGCTAATCTGTGTAAATTATAATAGCTAATACTTATGTAGCACTTATTGTGTGCCAGAAACTGTTCTAAGAGCTTTTCACATTAATATATTTATTTAAGTAAATTTTTGAGATAAGTATACTAATATTCCGATTTTATAGATGAGGAAACAGACATAGAAAGGCTAATAATGTAACTTTACCAAGGTTGTATAGCTAGTAACTGGTAGAACCAAAAATCAAGCCCAGAATGTGAGTTCAGAAGCTATTCTTAGCCACCAAACTATGCTGCCTCTTTTTTTTTTTTTTTGAGTCAGAGTCTTGCTCTGTCGAGTGCAGTGGTACAATCTTGGCTAACTGCAACCTCCGCCTCCTGGGTTCAAGCAATTCTCCTGCCTCAGCCTCCTGGGTAGCTGGGATTACAGGTGCCCACCACCACACCTGACTAATTTTTGTATTTTCAGTATAGACGGGGTTTCACCATGTTGGTCAGGCTTGTCTTGAACTCCTGACCTCGTGATCCACCCGCCTCGGTCTCTCAAAGTGCTAGGATTACAGGCATAAGCCACCGTGTCTGGCCTATGCTGCCTCTTTAAATGTTTAATATGTGCTTGAAAGGAATGTGTATTCTCTAATTATTGGATGTCTTAATATCTATATTATTGGATATTAAATATGTTGATTAAATAACTCTTGTTAATGATATTGTTCAAATTTTGTATATCCTCAATAAGTTTGCATTTGTTTGGACCATCAGTTACTAACAGATATGTTTTACATTTTCCATTATAATTTTGGGTTTGCCAATTTCTCCTTGTAATTTTGTCAAGCTTGTTAGGGGCTTTTTTATTATGTATGCACAAGTTAAAGATTGTTATTTGTTTCTTGGAGAACTTTTCTTTTCATTAGTATATACTGAGCATTTTTATTCCTAATAAGTTTTGCCTGTTTTCTTTGGAGTAGAAATATCTATTTTTTCTTTGTCTGTCTTTTTACTTTTACCTTTCTATGTCATGATGACTTTAATGTAATTTGTAAATGTTATATAAGTAGATTTTTTAAATAATCAAAATAGAAAATATCTGTCTTTTAATTGGTAAATTTAGTCAACTCATACTTATTATGATAAGCGATCTATTTGGATGTATTTCTTCATTTTATTTGTGTTGTATTTTCTGACTTTTCCATGTTTATTTTTATATTTTTTCTGAAAATTTTTAATTGATTGAGTTTTTATCATTTTATTTCCTGCCACTCTTGGGACTAGTGGGTTGAAGATTATATATTCTATTTCTATTATTTTAATATAGTTGCCTTTAACATTTTAGCAAACATACTGATGATATTTCATCAATTCTAAGATAGACATTTTCCCATATTAAAATCTCTGAAATAAATATGTGTTTTATAATTGATGACAATCTTCCAATTGCTGTTGGCCAGGCAGTAGTCATACATAGTTGTCATGGCCTACATGTGCAGGAACTTGTCATATTGTTCTTCATATTGTTACCATTCTAACTGAATTAGATACCTTGTTGTTCCTACCAATGTTGAGTTAAATATCCATTTAAAATGTTTTCAAAACTACTAGACTATAATGTGGCACTGAAACAGAAACTTATTGTGTATGCAGAAAGGCATGCAGAATAGCATCATGGTATATAAGTTTTATATTAGTTAACCAATCATTGGGGGAATGACAGCAATTCCACATTTTCTTGCAAAATAATAACTGGGCACTATATGGAACCTAAAAAAGAATATAGTTTTTGTTACTGAGATATTGGTAAAAGATCACCTACCTATTACACTATAATAAGTAATACAATTGAGGGCAGGAGAAATGGACAATTCTCTTAGCATAGATGAAAGAAATTTCAAGGAAATGAGAGTCTAGTATGCTCAATTAATATCCTGTATAGGACTCTCTTGGAGGCATGATGCCCCTCACAATTTAACTGGCAGTCTCTTCTCTTTCTTCATGACACACGAAATAATCATAGATCTTCTCATTGCTGCCATATTACATTTGATTAATTACAGTAACTATGTCTAAAGTTATTCAGGAACTCTGTCCTCCTCCTATTCCTAGAAGTACCTTGGAAGACTTTAATGCCCATCTTACATGTTATTAACCAGCACTTTTATTTACCTGTGTAATACCCTTGAAACTATTCTTTTTAAATGAGAGGCTTTAAAAAAATGTATAGTCAATGCTTGCTTAAAGTACCTAATATTTCCCTGTTTCTTTTTTCACCTTTCTTTTTTATTTGTTTTCCTGAATCCAAGTTCTTGTTTTCTGAAGTATACATTTTAAAAGTATCTTCAGCAAGTGCAGTGGCATGTCCCTGTAGTCCCAGTTACTCAGCATGGTGAGGCAAGAGGATCATTTGAGACAGGACTTTGAGGCTGCAGCATGCTATAATTGCACCTCTGAGGAGCCACTGTACTCCAGCCTGGGCAACATAGCAAGACCCCATCTTTGGGGAAAAGGAAGTTCCTTCAGTGAAGGTCTGTTAATGATAAACTCTCTAAATGCTTGTTTTTCTAAAAAAGTCCTTATTTTTGCCCTTAATTTTGAATAATTACCTGAATATGCATTTCTAGATTGGCAGCCATTTCATTTCTCAGTAGTTTCTATTATTGCTGTTATGAAATGTGCTGTCATTTTAATTGCTATTTCTTTATACCGAATCTACTTTTCTCTCTAGTTAATATTTTCCCTGTGCCTTTGGTGTTCTATGGTTTCACTATTACATGTCTAGATATAGTTTTATTTGTATATTCCTACTCAATCCTTATTGTGTTTTGTGAGTTTGAGGGTTTTATGTCTTTTTTCAATTTTGTAAAGTTCTTAAACTTTTTCTCAAATATTAACTTTCACATCTAATCTTTCCTTTTAGAAATGATATTTATTCACTCAGTTGTGCATCCAACAAATATGTATTGAGTACATACTCTCTTCTAGCAATATTCTAGGCATTGAGAACATAATAGTACAAAAAAAGAACAGACAAAATCATCGCCCTCCTATCCGTCGTATTCTGTCCTATTTTATCTTCAATATTTCTTGATCTATTATATTTTCCATCTCTATGTGAGATATTATATTCTCAGCTCTATCTTCCAATCCATTAAGTCTTTTTTTCAGCTCTATCCATCCACGGTTTCATCCATCTACTGAGGTTTTAATTTCTAGAGATTTCTTTTTTAAAAACAAAATTTCTGGTTTTTAAAAAAGTGACTTGGTCTTTTAAAATAAAAATAATTATTCTTTATACATTGATTTTGAATATATAATTTTGTAATTTGAGGTCAATAATTTCTTACCTGAAATTTTTAAATATCTAATCTGCTCTGTGTTTAATCTGCTTACATGTGCTCATATTGCCTTATTTTCTTGGGTGTTTTGTAATATTAAATTTTTAAGTTCAGCATAAGTAAGATTTTATTTGTGTAAGTACTGAGTGGTCTGTGTTGAGTGTTGTACCTTCAAAGTGGTTTGTATTTGCTTCTGCTAGGAATCCCAGCAATACTGTCAGTTCTGAGCTCACTTGTTGTTAGTGGTGGTGATGTCTTGGCTTTGGAGATTCTTGAAGTGATAGAATAAATGGCATAATGTATCATTATATACACATTGTGTGTGTGTGTGTGTGTGTGTGTGTGTGTATGCTTTTAAAAGTGGAAAGAAGGATGAAAATATAAAGGATTATTAGTATGGATGCCAATGTAGAATATGACTATAACAGTAATAACTATGTGGTCCTTGTTCAATACATTATTAAGTAGTTGTGGAATAAATGTATAAAAATATCAACCACACATGAAAATGTTTGTGAAGAAGTCCAAATATCTCTCCTCCCTGAAAACATAATTTATACCTAGAAAACACTGCAGATACCACCAAAAGGGTCCTAGAACTGATAAACGACTTCAGTAAAATTTTAGGATACAAAACTCAATGTACAACAAGCAGTATCATTTCTATACCTAGTAACATTCAAGATGAGAGCCAAAACAAGAACACAATCCCATTTACAATAGCTGCAAAAAACTAAAATACCTAGGAATGCATCTAACAAAGGAGCTGAAAAATCTCTACAAGGACAACTACAGCTACAAAACACTACTGAAAGAAATCACAGATGACACAAACAAATGGAAAAATATTCCATGCTCATGGATTGGAAGAATCAGTATCATGAAAATAGCCATACTGCCCAAAGCAATTTATAGATTCAACACAATTCCTATCAAACTATCAACATCAGCTGGGCGTGGGTGGCTCACACCTGTAATTCCAGCACTTTGGGGGGCCAAGGCAGGTGGATCACTTGAGGCCAGTTTGAGACCAGCCTGGCCAACATGGTGAAACCCTGTCTCTACTAAAAATACAAAAAATTAACTGGGCCTGGTGGTGCATGCCTGTGGTTCCAGCTATTTTGGGAGGCTTAGGCATAAGAATCACTTGAACCTGGGAGGCAGAGGTTACGGTGAGTTGGGATCCCATCACTGCACTCCAGCCTGGGCGACAGAGTGAGACTCTGTCTTAAAATGAACAAACAAAAAACCTACCAACATCATTTTTCACAATATTAGGAAAACCTATTCTAAAATTCATATATAACCAAAAAAGAGTCAAAATACCTGAAGCAATCCTAAGCAAAAATTACAAAGCTGGAGGCATCACATTACCAGACCTTAAACTATACTATAAGGCTACAATAACTAAGACAGCATGGTACTGGTATAAAAACAGACACATAGACCAATGGAACAGAATAGAGAACCTAGAAATAAAGCTGCACACCTACAACTATCTGATCTTTGACAAAGTCAAAACTAAGCAATGTTTTGACAAAGTCAAAAACTTAGCAATGTTTTGACAAAGTCAAAAACTTAGCAATGTTTTGACAAAGTCAAAAACTAAGCAATGAGGAAAGGATACCCTATTCAATAAATGACTAGCCATATGCAGAAGAATGAAACTGAATTCCTACCTACCACCATATACAAAGATTAACTCAAGGTGGATTAAAGATTTAAATGTAAGACCTCAAATTATAAGAATCCTCAAAGATAATCTAGGAAACACCATTTTGGACATTGGTCTTGGGAAAGAATTTATGACTAAGTCCTCAACCACAATTGCAACAAAAACAAAAATTGACAAGTGGGACCTAATTAAGCTAAAGAGCTTCTGTTTCTGTAGAAGTACCATGCTGTTTTAGTTACTATAGACTTGTAACATAGTTTGAAGTCAGGTAATGTGATGTCTCCAACTTTGTTCTTTTTGCTTAGGATTGTTTTTTTTTTTTTTTTTTTTTGTGTGTGTGTGTGTGTGTGTGTGTGTGTGTGTTTGGTTCCATATGAATTTTAGAATAGTTTTCTCTAATTCTGTGAAAAATGATGTTGGTAATTTGATAGGAATTGTGTTGAATGTATAGATTGCTTTGGGCAGTATGGCCATTTTAACAATTCTGATTCTTCCAATCCATGAGCTTCTTTCTGCACAGCAAAAGAAACTATCAACAAAGTAAACAGATAACCTAGAGAATGGGAGAAAATATTCGTGAACTATGCATCTGACAAAGTTCTGATATCCAGAGTCAATAAATAACTTAAACAATTCGACATGCAAAAAACAATTAGTCCCATTAAAAAGTGGGCAAAGGACATGAACAGACCCTTCTCAAAAGAAGACATAAGCAGCTGACAAACATGAAAAAATGCTCAACTTTAGCAGTCATCAGAGAAATGCAAATCAAAATCACAATGAGATACTATCCCATACCAGCTAGAATGGCTTTTGTTAAAAAGTCAAAAAACAGCAGATGTTGGTGAGGCTGTAGATGCAGAGAAAAGGGAAAGCTTATACCCAGTTGGTGGGAATGTAAATTAGTTCAGCCACTGTGGAAACCAGTGTGAAGATTTCTCAAAGAACAAGGAACTACCACTTGACCCAGCAATTCCATTACTGGGTATATACTCAAAGGAAAATAAATTATTCTACCAGAAAGACATATGCAGTTTTATGTTCATTGCAGCACTATTCACAATAGCAAAGACATGGAATCAACCTAGGTGGTCATTAACACTGGAATGGATAAAGAAAATATGGTACATATGCACCATGGCATACTGCACAGCCATAAAAACAAAGTCATGTCCTTTGCAGCAACATGGATGCAACTAGAGGCCATTTATCCTAAGTGAACTAAAGCAGAAACAGAAACTAAATATGATACTTTTTTCACTTATAAGTGGGGGCTAAGCATTTGTACAAATAGACGTAAGGATGGGAACAATAGACACTGGAGACTAGAGAAAGAGGGAGGGAAGAAGGTAAGGAATGAAAAACTTCCTATTGTGTACTATACTCACTAGCTGGGTGACAGCATAATTTATGCCCCCAAACCTCAGTGTCATAAAATATACTCTTGTAACAAACCTGCTGATGTACGCTCTGAATCTAAAATAAAAGTTGAAATTATAAAAAATTTTTAAAAAGAAAGTGAGAGATAAATACTTTCCCAGACAAATAAAAACAAGGAATTCATTGGCAACAGACCTACTCAACAAGAAATGAAAGAAATTCTTCAGAGATAAGGAATATAATATATTCAGACACTTTTATCCATCCAAAAAAATGAAGAACACTGGAAATGCAATAAAGATATCTATTAGAAAGAAAGAGAGAGAGAGAGACAGAAAGAAAGAAAGGAAAGAAAGAAAAAGGAAAGAAAGAAAGAAAAAAAGAATGAAAGAAAGAGAAAAGAAAGAAAAAGAAAGAAAGAGAGAAAGTGAAAAGAAAAAGAAAGAAAGAATTTGTAACTCACTGTAGGTTATAAACCCAAAGCTGGCTTTTAGGGTTATGGTATCCTTAAGGGAAATAAAAATAATAGCTAACATTTATCTGCACTTACTGTGCACCAGACACTGTTGTAAATCCTTTCCATGTATTAACTCATTGAATACTTGCAACAATCCTAGGAGCCAGATAGTAACAATATTCTAACTTTAAAAATTAGGAAACAGAGGCTTAGAGAGATGAGTGATTGCCTGTGAAGAGCTGGTAAAAGCAGAGCCGAGCCCTTAGCATGGGCATTCTGATGCAGTCCATGTTCTTAACCACTATGCTATGCAGCCTCTAAAGGAAGGGAGGGAGAAATGATTACATCCTTTGCCTTAGGACTCTCCATTCTTTTCTTTCAAGTTTCCACTCCCATGCCAAATTCATTCTTCCCACCACCAACTGCTTTATCTGAGGTATTCCCTCCCTTTTGCCAGTGGGCCATTCCCTGAAGACTGCTTTCAGAGTAGGTAAGAGTGACATAAAAGGTTAATGAATGCTGAAGCGGAGGTGTGTTGAGTGAGAGTGAACCATCCTGATAAACAAGCCTGGAGCAGCACAATTTGTGGCTTTTTCGTTGTCCTACTTCTCCCATTTGACACCCCACCACTTTAGGATAAATTACTTTAAAATTGACAATGGCTAGGTCACTGTGAGAATGACTCTCTAAGTCTGGCTTGATGGGTTTGACATTAAATAGATTTGGTCCTTAGAAGTTGCTCATTTTAATATGCACAGGTACTGACCCAATGTCGAGCCCAAACATAAACACATACACATATGTATTTCAAAAGAACATGATATTTTCTGGAATGCAAGTCAGAAAAACCCTAATTGCAAAGCTGATCCCTTGCCAAAATGCTTTAAATGATTCAATTATACCACTAAAACAGGTTAAAATTTTTTTTTGTCTTTTTGAATATTTGTTAAAGGAAGCAGTTAACTGTTTATTCAGGTTTTCCCCCTTTTTGGAGGAAATCTCATTTTGGAGAATTTTTTCTTCATGCCATGTACAGAATTTGAAGATATAAAATTTTTGAAGTTGAAAAATCTCTTTGTAGTAAAGTGCTGTGTAATAAGAAATTCATAGCTTTAAGGGGCTCACAGTAATATCAAAGTTCATAACTGATGTATCTATACCTGATATATTACTATATTCGCTGCAGTTATGAACAATGTGAAGTAATTTATCTTTATGGACAGCTGCTTAACTTTTCTAGTTAGAAATCATAGGATATTTGCCTTATGTTCAACAATGTCACTGACACGATCCTGTACACAATGGCTTCATTCGAAAGGCCCCTTTCAAAATTCTCTGATAATTCATTACTTTCTTAGCATGGAGACTGAGTTCTAGTGTTCATGACCAAGACACAGATGACTGTCATGTATTTTTCATTGAGTTGCACCTTCCACTTTTATTGAGGCTTGTTTCATTCAGACAAACATCTCATTGCCATTTATTAATAAACTATTATTTGGACATTGTTTGCTATGCTTCTCAGTGTCATCTATATAAACTGTTCCCAGGAAAACAGACTCTGAAATGGTGATTACCATGCAGAACATTTATAGGGGAGTGCTCTGAGAAACAATACCTGTTAGGGGGTAGATGAAGCAGGATTGGGCAGAGGAAAAATTTGCACTGTAATGCAGCTGTGAAAAAAAGGCCTCAACTAATCTCTCACAGGGACCTCTGGAACTGGGATGACCCTTCAGAGTCATCCTACGACAAGGGACCAGGCCTTCATATCTCCATGATGACTAGTCATTGGATGCAGGTTGTCCAATGGGAGGAGCAAAATGTTGAATGAGGCCATTCCCTTTGACCACAGAAAATTTCTATAGGCAGACTTGGCTACAAACCAACAGCTGAGAGAATGAGTACCTAGGTCCTGGAGAGGGGATTTGGGCAATGTATCATCATGTCCACTATAGTCTACCCCAGAACTGTTCTAAATGGTATGCTTTGTATAATAAATTTATTCTATATGGAAACAGCTTCTCTGATAAGCTGATTGATCTCTTGTTCTAAGGAAATTTATAATAAGAAAGTTAGAAGGGGATCTAACATGTCTGTGATTAACTGGTTTCCTTGAGGGATGGTGCCATTCTTCGGGCCCAGCATTAGCTTCTGTTGCTGTCAGGTTTCACATCAGGGCAGCGTTGAATGATGCATAACTTCTATCCCTCACCATAGCTATTCCATTTACGTGCCTATTGGATCACACTAGAGTGACTGATGACAGAGGCTTGATGTCATTTAGATAAGTCATTCTCTCTACTTTGTGTTTTATTGCCTCTTTTGTGATGAATGCTCTCATGGGCATTAACATGGGATAAAAAAGATGTTTATACTTTGTGCCCAAGTCAAGTGTCCACCACTCCAGTTCTTATCAAGGCTGCAATTGGTATGCATCATCTCTGTGGTAGGCTGAATAATGGCCCACAAAAAATGTCCTCATCCTAAACCCCAGAACCTGTGAATGTAATCTTACATGGGCAAGGACCTTTTCAGATATAATATAATTAATAATCTTGAGATTGGGAGATCATCTTGGATTATGTGGGTGGGCCCAATATAATCAAGGGTCCTTATAAGTGGGGAAACAAGGTCAAAGGTGGAAGAAAGAGAGGGAATGATAAAAGCAGAGGTTGAAGTGATGTGCTTTAAAGATGGAGGAAGGGACCATGAGCCAAGGAATGCAGGTGGCCTCTAGAAGCTAGAACAGATTAAAAAAAAAAAAAATGCCCTCAGAGCCTCCAGAGGGCACCAGCCCTGCTGACACCTTGACTTTAGTCCAGTGAGACTGATTTTTGACTTCTGACCTGCAGAACTTTAATTTCTCAACACAAATTCTTGAGCCAGTAGGTATGTGATAATTATTTGCAACTATAACAAGAAGACAAATGCAGTATCCCTCCTTTACAACCTCTTCTGGATTTCCTTCATCTTCAGCTAGCACCTCTATTAATCTAAGTTGCTTCCTAGTTGAGTTACTCAGATGCACTTTCTTGAGGGATCTAAGTCCCTGGACTCCATTCCTTTCTCAGGTTGTGACTGCTCCATTGTCCATTTACCATCAAAATTGGGCAAGGGAGTACCAAGAGATATCTCCATTGTGTAACAGCAGCCTACTGTCTTCTAATGGGCATGGCTAATTACTCCTGCCAGGTTGGCAACTCCTTTCTTAATCTGCTGGTCCCCTTGACACAAAGAACCTGAGGTGACTGGGCTGTTGGGCTCATGTATTCTACCTGCAGGGAATACAGTACCATGCAGTGGTCACTGTTTTAGTATGTGTACTGCCCCTTGGAGAATGGTGTTTCATCTTAACAGGATATAAGGTTGAGTGGCTTCTTTGCAAGCCTGCTCCATTGATTCATCAGTCTAGCAGTATTGGGGTGGGGGCAGAAGAAGTTATGGTATGTGATAGAACCAGTGAGTCCCATGATTATGTGCCTACTGCTGTACATCCTTTGCTATAAAATGGTTCTTTGGTTTGATGCAGTGTTATGTAGAATCCTATGTCAGCAGACCAAATGCTCTGTGATCCCTCAAATAGTGAATCAGGCTTAAGCCCTGTGGGCAGAAAAAAAGCAAACCCAATCCTGGATTACGTGTAAATTCCACTCAATATGATTGATGTCCCTTCCAGGGTGGAAAAGGTCTAATGTAAATAACTTGCCACCAAGTGATTGATTTGTTTCCTTGAGGGATGGTGCCATTCTGAGGACTTAGCAGGGGCCTCTGTTGCTGGTAGATTTACATCAAGGCAGTGGTGGGTGATGCCTAGCCTCTATCCCTCACCATGGCTACTCCATTTATGTGCTGACTGGATCACACTGGAGTGACTGATGACAGAGGCTTGGTTGATGTCATTTGGCTGAGTCATTCCCTCTGCTTTGTATTTTAGTGCCTCTTGTGTAGTGAATATTCCCATGAACATAAAAGATGTTTATACTTTATGTCCAATCCCATGTGTGGATCCATGCTTCTTACCCAGAGCTCCTTATTTCCAGTTTCTCAATCGTTCTTTTTTCAGGCCCTTGGCCATTCAGCCAAGCCATTTCTCTTGCCACACAAAATTAACGATCAGGTGCATGGCTGAAGCTCTGACCGTTGGGAGAATGTTCTCTCATTTTTGTCTTTCAGGGTCACCCTGAGTAGGTCTATACATAAGAGAAGTCAAATTTTGAATTTCACCCACATACCCAGCCAACCCATCAGTAAACCAAGTTGAGACATTTTCCTCCTCTGTCAGCTGGCCATGAGGGAACCCCTCATGTGGCCATAAGTGTCACCTGAGTGTAAGATGTTATTTCTATAGTGGTTGATGACACAGGGGTCCGGGTCACCTGTTCACACAGCTTATTTGTGCACTCTGGCTTTTTTCATGTCTGGTCCAAAATGTACCACTTCTTAGTAAAATTCTTGAACTTCAAAACTTAAGAAAAAACTCAAGCGTAATATGAGCTAATATGACATGTTTAAGGCCAAATGTATCTATCATATCACTTTATATAAATGGGTAAAATGCACCTATTTTTTTAAAAAGACTTTTAGATTAGATCACCGGGCAAAATCTAGCAAAGAAGAGACATATATTTAATGACTTAGGAAATGATTTAGAAAATGTAAAAATAGGCTGGACATGGTGGCTCACACTTATAATCCCAGCACTTTGGGAAGCCAAGGTGGGGAGGATCACTTGAGCCTAGGAGTTCAAGACTAGCCAGGGAAAAATAACGAGACTCCATCTCTACAAAAAAAAAAAAAAAAATTAAAAAAATTAGCTGGGAATGGTGGCATGCACCTGTAATCCCAGCTACTCAGGAGGCTGGGATAGGAGGAACCCTTGAGCCCAGGAGGTTGAGGCTGCATTGAGCCATGGCACCACTGCACTGCAACCTGGGTGGCAGAGAGAACCTGTCTGAAAAAAAAACAAAAATTAAAAATTAGAAAATCTAAAATAAAAAGATGCAAAATTAAACAATGATTTACTTGACTATAAAACACATGTGAATAATTCAAATTAAAGCAAATCATTTTGATGTTTACCACAAAACCATATCACATATTCAAACCTAATATATAGGCTATTTCTTTTTTTTTTTAACACCATGCCAAATTAACAGATAAAGCACAGGAAATAATCGTTTGACACAGAAAATCAATGCTGAGTCAAAACTAATCCTCTTTGCTTAAAATTGTGAGAGTTTGCCCACTCATTTGCTAAGGCAGGGCCCTCTGTTCTCAAATGAAGACCTGTGAAGTCTACATGTAGCTCCACCATGCTTAAATTGTTGATTATGATAAAATGGTTTGGACCCAGACGATGATCAAGGACTTCTGTATACTCTATGTACTAGGCATATTTTTTACTATTAAGAATCGTTGAATGATGCTACTAAATTATTTCCTAGAAAGTTACAGAAAGAGAGTTAACAACCACTCACTTGATACAATATAGGTTGTAAAATAAATTTTAAAAATAAGAATAAAATAGGCAAATGATATGAGGTAAATGTAAACCAAAAGGAACAGGGATCATGTTCTTTAGTCAGATAAGAAAAAATTCATGCCAGAAGCATTCAGTAAAATAAAGGCACTTTGTTTTTTTAATGGATTTAGTTCACAAGAGTTATAAAGATTAAGAATATCTTTATGTTAAATTACATAGCAATAAAATTCATAAAGAAAAACTCCAGGAGATACCAGTAAAAGCAGATAGACACATTAGTTGCAGGAAATGTTAATTCACTTCTGTTGAGCCACTGTAAGGTCAAATAATAAGTAAGATTATAGAGAGCTTAAATCTTCCAAAATCCTTTATGGACTTAGCATAAAATTGATACGAAACCTGACAAACATAAGACCAAATATTGACGCAAAAAAATTTAAATGAAATACTAAAAACAGAATTTAGCAGCACCTTAAAAAATTATTTCCCAAGATCCAGTACAACATGTTCCAGGAATGCAAAGTTAACTAATATTGGGAAATTTGTTTCTGTAATTTATCATATTGATAGATCTAAGGACAAAAATATTTGATGTACCTATAAATGCTAAAAAGGCATTTAATGAAATTCACAATTTATTCTTTATTTAAAAATAAACTCAATAAATAGCAATAGACTGATACCTCTTTAATATTGTAAATTATAATATTATAAAATCTCTCACCCAAAAAGCCAGCATAATGCTTACTAGGGAAATTAAATCAAATATGTAAACCTTGAAAATAGAAAGTGATGTATTCTATATGATTTAAAACATTTACTGTATTTTTTTGTTTGTTTTTCTGGACCATAAAATTTTATGCCAAAAATCAAGAATCAAAACTAGGAACTAAGCTAGCATTCTTGTTCTAATCACTTTTATGTGAAATAGCATAGAAGATTCTAGCCAACATAATAAGCCATGGGATATATAAAATATATAGATCTCAGAAAGGCTGCATGAAACACAAAAATCTTTTTAGAAAACCCAAGATGATGAATTGAAAATTTATCATAATTAAGTGTAGTTAAGCTAAAGAGCAAGTTACAAAATAAATACAAAAAGCACGACATGGTGGCTCATGCTTGTAATCCCAGCACTTTGGGAGGCCAAGGCAGGCAGATCACGAGGTCAGGGGATTGAGACCATCCTGACTAACATGGTGAAACCCTGTCTCTACTAAAAATCCAAAAAATTAGCCGGGCGTGGTGGCATGCTCCTATAGTCCCAGCTACTCCAGAGGCTGAGGCAGGAGAATTGCTTGAACCCCAGAGGCGGAAGTGGCAGTGACCTGAGATCGCACCACTGCACTCCAGCCTGGGTGACAGAGTGAGACTCCATCAAAAAAAAAAAAAAAAAAAAAAAAAGGTTCATTTAATCAGCAAAAACTAATTAAAAGTTCTAATGAGAAAAAATATTTTGTTAACAACAACAAAAAGACAAAATACACTAGGAAACATGGTCAAAAATTTGTGAAGCTCAATAGCAAAGACATGGAGTCAACCTAAATGCCCATCAATGGTACACTGGATAAAGAAAATATGGTATATATACAGCATGGAATATTACACAACCGTAAAAAAGAGCAAGATCATGTTATTTGTAGGAACATGGAGTTGGAGGCCATTATCCTTAGCAGATTAATGCAGGAACAGAAAAACAAATACTGTGTGTTGTCACTTTAAGTGGGAGCTAAATGATAAGAACACATGGACACACAGAGGGGAACAACACACACTGGGGCCTATCAGTGGTTAGATGGTGGGAGGAAGGAGAGAATCAGAAAAAATAACGAATGGGTACTAGGCATGATACTTGAGTGACAAAGTAATCTGTATAACAAACTCCCATGACACGAGTTTACCTAAATAACAAACTTGCACATGTACCCCTGAACTTAAAATAAAAGTTAAAAAAAAATTCTGAAGCTTACATAGGGAAAGTTGCAAAATTAGTATTGTAAAAGAATTGAGAAATGGCAGACAGAAAAGACAGCCCTGAAATAGAATCTGATATATTTAAAACAATTACTAGGAAATGAATTATTCACTAAATGGTAGTAGGAAGATTAGGTTAGCTATTTAGAAGAAAATGTACATTTCTACTTATTTCCATAAATACCAGATAGATTTAAGAGCTAAGCAAATGGTTAAAAGATGAATTTCTAAAGTAATAAATGGTGAGTGTTTTGTGAAGTTCTTTTTAATCTGGAAAAAAGTAGAGATGATTTTTATTCAAATTTTGAATAAGGAAAACTTGAAGTTAAACAAAAATCTGTTACAGGAATCACACAGAAAGAAAGGAGAATGTGTGGATAATATCTGCATGTGCTTAGAATGCCTCTGTATAAACATAAGGATTTGCTGAGCCTGGCTCCCGCTGAGGAAGGGGACTGGGACGGATGAGGAACAGCGCTGACAGGGAGATTAACTTTTAACTGTAAACCCTTTCTTTGCATCTTTTGAATTTTTGTACGATGTTTATGTATTACCTTTCAAAAAAATGTAAACAACTTAAGTTTCCAATTTAGAAAAGGAAAAACAATAAGGCCCCAAAATTGACAAATTTAATTACCTAAAATCTTAGGATGTCATTGAATAGCAGCAAAAAAACTAAAAATAATGAAACGTAGAGATATATTTGCAGCCAAATGTCAAATATTCACTTAATACCCTTAATAGAAAAATATATTGTACCAAAGAAGGATTAAAAAAAAAAAAGATGAGGTCACCTAAAGAAAAATATATATAAGGTACCGTGGGTAGTTCCCAAAGGAGAAAATACAAACAGCCAATAAACACAGAACCATTCAACCTCACTTTTGGGCAAGGAAATTCCTAAGCAAAACAGCGATAAGATACTGTTTCTCACTAATCAAATTAGAAATATTATAAATACTCTGTTCTTGTAAGTGTACAATAAGGAGATCATTCTATTACCCAGCTGGAGGGAGTTCACATTCGTAAAACCTTTCTGGAACATAGTTCAACAGTACCTATTTTGAGCCTTAAAAATGTGCCTGTCCTTTGTCTCAGAAATTTTCACTTCTGGAGGCTCTAGTATATAAATAATTTGCAATGTAGAGAGAGCTTCATGCACAAGATGTTTACTGTCCTATTAGTTATAGCAACAGAAAATTGTTACAGCTGGAGTTTGCTGTAGTGCCGAAAAACCCCATCACTTCCCATCTCTAATCTCACATGATGATGTCAGGCTCTAAATACTTTCCTGCTCTATTATATTTTCAGTTTTGTGAGTCCACCATGTGAAGTTCACAGTCAGACCAATTATCCAAATTAATGCAGTGGGTCTGTTTTTCACATTTAGATGTTTTGGAGGTCCCATTATTTCTCAGTAAAGATGATCAGGTATTTGAGGGAGAATTAAGACAGGGGAATGGAGGAAAACCTGGTTGGGGAAAGGTAAAATGGGTTTTGTAGTTATTTGAGTTGAAAAGGGAGAGATGAAATGATGTGTTCCATTATGTCCAGAAAGAGGGAGAAAACTAATGAGGGGAAATTGAAGGGTAATTTGAAACATTTCACAAAAGTTGCTGAAATGTCAGAGTAAAAAGTAACCCCTGCCCTGTAATGGACTTAGAAACTGAAATAGTCTAAAGATTAAACCCACTTGCAAGTGAATAGTTAAGCGCCTGTGTACTCTCAGGGATCCCTGTCTAAGGGTGATAGTAGAACCTGCTCCATTTTAGCATGTTTGTGTATCTGCCTCTTCCACAAGATTAGGATCTCCAAGGAAGGAAGCCTTTATTGTATTAGGCTTTACACCCTCACCCCTTAGCACACAGCCTGGTGCACCCATTTTCTAAATGACTGAGTTAGTATTTTGTCCTTTGAAGGATAACTTTCTAGAGTATTATTTAACATGAAGATTTTCTTTCCAAACAGGATTACCAAACCAATAACAATGACCAGGCAGTAGTTGAAATCTGTATCACAAGAATCACAACAGCCATCAGAGAGACCGAGTCCATTGAAAAGCATGCAAAGGCCCTTGTGGGGCTCTGGGACTCCTGCTTGGAACATAACCTGAGACCCTTTGGGAAAGACGAAGACACTCCTCATGCAAAAATCGCATCTGATATCATGAGTTGCATTTTACAGGTATGTCAGTGTTCAACATCAGGCTATTTGATACTGAGTTGGCAGCCTAGGTGAACCTGTGATGTCTGTGAACCAAGAGCCAATGCTTCTGCAGCATTTAGATACTGTAAAAAGACACTACAAGCCATCAATAGCTGGGAGGGCCGGTAATTAATAAACTGAGAAAGTTCTGTAGAGCTCCTGCTACGTGCAAGACACACTGTAGGGAATTCAAGTAATACCACTGCAAGCCTCTAATCTGTTTGGAGAGTATACATATAAAAAGTTAACAAGAAAGCAATATGTGCCAAGACCCACAGGAGGAGTACTAAAAAATTCAGAAGAGGAGATCTCTTTCATCCAAGGAGAACACAGTAGAAGCAGAAAATGAACTGAGGGGCAGTGCGCTCGGGACCTAGCAGGGAAAGTGACTAAGTCATTTCAGACATATTTCTATATGTATTGAGAATTTTTCATGATGATATTTGCCCGTTCTGACCACAGTTAATTATTTCCTCTGGTATAAATGTGAATTTGGAGTTTTGGCTCAGCCGCTAATGAGTTGTGTAACACTGCGATATTGGGCAAGTCACTTACATTCTTAAGCCACAGGGTCCTCTATGTGAAATGCACATTAAATGACATTGTCTATGACAAATTTACCAACCAGAGATGTTGATAGGTGTTTCTCAGAAAAGAACTTTGTGATGAAATAAGTTGGAAAACAATTCTTTTTTCCCTTTTGAATGATCACAATGTTTCATGGCATACTAAAGGTTCTGTAAAGTACTGCAATAAAGAAAGCTGGTTAACCTTGTTTAGGCCAGCATTTTCCAGTCTGATTTCACTATGAAACCTCCTTTCTCCTCCCCACTCCCAACACAACACTATGAACATCCCTCAGAACCTGTGTTCCACTGAGCACAGGTCAGGAAATTCTGATTATGTTAAAATGCTTAGCAGTGCATGTTGCAGCTGATATGAGCGTCCTTTATTCTTCTTCCTTTTTTTCCCACAGTTGTTTATGATTAACTGGATCATATTTTACCTTGTCTGCTCAGTCTAGGAATTGATCAACTGAACAAAAGACTCTTCATGCACCACCACACTGTATCTCTTTCATCCCCAGGGTTAAGGGTTGGTGGGGAGAAAATGAGGATTGCAGCAAAATTAACAAAAGATGAATAGTGCTTGATGGAACACCAAAGACCCAGTGCATTTGCTCTTCATTGGTTATCTTGGTATATTATTGATATATATCAGAAACATAGATTATTTCACTCCAATGTGCACTTTAACAGACATTCAGACAATTTAACCATCCTATCCATCTCCCCCTGCAGGTTCAAAACCACTCGTCTTTAGGGCAGCACTATCGAATAGAAATCTAATGCAAGCCACAAACAGAAGTCAAATATGTAATTTTAAATGTTCTCGTCCCAGGGTGAGTGGGGGAACAAAGGTGAAGAGGGAGAAAAAGAATACGAATATATTTATTACCACTGAACTGTACACTTAAAAATTGCAAAGATGGTAAATTATATATGTATATTTTATCTCAATTAAAAAATTAAAAAGGAAAAAAATTCTAGTAGCCACTTACGTAAAAAGAAAGATGAAATTGATTTTGATAATATATTTCTTCAACCCATTATATCCAAAATAGTATCACTTCAACATGCAATCAATATAGCAATTTTTAAAATTTATTTATTTACTATTATTATTGTTGTTATTATCATTATTATTATTATTATTTTGAGATGGAGTCTCGCTCTGTCGCCCAGGCTGGAGTGCAGTGGCGTGATCTCGGCTCACTGCAACCTCCGCCTCCCGGGTTCAAGTGATTCTCCTGCCTCAGCCTCCTGAGTAGCTGAGACTACAGGTGCCTGCCACCACACGTGGCTAATTTTTGTATATTTTTAGTAGAGAAGGGGTTTCACCATATTGGCCAGCCTGGCCTTGAACTCCTGACCTTGTGATTCACCATTTTTTTTACACAATTCTTACATATCTGATGTGCATTTTAGTGCATCACTAAATGGACTAGTCACACTTCAGATGTTCAAGAGCATCCCATGGTCAGTGGCTCCTGTGTTAACACAGTTTTAGAGTAATCAGATAAAGTTTTCTGGGTGAAGATCATGTTTGGAAGGTTTATGAGCAGTGAGCAGGAATTTCACTAGATAGGCTAAGTAGAGTGAGAAGACAGTCTACACAGGAAAACAGCTTGTGCAAAAGTACAGATTTGTGAAATAAGACCAAGATCAGAGAATCGTAAGCATGCTACCTTTCTCAAATGCCCATAATTCTAACATTTATGTTAGATGGGATGTTTTATTCTGAGTAAAGCATTGTGTCTCCTACTTAAAAGGGATGGGGTATGGTGTAAGGAATTAAATGTTTTTGAGAAATTGAAATGCTCAACTCATTGATGATCAAGACAGTGTAAATGAGTTTGTAAGATTGTAGAGAGCAGGGTTCTGAGGTCAAGGGTTGATATTTTGGGAAGCGAAAGAGAAAAGGACTGAAGGCTAGTAGGCTCCTTGGTTAAGAGGGACAAGTTAGGCAGAGAAGTGGGTAAGTCTAGCATGTAGGGCCGGTGTAGGGATGGGGTGTCCATTGTAGGCCCTCAGAAGGAGGCAGAAGCCACTAAAATGGAAAGCCTGAAGGCCTAAAGGCAAACTTGCTTTCAGCAAAGTTCAGCATCTTGTCCTGGCCACCCCTGGAGGTCCCAGAAATGCAGCACCAGGAACTAAAGGCAAACCTGGGGTCATAGCATTTATATTTAGCTATCATCAGATTTTAAAGGGAAATTTTTGGCTTGCAGTAAACATTGAAAGGATGATTTTGGTATTACTTGTAATTTAGGATCCTGTGGGGAACGTGTAGAAATCCAAATGACTCATTTTCTTCTATTTTTTTTTTCAGTAAAATGAAACAATAGGCCAACTTTCAAAAGTTAGACACTCAGCATTTTTAGCTTTACACAAAATGGAAGGAAAACAAACAACAAGAAATGAGTGATTGCCTCTCCACCCATCCCATCTCCCCAGATAAGCAACCCAGGGTCTTACTGTCTGATCAGGCAGAGGCCCAGTCATTTCTTCTTCCTGCACCCTTGGCCATTTCATTTGATTTTTTTTTTTCTGGCCACTTCACTGTCATTTTAAGCTAAATGTGTACACACACACACACACACACACACATACACACACACACACTTTTCTTTTTGTCCCCCAGATTTCCTCTTGTCGGCCTACGCTCAAACCTACTTCAGGTGACCATTCCTTTTCCTCTTTTAGTTGGTAATTATACTTCTTTTCTTGGTCCCTAAATTTGTGAACTTGCCACATTTACCTTAAAATAACTTTTAAAAATTCCAGAACTCACCTTCTACTGATTTTGTATTGAGGAAACTCAATACAAAATCGGTACATATATGGGACATGCACTTGTGAATTTGTTTTTTGGCCTTGGGCCATATGTTTCTACACATCCTGTGTCATTAGACAAGTCTCTCAACTTATGTGTAAAATAGAGAATTGAATCAGATCACCTTCCATGTCATCTCCCAGTCTGAAATTTTGACTCCCTGAGGAGACTCTAAGAATAGAATAGCAAAGAGCTTTAGAGCTTGAAGGCTTCCGTGTCATTTGGATCTTGGTCTTATCAAGATGAGAGATTGGCAAAGTATTTTCTCTCTCTAAATCTCTGTTCTGCCATCTCTAAAATTGGGATAACAACACCTCCTGCTCGGGACTATTATGAAAGTTAAAAATGATATTACATATACGGTGTTTACACAGTACAATTGCTAAATAGTAAGTACTCAATAGAAGTAGTGGTTTGTAGCTAGCAAATTAATCCAGTCTTGCAGGGCAACGAAAATGAGCATCCAGCTGGTTCCATTCAAGACATCAAACTACTGGAGTTTAGTACTTCCAATTGGTGGTGGTAGGTGCACATGAAGAGGATCTTTTATTACAAAAGCGATCTCTATCTGTGCTCTAGCCACTATGTGGAAGTACCTAATTCAAAGTACAGCTTACCTAGAGTTAACAGCTTCCTCTAACCCTCTGACCAGATATCTATATGGAGTTGGCCATCCCCACCCCCCCACTTTTTTTTGCTCCTAGAAAAATCCTAAAAAAGAATACACCCATACAATGTGTATTACGTTCTAGGATAAAAACAAACTTGGCAAACTTGATTAAAATTAAAACGTACCTCAAGGACATTATAATTATTGACATAGCTGCTGTTCTAGAATGAAGTTCTAGAGAATTGAAAGTTCAGCCATCATGAAGCCTGGCAGCCAATGCCTGGCTTTATCCTCACTCTACTGCAGTCACAGCCTCTTCCCAAGCCAAATCACTTAGCAGAGCCATTGCCATGTATTTAATCAGCTCCACATTTCATCTTCCCCCAATCTCTGCTACCACTGTTGATGACTGCATGAAGAGGGAAATAACCAAAGCAGGCTGCCTGCAGGGTAACAGGGGTAATAGAATAATCTCCAGATCTGCTGCTGGAAAATCAGAAAGTGTCTACTTTTCCCTCTTTATAGAAGGACCTGCTGTTCCTTCTCCTTGATGCCGCACAGTCTTCTCAGTTCTTCTTCCCCAGTCAATGTAATATGAAGGTTTAAACTCTGCCCTTGCTAGTGTTGCATGTGAAGTGCCTCAGACAGTGGAGAGCATTTCCTTCACAACTCTTAGAGATGGGACTGGTTATGCCAATCTAGCAGTTTATTCAGTAGGCAATCCCAGCTCTGCTCTGTACCTGTAGTGTGGTCTTGGGAAAATTAATCTTTCCAGGCCTTAATTGTCTCATATGTAAAATGCAGATATTAAGAGGAGCTGCCTCATGAGTTTGCTGTGAAAATTAAATTAATAGACTTTAATAGACAAAATATTTAGAACATAGGAAGTTGGTATCATCATCATTATCATTATCTGCAGGAGACTAAAATAACACTGGATGCTTTCTAACAAGCTATTGATTTAATTATGTGTTATAGCCACTTTTTAAATATCCTGTCTCTCCTTTCCCCAAATTATAAGCTCTTCTATTCACTGAAGTAATCCCAGCACGTAGAATAGTGCCTGGCATATAGTAGGTGCTCAAATAATATTTGTTGAATGGTTGAGTGAAGGGGCTCAGGAGACGTGGCTGCCCTCTGACTTTCACAGCAGCTACATTTCTCTCCAGAATAGGCTTCAGTATCTAATGCTCATATAGTGGCAGGAAATGGGAGGGGACTGGGATGTACACTCCCAGGTTCCTGAGACCTGCTCCCTATTACCTGTCAGAAAATTCACTGGGGAAACTTAGCTTGTGTGCCAATTAGATTTTACATATAGCTATGCTGGGAAGAATGAACCATTTTATATGTAAATCCAAAATTGGTTTAGCTTTGATTGATAATAGTGAATGAATAATCAAGGAACCCTATTTTAATAAATGAGGTTTAATATTTCTTGAGCTTAATCATTTTTTATGGTTCTTACTTGAATTCAAGGCCTAAGAGCCAAAGAGCTTTTTAGTTGCTATTACCTCAGATAGATATCTTTCCTACTTAGCTTCATTCTTTTCAATTTTAAAACACTGGGGAACATTCCCAAAGTGCATTTTCAAAAACACAATTTCCACCAAAAGTTCAAATTGGTGCTAATCTAGTTTAGAAATATAATTCTTGGCATCCGTAGAACAAAGCTCTCTTGTTTAACCTCTACAGCTAAATTGTCCCCACGAGAAAGTCTATTTCTATGCTGCACTTCGCTGAATTTGTTCCCTCAGCACCAAACTGTAAGATGATATTCATCCAACATGCTCACATCTGCACTGAGAAGCAAGGTCTTTCATAGGCTCTGGCATTATCAGCTGCTGTTAAAGTCATTTGTTTGTAGAACTGTAATCATAGGGCTTTCTCTGCATGCATGCCATTAGCATTTCTGTGACCCAAATAATTCCAGAGATGAAATAGTTTCATGGGCCTGAGATCTCCTCCTTTACCAACTCCTTTTGCTGCCCTTGAAAGTGAAGCTCAGCCACTGGATGTTGTTTGGTACCTGTTAGGTCCATGGGACCCTCGAACCCAAGAAAATGCAACCCAAGAAATTGCATAGGTGAGACTGAGATGTTTGGGGAATACCCAATGCTCTAATAAGTAACTTTTTTGAATGTAAGTCAAGGGAGCAGGGACAGGATATGATCATAATTGAGAAAAATGACCAAATCAATTAGCTTTTCTAAACACCACATGTTTGATCAGTATGTTAACAAAAAGAGGATGCTCAATGTTGTGTCATTATTTTGGCATGTTTGTCCAGCACCACTAGGAAAAATACTGGATCTGATGAATGGAAACTTCCAATGAGCAGAGAAAGGGATTCAGTTATAGGGCAGGAGTGTTCTTTTAATCAGGTTTCACCGTGGTCTACCTGAAATATCCCTCAGGATCTCTCTCTGCTCTGACCTGATTTTGTGCCCATGAGTGGACACTCTAGTTTCTAATCTGTCTCCTAGGTATCCTGAAAATGTGAAAGGGATACCCTAAGTCTGACCTATGAAAGCCTCTCACTGGGGTTGAGTGCACTGGCATGCCTGGTTATGTACCAGCCTTTTGGAAATCCTTTGGTGTGAGTTAGCCTTAGTGGGTCCAAACAATTTTGTGTGTTCCAACCAAGCACGTGCCCTGACTTCTAAAGCTGAGCACTAACCTCTGGGGAAGGGAGCAGCCAGCCTCTCAGAGAGGTCTCAAAGCTCATCGTATCAGTAATGATCCAGTCAGATCAGGCCCAATTAAATTCACTGGGAGGGGAGACAATCTAGACAAAGGCATTCAGGGAAGTCGTCAGAGGATACTGGCTATGGGCTATGGTTCTGATACTTCCGTGATGTTAAGAACTCTAGGATGGATAGGCCAGAGACCTACTGAGAGGAACTGCTATATAGACGCATGATTTATCGCCAAAGAATAGCATCAGAGCTTTCAACACGACTGACTTAATAGTGGGATATCAGGTTAGGTTATGGAGTACCTATTTTCTCTGCCCAGTGGTCAGATTGACCCCTGAGTCTGGAAAATGGATGGAACTGCAGGAATGGATTAAAGATTTATCAGTTCTGTTTTTGTTTCTAGTGACTGGGGAGGCAGGGATGCTTAAGTGCAAGATATTTAATTGGCTCATTTAGAAATCTTTAGGAATATAACTGGCCTCAGGCACAGCCTAAGGCATTGGGCTCAAATGATATTACCAGGATCTGGTCTCTCAGATAGAACCATGTTTCCTTGAGTCTCATACAGTTTCTCTCCTACTGAGGTCACAAGATGACAGCAACTACTTTTGATCCTCCCTTCTCAATACTTTAAATACAGCAGGAGAGAGAATCTCTTTCACAGAGCCATTTTATGGCTCCTTAATTATAATTTGGTAACGTGTCCTTCCTTGAACCAGGGAAATGTGATTCTCTCATTGATCAGTGTCTGAGTCACTTGATCACCTTTAAGACAAAAGGTAGAGATGCCTTCATTAGAAGCACCTGGACAGTTCCACAGAGGAATTAGGGTAGAGTCTCCAGAAGAAGTATAAATGTATATTGGGCAGGAGTGTAAAAGGCTGATGATATGAAGATCAGAGAAAAATCATAGAATGTTATTTTCTGTGACTTCAGGAAAGATTTATGGACTGGATATCAAGATATGAATGCTATCACTCCCAAAACTCATTAGCTCTTTAAGGAACATACATTTGAGTGCCTTACATATCCCATAATATTTATTTTACCTGATTCCCATACTTAGTGTGAATAGACAAGTCATCTTCCTGACACTGTCACCACCGTTTTTATATTCTTGGCTGCATTGACTCCACCACTGTGTGTCGTTGTCCTTCGTAGAACCCTAAGACAAAGGTTGTTTATAAAATGCATGCATACAATATGCAATTCTGTATTCATACTAACTTTTGCATCTATTTAAAAGAATAGCTAAAATCTGTAATTATATAACTGTGCTTCTTCTTCAGAAAAGAGGTCATATCATATCTTGATGAATTCTCTCCAAATACAACCCTGTAATCAGAACCCAGAGCAAAATTAAAAATTAATGAAATTGAGCATATTTTCATGTTTTGGAGCTTTATTTTGTAACGTGTCTGTTTAAGTCCTCTGTCTACTTTTCTGTTTGATTGCATCTTCTTTTTCTTATGGATTGGAAGAGTGTGTATATATATTATATATATATAAATAATACTTTTATATTTATAATATATATTATATATATAAAATACATTTATCCAAAGGTTTACCAGTACCCAGAACATATTATAGATATCTTCTTTCACTCTTTGGATTATCTTTTCACTTTTTAAATGATATCTCTTGATGACTAGAAGTTCTTGATTTTATCCACTTTATGACTTTTTTATTGTTAATTATTTTTGAGTTAGGTTTAAGGAAGTCCTTGCCTACTCTGAGGCCATCGAGATGTTCTCCTGGGTTGTCTTCTCTGTCTTGTTTTATTTTTCACCTTTAGATCTGCAATCTATCTGAAATTGATTTTAGTTATGGCAGATATAGGGGTGGGGATATGTTTTTTCCCCATGTAAATATCTAATTGACCCAATTGCCCCATTTCTATTGCTCAGGAATTGTATGTATCAATGACAATTTTTATCTCATGTCTTTTCTTTTGTCCTTATTGTAAGATTTGATGTATAAAGGTGGAGTTCTACATTTCATTCTAAGAATATAGTTTTCTCTTTAAGCCACAGGGAAAGTTAAAGAATGTAAGTGGTCCTGGCTTTGCATTGTATTAATCAGGGTACAAGCTCAGCTACAAAACAAAGATCTGAATATAACAGTGGGACAAGCAACACAGAACTTTGTCTGTCATCAAATAATGCAAGAGTAGGAGTCCAGGGCTATTTCTCCCAAACACGCTGTGCACTGCACAGTTTTTTTTTCTACAGTTAGTCTGAGAGGTGGGGTTGATGGCCAGGTGTAGTGAATATGTACCATTCATTTTTAAGAAAACAATTTGTTGACCAAAACATTATGTGGTAGAAAAAAAAAGAAAGCAATTTGTATTTTCTAAATATTATTCCCTAATTTGGTAACTAAATGCTAATAGGACTACTTTATATGTAAGGATATTTATATTCAGTCACAAAGTAAATCAAGAAGAGAATTATTTTAGGATCCAGAATACCTTTAGGTTTTAATCTTACATTCATTTATTTTTTTTCCTCTGAATCTAATTAGCTGAAACTTTAATTTTTAAGATAGATATAGGCAAAAAGCGACTTGTTCAACATTCCTTAGGTTTTTTTCTCAAGTGTAAATCTGACAAGTGATTCCTGTTATCAGTGGCCCCCGATTACCCTAAAGATCAATGCCAAACTTCTTAGCCTTGTATGCCGGACCTTTCATAATCATGCCCCTGTTTACCTGCCCCGTCTCTCCCCTCACCTCCCACTCCAGTTTTCTCACACATACCACACTTCAGCCATCCTGAGCTATTTACAACTCTCCAGTGCCATCAGGTACTCCCTCACCTCAGTCTCTGCATACCTACTCTTCCTTCTTTCTGTCTACTCCCTGCCTTGCCAGCACCCAGCCATCTCTTATTCATCCATGAGGTCCCAACTAAGACATTACCCCCTCCAGGAAGTCTTTCTTGACATTCCCCAAGACTGGATTGAGTGCTCCTTCTCTGCTCTGTTAGCACCCTGCCTTTTGCCCATCTCGGCTGTCATCAGTTTATGCTGTTAACTGCCTGTTTGTCTTTAGGTCTCTTAAACAAAACCAAGAGTTCCCAGAATTCCCAAATACAATATAAACAGGGCAAGGCCTGTGTTTTCACAGCTGTACTCTGGTAGCTTAATCCAATAAATATTTTTTGAATGAGTGAATGAATGAATAAATGAATAATGAGTCACTTATTATTTGTGGCTTTCTTATATTTCCTCAGAATTACAACCGACCCCCAGTGATGGCATTAGCCATCCCCATTGCAGTGAAATTCCTCCACAGAGGCAACAAGGAACTGTGCAGGAATATGTCTAACTACCTGTCTCTGGCTGCAATTACCAAGGCAGATCTCCTGGCTGATCACACGGAAGTTATAGTAAAGAGCATACTCCAAGGTATGGTGCGAAAGTTGAGCTTGGGGACATGTTTTGGGAGATATTTAAAAGTATTTTCATCAAGCATTTATGGTTTGTGGGAAGCAAGACCTAGAGTATTAGAAGCAAATTAATTTCTCTGTTTTGCTGCCAGTTGACCTGTGAACATGCAAAAGGTTACTTAATCTGGCTGTCTGTGTCCCTTCCCAAGGCAGATGAATTACTTAGACTCATTAAAAGAATTGTAAGCATTCTTCCAAATCTGTGTTTCTCAGTTTGAAGAACTGCATTTCCGTGCTTCTGGTCACCTGTTCAACTACCAACTGTGGAGATCTTATCTCTGTGTACTGAGTGGAACACGTCACTCAGTGGGGTATGAAAAACCTGTCTTCATTTGCTTCCAAAAGCAAGAAATGTCTTTTGTTAGATAAAATACATCAGAAAATGTGTAATGACTTCTTAAATGTGAACATGATTTGGATAACAAGCATAAATACTAGCATAAAAAGCCAAATAGTACACCTCTGTTAATTGTTACAACATTTGAATGAATAAGAAGCTCAAATTAGTTCATGCAAAATATTCTCCTTGTCTTCTTTTATTTTCTTTGGTTTCAGATCAATCAAAAAACATGTTTTTGAACTTGAAGTCAGAGAACAATACATGATATTAATTGATGTGCATCCAAATGTCCCCATTTCTCATTAATAAAGATGCATGAGGCCCATGAGTATCTCAGCCCACAGTTTACTGCCATAACCCACCACATGATAAGGTTGATCGTCAACCCTCTGTAAAGTGCTCACAGTCCAATTAATTCTTAGGGTCCCCAAGGGTGTCCTATGTGTGCTCTCTTCCCAAGGTATCCAGACCAATCCCCAAGCCCATACTGCTATTTTGTCCATGCTTCCTGGCATAGCATGGTGGGGTGCTGTCCTCTTCCACCATGCGAGCCCAGCAGACCCTAAGGCCACTGCCATGCAGGTCCCAGGAATGGACTCCACTCCTGGGAACTCCGTGCTGCCCTGCCAGTGATGGCAGTCTTTGTGCTGAACCACTGGAAGCTTTAGGAACAACCAAGTCCTTAGCCCAGTAATTCAGTGTGGCAGCCTGTGGCAGGATGGGAAAGAACACTAGCCTTTCTCCTCAGTGTTATACCTTGGTAGAGAGGCCCCAGAGCAGTGCCAAACTGAGTTGCCATGTTTGCAGTAACATAGATGGTTTTTCAGTAGAACAGAATAGAGAACCCAGAAATAAAGCTGCACACCTAGAGCCACCATCTGATCTTTGACAAATTCAACAAAAATAATCAGTGGGGGAAGGACTCCCTATTCAACAAATGGTGCTAGGATAACTGGGTATCTATATGCAGAGGAATAAAACTGGACAACTATCACCATATACAAAAATTAACTCAAAATGGATTAAAGACCTAAATGCAAGACCTCAAACTATAAAAGTCCTCAAGGAAAATCTAGGAAATACCCTTCTTGACAATAGCCTTGGCAATAAATTTATGGCTAAGTCCTTAAAACCAATTATGACAAAAACAAAAACTGACAAGTGGGACCTAATTGAATTAGAGAGCTTCTAGACAGCAGAAGAAATTATCAACAGAGTCAACAGACAACCTACAGAATGGGAGAAAATTTTTGCAAACTATGCATCTGAAAAAGGTCTAATATCCAGAATCTATAAGGAACTTAAGCAATTCAACAAGCAAGAAACAAATAGCCCCATTAAAAAGTGCAAATCAAAAAGTTAGAAAGATCTCAATTTAACAACCTAACAGCATAACTAAAAGAACTAGAGAACCAAGAGGAAACCAAGTCCAAAGCTAGCAGAAGGCAAGAAATAACCAAAATCAGAGCTGAGCTGAAGGCGATTAAGACACAAATAAATTTAAAAGATCAACAAATCCAGGAGCTAGCTAGACTAATAAAGAAGGTAATAGAGAAGCTCCAAATAAACACAACCAGAAACAACAAGGTGATATTACTATTGACCCCACAGAAATACAAACAACCATCAGAAGATATTATGAACACCTCTATACACATTAACTAGAAAATCTAGAGGAAACTAATAAATTCCTGGGCACATACACCCTTAAGACCTAACCAGTAAGAAATTGAATCCCTGAACAGACCAATAATGAGCTCTGAAATTGAATCAGTAATAAATAGTCTACCAATCACAATAAGCTTGGGACCAGACAGATTCACAGCTGAATTCTACCAGATATACAAAGAAGAGCTGGTACCATTCCTGCTGAAGCTATTCCAAAAAATTGAGGAGGAGAGACTCCTCCCTAACTCATTCTATAAGGCCACCATCATCCTGATACCAAAATCTGGCAGAGACACAACATAAAAAGAAAACTTCAAGGCAATATCCTTGAACACTGATGCAAAAACTCTCAACAAAATACTGGCAAAACAAATCCAGCAGCACATCAAAAAGCTTATCGATCATGATCAAGTAGGCTTTATCCCTGGGATGCAAGGTTGGTTGAACATATGCAAATCAATAAATGTGATTCATCACATAAACACAACTAAAGACAAATCCAATAGATGCAGATAAGGCTTTTGATAAAATTCAACACCGCTTCATGTTAAAAATTCCCAATAATCTAGGTATTGAAGAAGGATACCTCAAAATAGTAAGAGCCATCAATGGCAAACCCACAGCCAACATCATACTGAATGGGCAAAAGCTGGAAACATTACCACTGAAAACTGGCACAAGACAAGGACGCCCTCTCTCACCACTCCTATTCAACATAGTGTTGGAAATCCTGGCCAGAGCAATCATGAAAGAGAAAGAAATATAGCACATCCAAATAGGAAGAGAGGAAGTCAAACTATCCCTATTTGTAGATGACATGATCCTATATCTAGAAAATGCCATAGTCTCAACCCAAAAAGCTCCTTAAGCTGATAAACAACTTCAGCAAAGTCTCAGGATACAAAAATCAATGTACAAAAGTCACTAGCACTCCCACACACCACCAGTAGCCAAGCTGAGAGCCAAATCAGAAATGCAATCCCATTTACAAGTGCCACACACACATACAAATAAAATACCTAGGAATCCAGCTAACCAGGGAGTTGAAAGATCTCTATAAGGAGAACTACAAAACACTCCTCAAAGAAGTCAGAGATGACACAAACAAATGGAAAAATATTCTATACTCATGGATAGGAGGAAACAATATCATTAAAATGGCCATGCTGCCCAAAGTAATTTATAGATTCAATATTATTCCTATTAAATTACTAATGACATTCATCACAGAACTAGAAAAAATATTTTAAAATTCATATGGAACCAAAAAAGAGCCTGAATAGCCAAGGCAATCCTAAGCAAAAAGAACAAACCTGGAGGCATCACACTGTATTACTTCAAACTGACTTCAAATAGGGATATAGTAAGCAAAACAGCATGGTACGGGTACAAAAACACACGCATAGACCAATAGAACAGAATAGAGAACCAGAAATAAGGCTACACACCTACAACTATCTAATCTCTGAAAAAGCTGACAAAAACAAGCAATGGGCAAAAGACTACCTATTCAATAAAAGGTGCTGGAATAACTGCCTAGTCATATGCAGAAGATTAAAACTGGACCCCTTCTTTATACCACATACAAAAATTAACTCAAGATGGATTAAATACTTAAATGTAAAACCCAAAACTATAAAAACGCTGGAAGATAACCTAGGCAACACCATTCTGGACATAGGAATGTGCAAAAATTTCATGAAGAAGATACCAAAAGCAATTGCAACAAAGGCAACTGCAACAAGAGCAAAAATTGACAAATATGATCTAATTAAACTAAAGAGCTTCTGCACAGCAAAAGAAACTATCAACAGAGTGAACAATCTAGAGGATGAAAGGAAATATTTGCAAAGTATGCATCTGACAAAGGTCTAATATCCAACATCTATAAGAAACTTAAAGAAATTTACAAGAAAAAAATTACAAAGTGGGCAAAGGACATGAAAAGACACTTTTCAAAAGAAGACATACATGCAGCCAACAATCATGAAAAAAACTCAACATTACTGATCATTAGAGAAATGCAAATCAAAACCACAATGAGATACCATCTCACAACAGTGTATTATTAAAAAATAACAGCTATTGGCAAGGTTGTGGAGAAAAAGGAATGCTTATACACTGTTAGTGGTGATTGGTCCTCAAAAACCTAAAAACAGAACTACAATCAACTCAGCAATCCCATTACTGGGTATATACCCAAAGAAATATAAATTGTTCCATCATAAAGACACATGCACACATATGTTCATTGCAGCACTATTCACGTTAGCAAAGACATTGGAATCAACCTAAACGCCCATCAATCATAGACTGGCTAAAGAAAATGTGATACCTATACACCATGGAAAACTATGCAGCCGTAAAAAAGAGCAAGATCATGTCCTTTGCAGGAACTTGGATGGAGCCAGAGGCTATTATCCTTAGCAAGCTAACACAGGAACAGGAAACCAAATACCGCATGTTGTCACTTATAAGTGGGAGCTAAATTATGACAATACCTGGACACATAGAGAGGAACAAAAGATACTGGGGCCTATTGGAGGGTGAAGGGTGGGAAAAGGGAGAGGATCAAGAAAAATAACTAACAGGTACTGGGCTTAATACCTGGGTAATAAAATAATCTGTTCAACAAACCCCCATGACACAAGTTTACCTATATAAAAAAACTGCCTATGTACCCCTGAACTTAAAGAAAAAAAAAGGCGGCAAAGGACATGAACAGACACTTCTCAAAAGAAGACATGAAAGCAGTCAACAAGTATATGAAAACATGCTCCACATCACTAATCCTCAGAGAAATGCAAATCAAAATCACAATGAGGTACCATCTCATACCAGTCAAAATGTCTGTTATTAAAAATTCAGAAAACAATAGATGTTGGCAAGGCTGCAGAGAAAAGAGAACGCTTATACACTATTTGTGGGAATGCCCATCAGTTCAGCCACTGTGGAAAGCAGTTTGGTGATTTCTCAAAGAAGTTAAAATAGAACTATTATTTGACCCAGCAATTCTACTGCTGGGTATATATACCCAAAGGAAAATAAATCCTTCTACCAAAAAGACACATGTACTCATATCTTCATTGCAACACTATTTACAATAGCAAAGACATGGAATTAACCTAGGTGCCCATCAACAGTGGATTGGATGAAGAAAATGTGGTACATATACACCAAGGAATACTATGCTACCATAAATAAGAACAAAATCATGTCCTTTGCAGCAACGTGGATGCAGCTAGAGGCCATTATCCTAAGCGAATTAATGCAGATACCACATGTTTTCACTTATAAGTGGGAACTAATCATTGGGTACATGTGGACATAAAGATGGGAATGATAGACACTGGGGGACTGAAAGAGGGGTAGGAAGAGAGGGACAAGGATAGAAAAACTACTTATTGGGTACTGTGCTCACTGCCTCTGTGATGGGTTCAATTGTACCCCAAACCTCAGCATCATGCAATATAGCCTTGTAAGAAACCTGCACATGTACCCTTGACTCTAAAAGTTGAAAAACTAAAATAAAATAGATTATTGTTTTATCTAAAGCTGTCTTTCCTTCCCCTGGGCTCAACTATTCACCCAGGAGTTGGGGTTACCAACAAATTAATACTTTAATTCTCAAAATGCCTATTGCCTTCCAAGAACTAAAGTTTTGTTCCTAACTTAAGCTCATTGTACCAGACATTCCTAAGGTGGGTTCTTAGTACCATTGCAAGACTGCTGACCAGCCACCCCAGTGGTCTGCCAGGTATGTCTGAACTCCAGCTGAGAGTGGAAATTTATCACTCAACCTGTGCTTCCCTCTAAAGATTTGTCATTAATAATACTAGTCAGTATTTTCATTTCCAATTTCCTTTGGCCACGGGATTAAATCACCAATTTCACTTTATATGTAATATTAAATTTGCTTAAAGCCCATAAAAGCAATTATGTTTTTTTCAACACCTTGGCTACATTTTTGAAACAAATTTTATAGGAATTTAAAACACTTATACACACCACACATTTTAAAACCATGATAGTCAGACTTGCAAATAACAGATTTATGAAAAAAAAATGAATTACCCCTTTATTGCTGCCAAGAACTTAGCTCATCTCTTTGGGTTTTTAAAAAATGCTTTTTCGATGACAATGAAATCTTTGAAACACAAAGTACACTTTCTAAATTCACTGCAAGCATTTGAAATAAACAAATAATTTGGTTTATTTGATCTGGCACTATGAAAATTATCATAAAATGAATGGTAATTTGACCTGTAAAAGGTTGGGGCTACATATCTCAGGGTTTGGAGTTTTAAGACTGATGTGACTGTAAAACTCCATTATCACTCACATGAGCCCATCAAACTTTAAGTTGCAAAGCAGAAGGGATCTTGCTCTCTCTGATTAGTAAGTTTTCTGCTCTGCAATTCTTTGTCTTACATCCCCTACCAGACAGCCTGAGGAGTCATCATGGGGTTTCTTTTTTCATTACTTATAGTTTTTCTCCTCTTTAGATCTTCATTGCCTTGCAGTACACTAATCCTTATTTTCCCATGTTTCTACTTCTATAAAATACATTGAATGGTCATCCATGCAATGATGATGATGATAATTACAATAACATTAATAATAGCTACAATGGCTAAAATTTACTGCATGCATTTCTGATGCCAGGTACTGTATTAAGCCATTTATACCGATTATATCATTCAATGCCCACGAGAACCTCATAAAAGAAGTCCTATTATTATCCCATTTTACCAGTTAGTAGTATTTTAGGTAACAGAAACCTACAGATGTAAACGACTTGATGATGAGGAAGAAGAGAAGGAGAAAGAGGAGCAACAACAACTCCTCCTTGGCACACATGCCTGCAAAGTCCATGAGCATACCAGACTTCCCAGATGGTTGATTCAGGGCTCAATGGTGTCCCAAAAGTCAATTCTCAGCTCTGCTTCCTCAGGATGGGTTTTACTTTTGCGATTGGTGTAGGCCTCTACAGCTTCCAGCTCACATCATCATGAATACCAATTAAGAAAAAGAAAGTTCACATCCAGCCTCTTTTTTTCTCTTTGATCTGACACAGGCCACATGAACATTTCTGAACCAATCCATCATTATTTCCAGGGGATACTGTACTTCAGTTGGTCAGGCTTAGGTCATGAGCCACCCTCAAAGCAGGGAATGGGAGTCGGCTGCAGCAAAGCCACATAGATTGGGAGTAGAGGAGGAGTAGATCCCCAAAAGAAACCCAGGACTGTTGCCAACAATAGGTGAATGAATAGTGGGAAATGAAAGAACACAAATGTCCACTATATCATTTTGTAAGTGAGCAAGCTGAAGCTTAGAGGAGTTAAAAGCAAGATTCAAACCCTGACCATTTCACTGTAAAGTCTACTTTCACAGTGTAATCTTAGCACCGCCAAATACACTATTGTATTTTTATTTTCCCAGCCTGTTTCCTCATATGTACATATAGATGTTTAGACAATGACATGAGATAATGCCAAAACATAGTCAGCTTTCAATAAATATCAGCTAAGGTGGTGATGAGGATAATCATACTTGCCTTCCTATATTTGAATCCCTTTATTGCCAGGGAACTCACTCACTGTTTCCTGTGACAACCCACTTTATCTCTGGACAAAATTGAGTACTAGACATTTCTTCCTTTTGTTGAATTAGAGGTTCTCCCCTTGTGGCCTCCCACTTTTGACTAAGGCCCTTTTCTTGGGCCTAATAAACCCTCGTTCCTCTTTCACATGACAAACTTTCAAAAACTAGCTCCGACTTTCATATCTCACCACTCCTTCCCTTTGCACTTCCCTCTTTTCCTCCTCAGGCATAACATTCATAGTTTCCCTCTCAGCTTGCTCACTCAGCAGATGATGACTTGTTTCTGCATCCATTTGCAAGATGTACCCAGACCCCCGCTCTGCTTGGCTGCCCTCCCCTGCATGTGCTCTGATTTGCTTGCTTATGAGGACTAAAATGGATTTATCCTCCCTATTAATACTGTATTTTCCTTAATGTAACCTAAAATCAAATTCAGTTTTTTGTCAATCACACAATCACATCTTTGATTTCTCTTGACTTATATTTGAAATCTCCAAATTTTTAAATATAAATTGTCTTAGTATATTCAGCAATTTCTGCCATACTCTGTGTTTAGCAGGCTTTTTGTCTTATGCAAGTACTTACTTTTAATTCTTTACACTTTTCTTTCATGAGATTCACCCATTGCTTTGGCATGCAAAGATCTTGTTAGATGTTTTTTTATCTCAGTGTATCTGCAGCTCTTCCAAGGTTCTTGTCACCCATAAATTTTATGAGCAGAGCCACTCTGGTCTTCATTTTAAAACACTGATTAAAAAGTTGATGAGATAGGGCCAGGAGACTCTTGTGCTGTGGCAGGGGTGTTTGCCTCTTAGACTTGTTTGCTATTATTTCCTTGATCATATTTTTAACAATTGTATTATATGCATCCATTTGCATCCTGTGCCTGATTTCAAACCAAATGCTCTTTTATGCTTATGAGTGAATCATGAGAGACTTTGTCCAAGGGCTATGTATTTATCCCTGAAGGCAAATATTTCAATAGTTCTAAGCCAATTTTTGCTACCTCTTATTATTAATGGTTATATATAAGTAATGTTTAGTTTTACATTAAGTTTAAGTACACATTTATTTTATTCAAGTTGTTTAGAGTTATTTTGTCTGTTTTGTATTCTCTGAATTCTCCCAGTAAGTGGTAATTGTAAAAGGTCTTACTTCTTACTTCTTGGAGGAAGGATTAAAGGTATAATTGGAATGTTATCTTGATTCATACTTAAAAGTTAAGGGGATAGAAAACTTGAATATCTCTATACCAAATAAGACAATTCTGTCAGTATTTTAAAATCAACTCACACACAAAAAAATTAAAAAACATACCAATTTAGTTTTACAGGAAAATTATAACAAATATACAAAGAACAGATCATTACAATCTCTTTAAAACTTTCCCAGATAACTGAAACAGAAAAACATTCTCCACCTTATTCTACAGGGCTAGTATAGCCAGGATATCAATACCATGATATCAATACCAGACAAGGACAGTATGAGAAATAAAAATACAGGTCCATCTTAATTATGAACATAGATGCATAAATCATAAATAAAAATTTTAGCAAAATGACTCTAGCAGTGCTTAAAGTAAATAATAGTTAACATTTGCTGAGTGCTTACTATATACCAGGTACTGGCCTTTTAACCTATGTAATTCTCTCCCAATATCTTATGAGGGAAAAACTAATGTTAAGCCCACTTTATAAATGCGTAATGACCTAGTTGAGTTTCTCCCACAAATGCAGGACGGCTTAATATTCGATATAATTCCACACTGCAAAAGACTAAAGAGGAAAAACATCATGTGATTAGTAAAAAGTATCTCATAAAATTCAGTACCTCTTTGCTCATGAAAACAAAATTCAAACTAGTAATTTTGGACAAATTTCTTAACATGATTAGAGGAGATATATAGATAGATAATGATAGAGCACTATATATATAAATATATATATATATTTCACTATATACATATAGTGGAACAGTAGAAGCATTCATTTAAAGTCAGGAATGAGATGAGGATACCAATATATCTACTTCTATTTACTGTGGCACAGAAGCCCTAGCCTAGACAAGAAAAATAAATGAAAGTTATAACAGAAAGGAAGGGTCAAAACAATCATTATCTCTAGAAAAATGTGATAATTGTCTACAATAGAACATTTAAATATTCTGGCTGGGTGTGGTGGCTTGCACCTGCAATCCCAGAACTTTGGGAGGCCAAGGTGAGAGGATCGCTTGAGCTCAGGAGTTCAAGACCAGCCTCGGGAACATAGCAAGACCTCGTCCCTACTAAAAATCAAAGAATTTATCTGGGCTTGGTGGTGTGCACCTGTAGTCTCAGCTACTCTGGAGGCTGAAGTGGGAAAATAGCTTGAGCCCAGGAGGTTGAAGCTGCAGCAAGCTGTAATTGTGCCACTGCACTCCAGCATGGGTGACAGAACAAGCCCCTGTCTCAAAAAAAAAAAAAAAAAAAAAAAAAGTAAATATTCTCCAGTCAATTTTAAGACAAAATAAGACAAATTTCAGTAAAGTGCTGGAAGTGAGATCAATTTAGAGAAACTAGTTTTTTTCTTACATACTAGTCATAATAAATTGAAAATATAATATTAAAAATATTATTTAAAGTAGAAAAATATACAATACCCACAGGAAATGTAGCTTTTGAGAATAAAATTATAAAAGTGTATTGAAAGCAATTAAATAAGAAAATGGAGAAATACACCGTGTTCACTGATGGGAGAGTTTGATGTGGCAAAGATGTAAATTTTCAATAAATTTAGTGAAATTTTGATAAAATAGCAACAGAGGTTTCCATGAAAGATGACAAGCTGATTTTTAAATTTACAAGATAAAGTGAAACAGATAGCCAAGACAGTTTCACAGAAGGAGAAGAAAATGGGAGTTGTTGGGGGAGAGGAAGAGGCAGTAATTTCCGTACCAGATATCAATATATTATAAAATCATAATAATCAAGACAGTGTAGCACTAGTGTAAGATAGGTAAATAACCCATGAATAGAACAGAGAAGCAAGAAACAAATCTGTGCATATATGGAAACTGTGTATATGCTAGGGGAATATTGACAATAGAGAAGGACAGACTATTCAATAAATGGTTTTGAGACAATTGTCCACATCACAGCATGCATAAATTAATAGCAGATGGAATAAGACCTAAATACATAAAACAAATCTAAGTCTCTTCTTTAGTAAAATTTTAAAAATCTCTCAGCAAACAAGCAATAAAAGGGAACATCCTTATTCTGATAAAAGGTATCTATTAATACTAAACAACTAAACTAAAATTATACTTATTAGGGAAATATTAATGTTTCCCCTTGAATTAAAAAATAAGATAAGGATGTCACTTGGTGTATTAGTCCATTTTCATGCTGCTGATAAAGATGTACCTGAGACTGGGCAATTTCCAAAAGAAAGATGTTTATTGGACTCACAGTTCCACGTGGCTAGGGAGGCCTCACAATCATGGTGGAAGGTGAAAGGCACTTCTTACATGGTGGTGGCAAGAGAGTATGAGGAGGTAGTGAAAGCTGAAACCCCTTATAAAACCATCACATCTCATGAGACTTATTTACTACCATGAGAATAGTATGGGGGAAACCACCCTCATGATTCAAGTATCTCCCACTGGGTCCCTCCCACAACATGTGGGAATTATGGGAGTACAATTCAAGATGAGATTTGGGTGGGGACACAGAGCCAAACCATATCACTTGGGCAATGAATTTGTTTTCTGCTTAAATTATATCAGGGGTAAAATGTGATGTTTTGTAACATCAGAACCTTTTTAGAAAAGAAAGTTGTTTTCCAGTGCTCCCGAATAAGTCTCCAAACTTGTTCTTTGCCATATGAAAATGGTCTGTAATGCCTTTTCAGTACTGATAAATAAAAGCACAACCAATGCTTAGTGCAGCACAAGTTAGCATATCTTTCACTCAAGAAGCTGAAAATATTATTGAAGACCCTACAACTGCAGTGGATTATCTGAGGGTTTATAGGGAAGCCCTTTTAAAATTTTGATGTGAAACTCCATAATGCAATGAACACCATTGCTATTTAATCTAAAAGTAGTAATGTCCCTTTTTCTGCATTTCTGAATCAGTGATCATAATAAAGAAATATGCCTCACCATCAATATGCCTTTTACATGCTCCTCTGGCACAAGTCACAAAACGACTTCAAATGATTGGAAACTTAAGTAGAAAGTCTTTGGGAAGAAAATGTAACATCTCATCAAGAGTCCAAATTCCTTTTTTACTTGCTGGCAATGACCTGGAAAATACTGTCTAGTTAATTATGATAAATTCAGCTCATTTTTTCTCTGTGTGAGACAAATTTCAAACCATTGCTTGGTGAGCAGTCTCAGAAAAATGGAGATAGAAAATTGTCCCCCCCCCATTTAATATGACAGTTATAATATATGTGATATAGGATGTATGAGACTTAAATAGATAAAATATCTATGTTTTGTACAATTCTGGGCCCATAGTTCATCAATGGTTACCATGATTTCTATCATCATCATCATCATCATCATCATCGTTCTGGTTGTTTTTGTCATCACCAATTGAGTATCTGCTGTGTACCAGGTCCATATTAAAAGACTGGAGGCAGGCTAGGCGCTGTGGCTCATGCCTGTAATTCCAGCACTTTGGGAGGCTGAGATGGGCAGATCACTTGTTGTCAGGAGTTCAAGACCAGGCTGGCCAACATGGTAAAACCCCATCTCTACTAAAAATACAAAAATTAGCCAGGCGTGGTGGCACACACCTGTAGTCCCAGCTACTCAGGAGGCTGAGGCAGAAGAATCACTTGAACCTGGGAGGCAGAGGTTGCAGTGAGCCGAGATCATGCCACTCCACTCCAGCCTGGGAGACAGAGTGAGACTCCATTTCAAAAAAAAAAAAAAAAAAGATTGGAAGCAGAACCATATCCACTCATGGAGTTTCATAATCTCTAGGGAAATGCTTAACCATTAAAAATTCATGATACAATTATTCTTAAAGGAAGTGGTTTTTAAGTTCACCATAAAACAAGTTGTTGGGAAAGAATTTATTAATCAAATATTCTAGGAAACAAGCTACTAAGCAATCTTATTAAGAATATTCAACCTGAATATTTATACCCATAGAAAACTATTAAATGTAAAGTTATGAAAAGACAATGCACATATGGATCAAGGAATAGAGACGTCTTAAAACAGGAAAAGACTTCTAAATTGTTAACCAAATCTTGGATCTGATCTAACTCAGAGTTTGCACCTTCTTGACTTCACCAGTAGATGCTGCTGTGAAGTAGAACAAGGCCTGCATAGATTTGGACATTTGTGTGCTGAACTCTGAAAATGACTTACCCACAATGGAAAAGAATCCTTACATTCATTTATTTGTTCGTATTTTTGTTTGCTTGCTTATTTAGTTTCAATCCACTGAAAACAACTTGGAAAAACATTTTTTAAGATAACTATCTTATTTTCAATATAACTTCATGGTTTATAAAACACTTTTTTGAAAATTATCTGCTTACTAATCTTTCAACAAGGTAGGCAAGTCTTGTTATCCCTAAGTTCCTGACTAATTTGAGACTCATAGAGATTACTTGACAGGCCTGATTTCTTAGAGTTATTAAGTTAGTAGGTGATGGTGCCAGGATTTGAATACTGGATTTCTGACCCCAAACCCAGCAAACTTTTCTGCTACACTCCAGATTTATAAAACTTGATGCAAGGATCAACGATAGGAGTGTTCATGTTCACTGAATCCAAGAATACATCAATGAACATATACAATTACCTTAACCAAGACTTTAACCTTAGGAGTGCATTTCTTAAGTGGCTGAAAGACAATGCTGGAAACATTTGGCCTTAGTAAAACTCAGGGAAGAGATTTCTAATCTAAGATTTGACAGGAAATGAAATAAAAATCAATTATAATTTCTTGTTTGTTTGCAAATCTAATTCTTTGTTAAAGTGAAGTCAATCAAGTAATTGTAAATAGAAAGCTCTACAATTCTACACTATATGCTTGGTAGTAGAATGTTCTGAATATATTTTAAAGGTGTTAATACTTATAAGCCAATTTATATTGTAATAGACAAGGAAAATAATATCAACTGTGTTTAGTTCATATATTATCTCTGCCAAAAAATTAGCTCTGCTGGAGATATATACATACATACTAGAGTGAAAAACTGTTCCAGTTTGCGTGGGACTGAGGGCTTCCCAGGACATGGAACTTTCAGTGCTAAAGATGGGACAGTCTTAGGCAAACCAGGACAGTTGTTCACTCTACACACACAAATAATATTATTTATATGTATATATATATATTACATATTTATTACACATACATCTTTCCTCCTAATAGCTTGAGTCATCTTGCACAATTACTTTACTATGCTGTAATATGGTGATGTCGCAATAAGTATTTGGTAAATGAAAATGTGTGACAATGTGCTAACATAAGCCAGCATGCTGATACTTCTCTTTAGATATTTTATCTCAGTTTTGCACATTTCTTATTTCCTCCTTTTGCTAACACCTATATATTCTCAAAGTCATTAAATGTTATTGCTTAGTTGTTGTTGTTTTTTTAAGTCAGATATCCAACTTCCTGAGAATTTGTAAAATGCATTTTCCAAGTTTAGGTTATGGGTGTTTTAGGGAGAATAAAGTGCGTAGTTGTTTTTGTTGCTGTTGTTGTTGTTTTGTTTTGCTTTTTTGAGATGAAGTCTCGCTCTGTTGCCAGGCTGCAGTGCAGTGGTGCGATCTTGGCTCACTGCAATCTCCGCCTCCCGGGTTCAAGAGATTCTCCTGCCTCACCCTCCTGAGTAGCTGGGATTACAGGCGCACGCCACTACACCCAGCTAATTTATGTATTTACTTATTTTGAGACAGAGTCTCACTCTGTTGCCAGGCTGGAGTGCAGTGCCATGATCTGGGCTCACTGCAACCTCCATCTCCCAGGTTCGAGAGATTCTCCTGCCTCAGCCTCCCGAGTAGCTGGGACTGCAGGTGCGTACCACCATGCCTGGCTCATTTTTTGTATTTTTAGTAGAAACGGGTTTCACCATGTTGGCCAGGATGGTCTCGATCTCCTGAGCTTCTGATCTGCCTGGCTCAGACTCCCAAAGTGCTGGGATTACAGGCTTGAGCCACCCCGCCTGGCTGTAGTTTTTTAAATTAAAATAAAAATTACTGGATCAAAATTAGATTGAGTGATCAACCAACTAAAAGATTAAACACGACAAAAGTATATTTTTCTCTCACGTAAAAGAAGTCCGTGGGCAGGCAGCTCAGGGCTGGCTAGATGGCTTCACAATGACCAGGAACCCATGCTTCTTCTGTATTGTTGCATGGGGTCTCCTGGTCTAAGATGGTTGCTGAAATTCCAGCCCATTACCATATTCCAATCAGACAGAAGGAGGAAAAGAATCACATATAATATTTCAGCGTTGGTCAGAACATAGTTATATGGCTGCATCAAGCTGCAAGTAATGTTGAAAAATATAGAATTTACTCTGAGTGGTCACATGTTCCACTAAAGCTAGGATTCTGTCATTTAGAGAAAGAGAGAAAATGAATATCTGGGAACAATTAGAAGTCCCTAGAACTCCTAGCTAGACTTACTGCTCTAACAGATGAAATTTCTACTTTTTTAACCCAAGTATTATTTTATTTTCTTCTATTTGTTTGTTCTTCACCCTAAACATGTAATTACTTAAAAAAATTAAAAGTTTTCTTATATTAAATTCTGTCAGCATATGAGTTTGCATTTATCTCGGCCTGCAACATCTGGCATCACTTAAACATGTATAATTCGTGTTGCAGCATGTAAAGGAATTTAAATCATGCCTAATTTTCTGCTTAAGTTTTGGGTCTAGTTTTCCTTCTTCCAGCTGGGAGTTCAAGTCATATAGACAATGGCTAGACAGGGACTTTGCATGTGCCCAGTGTGCCTAGAGCCTTGAATTATGTGATCTCCAAGAGTCTGAGACTGGCCTATCAGCCCCTAACTACAAGTGATTTTCTTAGAGGCTTAGCCTCGTTTGTGGGTTTCACAAGTGGAATGAAGCTATACTTATATGATGAACATACTCAAAAATTATTAGATTCATGGAATTTTATTGCTGAAAGGCACTGAGTCCAATCACCTCCTTTTACTGAGAAGAAGCAGAGGAGTTATGTAACTTGTCTGACACCTAGCTAGTTAGTTACAAAATTACTCCTGGTCCTATTCTCCAAACCTCATGAAGAGGAAATGTCCTGTGGTTGTCCATGCCCTATCTTTCAGAGGACATATCATCACTGTGGGCCCACAACATTTCAGAATCAGCTTTGTGAGGCCCTTCTATCAGCCCTCACATAGAATCTACAGGAGAATACTAGTGTGGTGGGGAAAAGTTACCTCCCCATCCACAGTGTGAAGGGGCTTGACCTCTCCCTTCTGAGTAAGGAAGAGAATGGGGTGTGCTTTCAGGGCAGGAGTTCTTTTCCAGATTCTTAGGTCTCCCAAATAACATTCCTAAGCCATGTCTTGCAGCATCATGTGTATCTGAGGAACTGTGATAATTCATGTTTGGTGTTTGTTTTTATGTTACACAGTACAGAAAGTTGTATAAGCTCCTAGAATTGTCAAATGGGAAGAGTCCTAGAGATTCTTATTTCATCAATTCCTTGATTTCTCAGCTGAGAAAACTAAAACCCACAGAGATGAATTGACTTGGCAGAGATAATATTTCTTGCTTATGATTTATAGGAAGCCAAACTTAAAACAAGTCTATAGTTGCTCATTCCTAACAATATTAACCATGCTGTTTACATAATAGTATCTGAAAACTAATTGCCTACTTTAAATGAAAAGAGAAAAGTACGAGTTTGCTCCAAAACATCTCTTAAATTTATAATTAAATGACGTGAGCTAGTTTTATAAAATATTTTATTTACAGTAGAGCTTTACAAAAATAGTCTTAAATTAATACAAATCCCTTTTGCAATATAACTTATATGACTATCTTCTCAAAAACGTGACATTCGATTATAACACATAAACTACATTTATAGTTGTTAAGTCACCTTGTAGTATAAATATGTTTTCATCTTTTTTTTGTAATAAGGTACATACCAATAACAATGAACAATGGACAACAAATCTTATTTTGTTATTCTTCCAATGTAAAATTCATCTCTGGCCAAAACAAAATTAACCAAAGAAAAGTAAAACAATTGTCCCTCTGTTCAACAATACAGTCCTTTTTAATTATTTGAGAGTTTATCTGACAGAGACACAGCATTAAACTGAAAGCACCATGGCATAAAGTCTAGTAACATTATCCTCAAAAGCTTTTTCCAATGTCTTTCCTTCAACTGTTTATTCAGTATTTGGCCAGTACAAATAAAGATTGGTCTCAACTCTCTCTTTCATTAGTCTCAAGTGTTCCTATTATGCACTGAGTTTTCAGACCTTCCCAACTGGCATGTGTTTTAAGTGTGAGTTTCTTTCTTTGGCTTCAAGTGGAGTTTCACAACATTTATGAAACATACTGAGCTCCTCCATGTGGCTGGATCTCTGTGACTCCCCACCCAACAATATTCCCCCGGATGTGACAAGACTCTGCTCCTCCGGTCTCTCTTATCTCTTCATTGCTAAGAACACTATCCCAGATATTGAAGCCTGTGAGTCTCCCAGAGAAGGCTAATGTTTCATCAAAGCCACCACCCACACAGCAGCCATTCTTTTCTTGGCCAATCTGCAGGATTCCTCCCTCAGGAACAATGTGACCTGTGGCCATCTCAACAGTGGTAGCCGCCAGTTCACCATTTACCCACAAGGATGTGAGCCCTTCCTCTGAATTCCAGGTGCCGCACAGGTGGGTCCACCTTCCCAGGGAAACCATGGCTTCAGCAACCAGTTTGTTCTCCTCTCCACCCACCACAAACACTATGGATTGGTAGCTGAGATACAGCTGGATTTCATATGGATTCCTCTTTGTGCCATAGGAAAACAGGATGGTTTTGTTTAATACATCTGTGGCTTTGACCCAAATGCAGGCACTAAAAGACTCAAGCCTCATTGGTCTCACTGGATGCACGCTTCCAAAAATCTTCTTGGAACGCATTGGGAATAAAATAGCTGTTTCACAACCTAGAGTAGCAAGAAAATAAGAAGAATATTAAAGAAAATATAAATTAATTCAGAATTATTCTGGCATTAGTTATTTAACATAAGAATTTTAATTATTACAATTGAAAGCTATGTGAAACCCTACATTACGACTTAAGAAGCTTCCACTGTAATCTCTGCAGAGCAAAGAAAATGAGAAAAAGGAAAGCCAATTGTCTTATCCAATGAAGCATCTAAATGAAGAGAAAGCACGCAAATAGAAGAGCCAACTAGTCCAAACCCACAAAATAATAAAAGCCATAACTACCTCCCCTTCCAATTTGCATATTTTCTTTGTTACTGCTTTTTTTTAAAAAAGTTGAATCACTATCAGTTAACTTCAGACAATAATTCTATAATTTCCAAGAATTCAGAACCCAACCTGGTTCTCTCTTTTTGCCACCACCAAGTTCCTAAAATAATAAACCTGTGAAATTCAGTAGACCTAGTTCGCTCCATTTAGCCTTTACCAACATGCATTTTTCAGCAAAATTCTAGGATAGTGATGTTATTGCAGAATACATTTTTTTTTTTTTTTGAGACAGAGTCTCACTCTGTCACCCAGGCTGGATTGCAGTAGTGCGATCTCGACTCACGGCAACCTTCGCTTCCCAGGTTCAAGCGATTCTCCTGCCTCAGCTTCCGGAGTAGCTGGGACTACAGGTGCACACCACTGCGCCCAGCTAACTATTGTATTTTTTTTTTAGACACGGGGTTTCACCATGTTGGCCAGGTTGGTCTTGAACTCCTGACCTCAAGATCCGCCTGCCTCAGCCTCCCAAAATGCTGGGATTACAGGCATGAGCCACCACACCTGGCCTGCAGAATACATTTTAATACACCAAATGTTCTCAGATATTTGTAAACTTTGCAGAGTTTTTAGAAAACTACCTTTGAAAGGCAACAATGTATAATAATGATGACTAAGCTTATTGGGCATTCACTATGTATCAGATACTGTTCTAATCATTTTGTTTGTCATTTTAATCCTTATGCCAACCATAAGAGATAGTCTTTTACATTCCTATTTTACAGATGAGAAAACTTAGGTAAAAGTAACTTATCTATGTTTACATAGCTGATAAGCAGTAAAACTAGAGTTTGAATTTTTGCAGTCTGGTCACAGAGGCCACGCCCTTAATCAGCACACTACAGTGCCTCTTATTAATAGAACCCCTAGATTTCTCTAGGAGGGCTAGAATCCAGATGGTGTTACTACTAATGAGCCATGCAACTTTGGATGAGCACCATAATTTCCTCTAGGCTTTAGCGTTATCTAAAAAAGGCCCTTCCATTCTGCTCCTAATATTCTGCAAGTCTGTAAGCAGCAAGTATGTAGCACTTAAGAGCTGAATAGACCAAAAATGTGTTTAAAAATTCTACCTTGTCCACATGCTTATAATTACTATTTAAGCAGTAATTGAAAATCTTTAAGAGAAGTACATTCTTTCAAGGGGCCTGGTTGGAGAACATGTTTCTGCTAAAGAGCACTTGGGAGGGGGACTTTCAAATTTGAGGTGGAAAGCTCAGTAAGTTTCCACCATTGTCCATCTCAAGGCGACTTAGCCATTTGGGAAGCTGGAGATGCTGAAACGAAAACCTTTTACGTGTCCCTGGGAAAGAACAGGTGAGCTCTGCATCTATATACATAAATATATATATATGTATGTATACGTATATATACACACATATATACATATGGATATGTATGTATGTATACATACATATATGTATATAAATGTGTGTGTATATATATGTGTGTATGTGTATGTAGGTATTTTTTTAAAAACACCTAAATTAGGGCAGGTATAACAACCTAAAGAAGATATGCCATAAGACAGCTTTGAAAAGCAAACTCCCAGAATGGTTCCAGAATAACTGGTAAAGAGAAAGAACTTGCAGAAACCAAACATCCATGTAAAAGTGTGGTAAACTATGTCAGATTCCTACAAGTGGCTCAGGGGTAGGCTCTATCCTGAAAACATTAAACAAATATGAACCTTATCCTTTAGTGTTAGGGATAGTCAAATAAAATATTGGCATTCAGATAATCATATAAAAGTAACTACAATACTAAAACACAAAACTGGCTCTGTCATGCTTTGATACTTTTTCACTAAATAATTTGAACTTTTGAAGATTTTTTAAAATTAATTTTTAATGAGGCAGTGATTCTATTTTCAAATGAAATTGCTAGGTACATCTTTTCTTCCAGCTGTGTTAATTAAAATCAAATAAAAATCACTGAAAAAAATCACCATATCCATGGGCATTTGATATAGTCTCTATAAAGTTTCAATAAAGTAGTGTTCAATCACACCTGTAATCCCAGCACTTTGGGAGGCTGAGGCGGGTGGATCACAAGGTCAGGAGATCGAGACCATCCTGGCTAACACGGTGAAACCCCGTCTCTACTAAAAATGCAAAAAATTAGCTGGGTAAGGTGGCGAGCACCTGTAGTCCCAGCTACTCAGGAGGCTGAGGCAGGAGAATGGAGTGAACCCGGGAGGCGGAGCTTGCAGTGAGCCGAGATCGCGCCACTGCACTCCAGCCTGGGCGACAGAGCGAGATTCCGTCTCAAAGAAAAAAACAAAAAAGTAGTGTTCAAGAGGGTGCCTACTGCAATCGAATTAAGTGATTTCCTCTTTAAATAAGCCCAGGCAGTCAGGATTGCATTCCAAAGCACTCCTGGATTGCATCTCAGAGACTCAGCTTCCCTCTAGGCTACGCTGGCTATATAAGTTCATGGACTGGAACCGCATGTTGGCTATTTTTGGTGATCCTCTTTTGGGGACCAGGGATACCCAAAAACGAGGCTCTTAATACCTCTTTAAAATGTCAGAAACTCTCTTATGAAATGGCTTTTAACTAATAGGTTTTTCTGATTATCAAAGACCAAACAAAATTAAAACCAGGTTCTTAGGAGGCTAACAACAGAATGGTTAGGAGCCAAGCTGGCTGGAGACCAAGAGAAGATAAATCAAAGCATATGGGTAAAAGTATTATTGGATGTAATAAGGATTAACATCTTAGAATTCAGAAATGCATCCCTCTTCTGCTCTAACTAATATGCAAAGATGAAGATAAAAAATAGAGTAATTCTTCGGTTTTTCAGGTGCATTATATGTACAATGACTTTACGTGGTTTGCGAAACACAAGACATTTCATCCATTAAAATGGCTGCAGAATTCTAATTTCTCTCCTGTCACATTGAGAATCTAGTGTACATTTGATTTTATGCTTTTTCTCCTCTGAAGCCCTATTTAGTATTTACTGACAAGCACCCCTCAAATATTTAGGAAATATGATATGGTTTCTGTAACTTTAAATGAAACATGCTCTCATTACATAAAATTCTTTAACTTTAAATGAAACATGCTTCTTCCCCCTCCCCATCCAGCAAAAGTTGTTTTCTTGGAAATACAGGGAAGGATTCTCAGGAAAAGTGCAAGTTATATTTTCTTACCTAGGACACTGATTTTCTAATACAATCCAAAATGATTGTCACACCACCATTTCTTAGAAGTTTTGGCATACAAAGGAGTATTGATTGGCTCCAAATCTTCTATTTCTTTCTTTTAACCATCTTTAGAATGTATTATTTTGGGAACCCATGTCTGTTTGGAGATTCATGGAGTGTCACATGGGACTTTGAGAAGTTGCCTGTGGTTTGAACAGTCTCTCTCCTGCTTGGCCCCAATTCTCTGAATCCCTGGGGTGGAGCTGGGATCCCCTACACGGATTGGCTCCTACACCTGACTGTTCCACGCTGAATCCCAAACCGCACACCCTCCGACCTCCCCTGTCGCGCTAATTCCACAAACCCCGGGGGCTGGGGGACCCCTGAAGAATTCCGCTGACCCTTCGGGAGATTAGCTTTAGCCTCAAGTTTCTTGCTGAGAATGGGTGGGCGGAGAGGAGGGGCCGGCTGAGGGGCTGGAAAACATCCCTAAACGTTAGCCTGGGCCCTGAAATAGTGCGGGAAACCAGAGCTCCTCTAAAGACAGAGGCAGGATAAAATTAGAAGACGTGGAAATCCCTAACGGAGGGAAGCTGGGCGGCAAGAGGGATCACGGTTATAACGGGCCAGTGGACTCCTGCAGCGCTTAGTCGGATCGGGTGTAAGGGGCCCTAGACGTCTATTTCAAGACTGTGATGGTTACCTCCACAACTCTCTTTAGGGCTCCTTAGGACTGAGGAATACTTTTTTAAAGCCAATTTTCCCGCCTTGTATGGTGTGCCTGAGCTCTGTGACCGCGCATGCAGAAATAGGGGTGTGTGTGTGTGTGTGTGTGTGTGTGTGTGTGTGCGCGCGCGCGCGCGCGCTTCCCATGAAAGCTTCCCCTAGAAGGTTGCCTGGCTTGGCTTGCCGTTACGCGCGCTCCCGGAACAAAGCCGCAGTGGGAGGTCCCGGCCCCGCTTGCCTCCTTACCTGCCGGCAGCCAGCTCCGGGCAGCCCAGCCCTGCACCGCGTGCAGGTCGGCTCGCGTCTGCCGCAGCTCCTCTAGCACCGCGGCCAGGGCGCGCCCCGCCTCCTCTGGGCGCTGCGCCTCCGCGCCCTCCATACGCGCCAGCCTGCGGCCCGCGTCGCGGGTCGCCTGCAGCAGCTCGTCCAGAGCACTGGTCAGCCTGGCCTCTGCGGGAGCCCCCGGCGCGCACGGCCTCGCCAGGCTTTCCGCGAGCCGGCCCAGCTCCTCCCGCAGCCTCTGCAGCTCGCCCCGCAGGACGTCGTCCGTGGCTTGCAGCAGCATGCGCTCTCTCATCTGCGAGTTCTCCAGCATGATGAAGAGCTTGTCCCATTCCGAGTGCTCCTGACCGCAGGCGCACGGCGTGGCTAGAGTACGGGATACACACACGTTAGCAGCCCGCCCAGGCCTGCCTTGGATGTGCTTTGTAAAAGCTGACCTCCCTCGGTGGTGCCAAGTTGCAGCCCGTTCCTGGCATTCCCCTTCCCTTTAAGGACACCTCCGAAAAACAGCATGTAAATGTCTCAGAAACGACAGAAATCATTCATTCAGGTATAGATTAAGTTGTACCCTATGAAATCGCCGGTTATGTAGCTCAAAACAGTCAAATATTGACGATTTGATATGATTCAACCCATTATGTACGTTACAGAAATAACTTTGAAACCTCCATCTTTCTTCAAGTGCTTCTCACTTTTGCATAACAAGCTATAAATTTTTAACTTGTCTCACTGGCCACAAAGTATATGTGTGTTATTTAGACCAAGAGGTGGATATGTAGTCAGGGTTAGCAGAGAAACAGTTAAAGTGAACTTACGGTCCTCAGTGGGATGGAGTCCATTGTCTATTTCGTTGTCCAAATTCACATACATGAGATCATAATCATCCGAGTTCTCGGCCAACACTGCAGACCAGAGAGCACAAAACAGAATCGCAAGGAGATGCATTGCTGGAGAGACGCAAAGTTCTTTCCACAGCTGGCGGGAGGAGACTCTCAAGTGAGCTGAGTTTGAGCGGAGGAGAGTGAGAGTGAGAGGCTGGAGCAGAGAGTCCTTAATAAATGCTGAGGAAAGCCTGAATGGGGATGAATGAGTAATGCTGGTGGCACTGCGGTAACGGGAGTTCCCCTGAATTTGGTGGGGGAGGGGGCTGGGTGGGAGAGCGAGGGAAATGTGGAAGTTGCACAATATTAAACCGCAAAGGTTTACGCTGCAGTCAGATTAATTGGAGGAGGGTCAGAGGGGAAAGAGGAGAGAAACTGGGCTTCTACTGTTCTCCTGAGAATTAGCTGTTGTAATTTGAATTGATAGCAATGGGGATGAAGGAGGGGTGGTAGGGGAGAAATTTCAGAGGGTACTGAAGCAAATCATCATTTCAGCATTTTCTGTGAGCTGTTATTATTTCACAACCCTTTATATATAGAAAACTTTCCATGTTTCCTTTGTACACTGTTTTACAGGTTGAAACTGAAAATGGTCTGATTCCAAGATAAACCAACATATTAAGAATAGTTATGGCTCTGAAAGTCAAGTCCAATCCGAGCTATCTTGTCTTTAATACTTGAGGAGTTGCACCTATACTTTTATAGATAATTTTTTTTTTTGAGACTGAATTTCGCTCTTGTTGCCCAGGCTGGAGTGCAATGGTGTGATCTCGGCTCACTGCAACCTCCGCATCCTGGGTTCAAGCGATTCTCCTACCTCAGCTTCCCAAGTAGCTGGAATTACAGGCACCCGCCACCACACCCAGTTAATTTTTGTATTTTTAGTAGAGACAGGGTTTCACCATGTTAGCCAGGCTGGTCTCGAACTCCTGACCTCAGGCGATCCACCCGCCTTCGCCTCCCAAATTGCTAGGATTACAGACGTGAGCCACCTCACCCGGCCTATGACAAACAACACAGTACAACTGGGTAAACCTAGAATGGGGAAAAAAAGCTGGGGGAAAAAAGGAATATACTTATTTAGTTATTTAGGTATGTTTCTTTTCATAACTTGGTATTATGTGGACATTATATTATTCTACAAGGTTTCGAGGCAAGGATCATGTTTTAAAAGTAAACTTAGAGATTTCTGCTTCTAACAATATATACAGGTCTGTGTTCACATGATATTAATAAAAACTTAAAAGGTACAGATGAGCTCCCATTAAAGTAAGGGGAAAATCCCGGAGCCAAAGATAGAGAGGAAAGCAAAAACAACAATCCCATGAGCTGATGCTAGGGCCCCTCTGGCATAGGAGTGAAGTGAGATAGGGGTTATTAGTTCTATAACCACCAAATGTTGATGACCATGTGGAAGCAAAGCTTAGGCCAAAGGTGGAGAGTTAGAAGGGAGATCCTCATGAAAGCCAGGACCCTCACAGGGTTACCTACTGTATTTCAGTAGGTACAATCCCACTCTGCCCTAGCACAAAGAGGTAGGAAGCAATCATGTCTCTCTTTGAACTCTACAAGGTCCCTTTGAGTTTGTGAAATTGGGCCTGCCCTCAGATATGTTTAGAATTCAAATATATACTATCTGCCACTGTGAAAACAAAAAAGAATTCACAATGATATTTGAACATATGAGGAAGCAAACCACTATAAATGAGAATCAGCAGAAACCAAAAAGGATTAGACACCTCTCCCCAAGAACTGCATTTAGTTGAAATATCAGCCAAAAAACTAGAAAATAAATATGTTTAAAACTACTGAAGCTCTAAAAGAAGGAATTGGAAATATGAGAAAAGAATAAGACATTGTCAAAAAGAAAAAGGCTAGGTGATTTTTTTTAAAGAACCAAATAAAACTTCTAGAATTAAAAAAAAAAGTTAATTGAAAATTTTAAAAGCTCAAGGCATGGATTAAGTGGCAAATTAGGCAAAGCTGAAAAGAATATTAATGAACTGGAAGACAGATATAAGGAAATAATCTAAAATGTGCTGCTTTTATGTTCAGTAATAGGATTCTAAAATCATTTCATTGTTCAGGAGGACGAAAAAGAAATTAATTAATTTTGCTTTGCTCAAAAATATTTGTTATAAGTTTAAGGACAACTACCAAATGGACATAGGCATCCGAATAGAAGGTGCAGGGGGAATTTTTAAAGAAAGACTTGATCTATGAAAAAAAAATTAATGAAGGAGGAAAGAAAAGCACAGAGAAGGATAAGTTAAAAGTACAATATTATTTGCTAAAATTAAATCAAAATATACCAATAATTACCATAAATATTAATGAAACACATTTTCCAGTTAAGAGACAAATATTTCTATTTGTCATATAGAAATATTTTAGTCGGGGCTCACGTTCAGAATCCCAGTACTTTGGGAGGCCAAAGTAGGAGGATCACTTGAAGCCAGGAGTTTGAGACCAGCCTGATCAACATAGCAAGACCCTCATCTGCACAAAAAATTTAAAAATTAATCTGGTGTGGTGATATGCACCTGTAGTCTCAGCTACTCAGGAGGCTGAGGCAGGAGGATCACTTGAGCCTGGGAAGTGGAGGCTGCAGTGAGCTGTGATCACACCACTGCGTTCCAGCCTGGGCGACAGAAAGAGACCCTGAAAAAAAGAAAAGGAGAGAGAGAGAGAAGAAATATTTTAAAAATCCAGCTATACATCACTTACAAAAGCTATGCATAAAACATAAAGTAGAAATGTTAAAAGTTAAAAGCTTTAAATTGGAGGGGAGGAAGAGAACACACCAAGCAAGTATTATTCAAAAAAGCTAGCATAGCAGTAGTAATATCAGTAAAAAATAGACTTAGGCAAAAGAGGATAGTTAAATTATGATACAAAGAAATACTTTAACAGGAAGATATCTCTGAATTATCTAGTAATATAGTTTCAAAAAATATAAACCAAAGGTTGACAGAATTATAAGGAGAAATGGGCAAATCCATAATCATGGAGGGAGATTTTAACAAAGCTGATAAGTTCACATATATCATAACTGATCATTCAAATGCGAAAAAAAAGCCTGCCAAAGGATACAGAAACTTAAACTACATAACTTAAAGCTTGATATAATGAAGTATATAGAGTACTGCCCAGATGGTTTGATGGACAAGTTCTACCAAACATTCAAGGAACACATAATCCCCGTTTTGTACAAACTGCTTCTGAGAATAGAGTGTTCAGGAATGTGCTAAATTCATTTTACATGTCTACTAAGTATGATACCAAAAAGAGAAAAGGACAATACAAGAAAGGAAAACTGCAATCTCTCTCATTAAGAATGTTGATGCAACAGCTCTAAATAAAGTATTAGCCAAACACAGCAATATGCATAAAAATACACATTATGCACAGCAATGTGCATAAAAATATATCATAAGCAAGTTGAGTTTATTCCAAGACTGCAAGATTGATTAAATGTTAGAATAGCTGTTAACTTATTACATTAACAGTTTAAAGGAGAAGAATCATCATATCAATAGATGAGAAGAATGTTTGATAAAATTCAGCACTCAAAATAATCAAACTAGAAAGCAGACAGGAACTTACTTAAACTGAAAAAAACATAAATACCAAAACCTATAGAAACAGATACATATGTAATTGTAAATCCTTGGAAACATACTTTTGAAAAGCAGGATTAACACAAGGATACCCGTGGACAGTGACTCTATTCATCAAAGTGTGTATTGGAAGTCCCTGCCCATAAAGTAGGACATAAGGACATAAGGAGAAGAAACATAAGGATTAGGATGGAAAGAAATGAAGTTGTTATTATTTATCATGAGTGGATCATCTACATAAAGAAAAATCTAAGAGACTCAAAAGACATATTAATAAGAACTGAGCAACTTTTGTTGGATATAAGATCAACATACAAAAATCTATTGCTTTATTAATACCAGCAGATAAATTGAAAATGCCTTTGCAAATAAAGTTTTCATTTACAGTAGCAAAAATAGCTATGGGATACCTAAGCAACAATTTAACATAAGACAAAGCTAATTATAACACCTTATTTAAAAACATAAAAAGATCTACATAGACAGAAAGATAAATTATCTCCTTAAATGAGAAGACTCAGTTTTACGAAGATGTCAGTTATGCCAAATTAGTCAATATGTTCAATATGAAAAAGAAGTCCCAGTCTGGTTTTTCAAGGATGTTGACAGACTGATACTAAAATTTGTATAGAGTAGCCAAGAAGAGCTTGAAGAAGTAGGAGGTCAGGAAGTAGGTCCTATGGGATATAATGATTTATTATAAAATTATTGTAATTAAGAAAATGTAGACTTGATGAAGAGATGGATAAATGCCCAGAAACAGACCCAAACACATATGGAAAACCTAATATATGAAAGAGGTGTGGCAAATCAGAAGAGTAACAATTGACTACTCAATAGAAAAAATTATTTGTATACAAAGAAAAACATATAATTAAACTTCTTCCTCCTATGTACCAAAGTCATTTCCAGACAGATTGAAGACAACTACAAGAAAGCAAAACCATAATGCCTTTAAGAGAAAATATAGGAGAATATTTTTATGACCCTGGAATACAGAAAAATTTCTAACAAAAAAACCTAAACCATGAAGTAAAAAAATGAAAACAGTTGACTATATTAAGAATATAATTTTAAATCAATAAATCAAAAATTCATTCAGTAGCTCAGAATAATTAAGGAACTTCTAAAAATTAATAAGAAAAAATGGCAACATCCTAATAGCATATAGGCAAAGAATGTGAATGGCCAAATCACAAGTGAGGAAATCACCTATAAATATATGAAAAGGGCTGGGTGTGGTGGCTCACGCCTGTAATCCCAGCACTTTGAGAGGCTGAGGCGGGCAGATCACAAGGTCAGGAGTTTGAGACCAGCCTGGCCAACATAGTGAAACTCCATCTCTACTAAAAATACAAAAAAATTAGCTGGGTGTGTTGGCAGGCACCTGTAATCCCAGCTATTTGGGAGGCTGAGGCAGGAGAATCACTTGAACCCATGAAGCGGAGGTTGCAGTGAGCCAAGATCACGCCACTGCACTCCAGCCCAGACAACAGTGTGAGACTCCATCTCAGAAACAATTATATATATATGTATATATATAATTTGTTATATATAATATATAACAAGTAATTGGGAAATGAAAATTAAAGCAAAAATATTAGATACATCCCATCAGATTAGCAAACACTGATGTCTGTCACAACCAAATGTTGGCAAGAATGTGGACCAACAGAAACACTCATGCTGCTGGTGGGAGTAGATTGTCATAATCTTGGTGGTAGGCAGAATACTGGTCCCCCAAAGATGTCCATGTTCTAATCCCCGGAACCTGTGAACATGTTATGTAATATGCATTTCAGATAGAATTAAGGTTGCTAAATAAGATAGGGAGATAATCCTAGATTATTCAGTTAAACCCAATACAATCACAAGGGTCCTTAAAAGTGGAAAAGGGAAGCAGAAGAGAGAATCAAGGGGAGAGATGAGATGAAGGAACAGGGATCAGAGAGATGCCATGTTGCTGGCTGTGAAGATGGAGAAAGGGGCCACAAACCAAGAAATTCAGGCAGCCTCTAAAAGCTGGATGTATCTGTCTGTTTTCACACTGCTATAAAGATACTACCTGAGACTGGGTAATTTATGGAGAAAAGAGGTTTAATTGACTCAGTTCCACGTGGCTGAGGAGGCCTCAGGAAACTTACAATCCTGGCGGAAAGCAAAGGGGAAACAAGGCACGTCTTACATGGCAGCAGGAGTGAGGGAGAGTACAGCGGAAACTGCCACTTTTAAACCATCAGATCTCATGAGAACTCCCTCACTATCATGAAAACAGCATGGATAAAACTACCCTTATGATCCAACCTCCTCCCACCAGGTCCCTCCCTTGACACGTGAGGATTACAATTCAAGATGAGATTTAGGTGGGGACACGGAGCCAAAGCATATCACTGGTTAAGCCAAGGAAACAAATTCTCTCCTAGAGCATCCAGGAAGGAACCCAGCCCTGGGCACACATTGATTTTAACTTAGGGAGACTTATGTCAGACTTCTGAACTACAGAAATATAAGATAATAAATTTGTGTTATTTTAGGCCACTAATTTTGAGATAATTTCTAATAACAGCTATAGAAAATGAATACAACTGCTTCACAAAGAAATTTTGGAACATCTACAAAGTCAACTCCTAGGGACATACTCAGTGCTTTGCCACTTAACTAACTATTTGGTCAATGGACCATCAGTGTCACCTGAGAGCTTGTTAGAAATTCAGACGCTCAAACCCTACCTCCAACCTGTTGAATCAACATCTGTGTTTTAAAGATATGCCCAGGTGACTTCTAAGCACATTAGACTCAGAAGCACTACCCTAAGAAATATCTCTCATTTTTGCACAAAGAGACAGTTATTTCAGCATTATTGATTAAGGCAATGAATAATAATGACAACATAATGTCTTTCAATCACAGAGAGTATATGAATAAGTTGTTGCATATTTATACACTGGAATAACACATGGCTGTGAGAGTAAATGAAGGAGAGCTTCTTGGAGATATAACTCCTACAAAATGTTGAATAGGAAAAAAATATGTTGCGAAGGGATGTGTAGAGTATGATGGTATTCACATAAAATTTTAAAGCATCCAAAACAATACTATATAATGTTTATTGATACATACGCATGTAATTAAAGTGTAAAAATACTTATGGAGATCATAAATACTCCCTTTAGGATGATGGTTGCCTCTGGGGAGAAAAGGAAACAAATGGGATGAAAAGCAATTATCATATAAGGTTAAGTTTTGACAAATCTGGTTGGTAGGCACACCAATGTTCCTTATATTATTGCCTACATTTGTTTGATGACTTGAACTATTTCATAATTTAAAAGAAGGTATTATTGACTAATGGAATTTATAAGATTTCTGCAAAAGTTCTGCATTTGTTTTTTGTATTATTTGATTGAAATTCAAGTCAGCTGAAAAATGACTAATCTGGGGTTTTTCCCTTCAAGGCTCCCAGGGCCTCTGTAGTGAGTTTTGTACCGAAATGCCATGCAACAGTTTCCTGTCTTAGACTGCAACTACAGTCCCTTTTAATGTGACCATTTTTAGCAGTTGATCAGTATGTCCTCATAACTAAGTTCTATAATCTAACTTGGGCTTTACAAATTGGGTATTGCATTAAAAAATTCCTGATCTTTTAAGGAGACGCTCATAGTAAAATAAACAGAAAACAAAACAAATTGTTGAAAATTAAACTATTGAAAATAAATACTGACGAACACAACCTTTTAAAAGAAAACTCTAAATATTTCCAACAACTTGTATTCTGGGGAACATGATAAAACCTGTTTTAGACTTATTCTATGAACTACATGTGGAAAAAACAATTCTCATTTTTTATTATCTCCCAAATTCATTCAATTCATTCAGTTTTATCCAGAATCACGCTTTCGTTAAATTTAGATATTGATATTCTGAAAATTCTGGCCTTCTTTCTTTAATGATCATATCTAAATTGTCTTTTATATATAGGCATGTTCCTACCATTTAATGAAGGTCCATATATGTGTAATTCCTTCTTATTTGATTCTTTCTGTGTATGGCTTCTATATACAAAGCCAAATTTAAAGTAAAAGTAGAGTCAAAAAAATTCTTGTTCAAAAAATCCCTAGAAACCAATTCCCCTGAGACATTTAAGTACTTGTGAGGATTTTGAGAAAAAAAATCTATACCATAGAGTGATAAGCAGATGTTGCCCATATGTTGATTGCAGATAAGTTTCTATACGTTATGTAATAGTTTTCTTGAGGTTTTGCCATTATAAATCTAGTTGTCTATACATATCTTTGAGGAAATTATGTGTGACAAATCAGCTGAGGCTAAACTTCCCTTGAAATAGTGCAGAAATTGGGGATTTAAATTTGCATTACTACTTCTTAAACTATTCATAAAATAAGGCATAGTTTCTGTATGTGAGTTGTCTAAATTATGATTCTGTGTCTTCCAGGAATGTGAATTCATTCCTTTGCACTTTTTTTGTTGTTCAGTTTCATTTAGGTCCATGATTACAGCACTGCTTAGTTTTCATTTAAACATCGTTTAAATTTTGTTTATCATCAGGAATTCTTTATTGGAACTGTTTCCTTCTCAAGGGTGTGGTCTGATTACTGTCAAAGTTCCTCTATCCCCATGGTGCATTACTTAGCAAAATTTTTCATTAGTTAATGGTGCTGATTATATCATAAAATATTTCCTTTTGTGGAATCGGATTAAATCACATTTTAATCTCAGAATAAGGTACCATGTTATTTTTAGCAAAAGAATTGGCCATCAGTCTGTGCTATTTAATGTGTAAGTGCAAATATTATTACATTGGTAATAATGTTATTTCTGTTGCTCATGGCCTGATAAAGTCATCATTCCCTTTATTGTTCCCTCAACAGGTAACACCATGTTGTTGAGAGTGTTACCTGCTGTGTATGAAAAGCAGCCTCAGCCAATTAATAGACACCTGACAGAACTCCTGGCCTTGATGTCTCAGCTGGAACAGCCAGAACAGTACCATCTACTACGGCTTTTGCATGTAGCAGCAAAGAAAAAACAACTCGAGGTAAAAAGTACATTGTATATGTCATGGTGCACACAACCAGGCATGTTTCTTTGTGTGTGAACAGCGTATGTGCTTAGGATTTCCTGTCTCATACATTTACAAATGCCCATTTTTTTAAGTGAAAGCGCTCATCTACTTACTCTGTTTGTATAATGAGAAACTGGCTCATGAAATTATGGAGGCTAAGAAGTCCCATCTGTCATCTGCGAGCTAGATGCCAAGGAAAACCAGTGGCATAGTTTCAATTCAAGTCTGAAAGCCTGAGAATTGGAGAGCTGATGGCATAAGTTACAGTCTGAGGACAGGAGAAGACCAATGTTCCAGCTCACAAAATCAGGCAGAGAGAGTAAATTCTCCCTTCCTCCACCTTTTTGTTCTATTCGGGCCCTCAGTTAATTGGATGAGGCCCACCCATATTGCAGGGGCAATCTGCTTTATTCAGTCTACCCATTCAAATGCTAATCTCATCTGAAATAATCCTCACAGACATACCCAGAAATAATGTTTAATCAAATATCTGGGTGCCCCATGACCCAGTCAAGTTGACACATAAAATTAACCATCACAGGCAGAGCATGGTGGCTCCTGCCTGTAATTTCAACATTTTGGGAGGCTGAGGTGGGTGAATCACTTGAGGCCAGTAGTTTGAGGCCAGCCTGGACAACATGGTGAAACTCTGTCTATACAAAAAATACAAAAATTAGCAGGGCATGGAGGAGGCACCTGTAGTCCCAGCGACTCAGGAGGCTGAGGTGGGAGAATCACCTGAGCCAGGGAAGTTGAGGCTACAGTGAGCCAAAATCATGCCACTGCACTCCAGCCTGGGTGACAGAGTGAGACCTTGCCTTAAAAATAAATAAATAAATATTAACCAGACAGATACAGTAATGAAAAGCAACAAATGGGCCAGGTGCAGTGGCTCACGCCTGTAATGCCAGCACTTTGGGAGGTCGAGGCTGGTGGATCACAAGGTCAGGAGTTCAAGACCAGCCTGGCCAAGATGGTGAAACCCTGTCTCTACTAAAAATACAAAAATTAGGCTGGGTGTGGTGGCTCACGCCTGTAATCCCAGCACTTTGGGAGGCTGAGGCAGGCAGATCACGAGGTCAGGAGTTCAACCAACAGGACCAACACCGTGAAACCCTGTTTCTACTAAAAATACAAAAGCTAGCTGGGCATGGTGGTGCGTGAATGTTATCCCAGCTACTCAGGAGGCTGAGGCAGGAGAATCGCTTGAACTTGGGAGACGAAGGTTGCAGTGAGCCAAGATTGCAGCACTGCGCTCCAGCCTGGGCAACAGAGCAAGACTCTATCTCAAAAAAAAAAAAAGAAAAGAAAAAAGAAAAATTAGCCAGGTGCAGTGGCGGGAGCCTGTAATCCCATCTACTTGGGAGGCTGAGGCAGGAGAATTGCTTGAACCTGGGTGGCAGAGGTTGCAGTGAGCTGAGATTGAGCCACTGCACTCCAGCCTGGGTGACAGAGTGAGACTCTGTCTCAAAAAAAAAAAAAAAAAAAGCAACAGATTTGCGAATCTGTGGCTATTGTAGAATGTTGTTAAAGAAAGTTTAATGTCGTCATGCAGTTCTAGGAATCTGTAGTTTCTCAGGTAAGACCAAGAGAAAGACCTACACTTAACTTTATTTGTGAATTAATCAGCCTATAGTGACAGCAAAGGTTCATTTTTCAGATAGCAAATCAGTTATTGTTCTTTGGATTCAAGTAGAAGATTTTAACAATTAGGATGTTTACGATTATCAGTAATAGAACACCCAAACCACAGTAGTTTCATCAAGGAAAGGAATTTATAGCTAATGTGATGGGAAAAAATCAGATGAGGTTTGGTTCAAAAATAATGTGAACAAACAATTTCTCTATTTTGATTTCTCAGATTTGACTTCTAGGCTCCCATTTTCCACAGGCTTTCTCCCTGTCATCTCCAAATAGGTGCTAGGGGCTCTCTTCGCACTATGCTTCTCCTACATCTATCACTGCCACCAACATCCAACAGAAGTCTTGATATTCTGTCTGTTTTGGATGCATGCTCTACCCCTAGAGCTTCTGTTGAACTGGAGGATACACAGACAGAAACTAGAGGCTGCCAGGAAGAGGGAATTTGAAATGGATTCTGGAGGGTACCAATGTATTAGTCCATTTTCATGCTGCTGATAAAGATATACCCAAGACTGGGAAGAAAAAGAGGTTTAATTTGACTTACAGTTCCACATGGCTGGGGAGGCCTCAGAATCATGGCGGGAGGCAAAAGGCACTCCTTACATGGTGGCAGGAAGAGAAAATGAGGAACCCCATGCAAAAGCAGAAACCCCTGATAAAACCATCAGATCTCATGAGACTTATTCACTACCATGAGAACAGTATGGGAGAAACCACCCTCATAATTCAAATTATCTCCCACTGCGTCCCTCCCATAACATTTGGGCATTGTGGGAGTACAATTCAAGATGAGATTTTGGTGGGGACACTGAGCCAAACCATAACATTACATCCCTGGCCCATCCAAATCTCATGTCCTCACATTTCAAAACCAACCATGCCTTCTCAGCAGTCCCCCAAAGTTTTAACTCATTTCAGCATTAACACAAAAATCCACAGTCCAAAATCTTATCTAAGACAAGGCAAGTGCCTTCTGCTTATGAGCCTGTAAAATCAAAAGCAAGTTGGTTACTTCCTAGATACAGGCATTGGGTAAATACAGCTGTTCCAAATGGGAGAAATTGGCCAAATCCAGGGGCTACAGGTCCCACGCAAGTCTGAAATCCAGGAGGGCAGTCAAATATTAAAGCTCCGAAATGATCTCCATTGACTCCATGTCTCGCATCCGAGTCACACTGATGCAAGGGTTCCCATGGTCTTGGGCAGCTCCACCCCTGTGACTTTTCAAGGTACAGCCTCCCTCCTGGCTGCTTTCACAGGCTGGTGCCCCAGTAGGGACTCTGTGTGGAGGCTCTGACCCCACGTTTCCCTTCTGCACTGCCTTAGGAGAGGTTCTCCATGAAAGCCCTACCCCTGCAGCAAACTTCTGTCTGGACATCCAGGCATTTCCATACAGCCTCTGAAATCTAGGCAGAGGTTCCCAAACCTCAATTCTTGACTTTTGTGCACCCACAGGATCAACACCACATGGAAGTTGTAAAGGCTTGGGGTTTACACCTTCTGAAGTCATGGCCCGAGCTGTACTTTGGCCCCTTTCAGTCATTGTGGGAGTGTCTGGGACACAGGGAACCAAGTCCCTAGACTGCACACAGCGTGGGGGCCCTGGGCCTTGCCCATGAAACCATTTTTTCTTCCTAGATCTCTGGGCCTGTGATGGGAGGGGCTGCCATGAAGACCTCTGAAATTCCCTGGACACATTTTCCCCATTGTCTTGGGGATTAACATTTGACTCCTTGTTACTTATGTAAATTTCTGCATCCGGCTTGAATTTCTCCTCAGAAAATGGGTTTTTCTTTTCTTTCACATTGTTGGCTGCAAATTTTCCAAACTTTTATGCTCTGCTTCCCTTATAAAACTGAATGTCCTTAACAGCACCCAAGTCACCTCTTGAATGCTTTGCTGCTTAGAAATTTATTTGCCAGATACCCTTAATAATCTCTCTCAAGTTCAAAGTTCCAGAAATCCCTAGGGCAGGGGCAAAATGCTACCAGTCTCTTTGCTAAAACATAACAAGCGTCACCTTTGCTGTAGTTTGCAACAAGTTTCTCATCTCCATCTGAGACCACCTCAGCCTGGACCTTATTGTCTATATCCCTATCAGGGTTTTGGTCAAAGCTATTCAACAAGTCTCTAGGAAGTTCCAAATTTTCCCACATTTTCCTGTTTTCTTCTGAGCCCTCCAAACTGTTCCAACCTCTGCCTGTTACCCAGTTCCAAAGTCACGTCCACAGTTTCAGGTATCTTTTCAGCAACGCCCCACTCTACTGGTACCAATTTACTGTATTAGTCCATTTTCATGCTGCTGATAAAGACATACCCAAGACTGGGAAGAAAAAGAGGTTTAATTCGACTTACAGTTCCACATGGCTAGGGAGGCCTCAGAATCATGGCAGGAGGCAAAAGGCACTTCTTACATGGTGGCAGTAAGAGAAAATGAGGAATATGCAAAAGTGGAAACCCCTGATAAAACCATCAGATCTCGTGAGACTTATTCTCTACCATGAGAACAGTTTGGGGGAAACTTCCCCCATTATTCAAATTATCTCCCACCAGGTCCCTCCCACAACATGTGGGAATTATGGGAGTACAATTCAACATGCGATTTGGGAGAGGACACAGAGCCAAACCATATCAACCAACATGTGTGCACAGTGAATATGAATTGTTAGTCCAAGGTTATTCAATTATGGTTGTCCCATTTCTTTATAGTTTCACTATCCACCACTTGAAAAAAAAATCAATGCTTAAGTGAAGACTGGAACATTTGTATTCAACATACAAATTACTCAAAGAAAGGCAAGAAAGAATAGTTATATGCATAATTAGCCACAATAGACTGCAAGCTCCTTTGACAAGAAATGATTTCTTCTTTCCTCTGTATCTTAGACTTTTCCATAGTATCTGATAGTGCTCAATAAACATTCATAGAACCAAACTGACAATAAACATAGAATCAAATTAAACAAGGTGATAAATTCTTTGCAAATGGCATAAACAGAGATGGGGGTAATGAATTCTACTTTAGAGGAAAATAGATGCCATGAAGTCCCACAAAGGGTGTGACATCAGGCCATATCCTGAAGAATGCATACTTTTATGCAGATGATTCAGAGCTGGGAATCTTGAATATTGGAGAGCAGAATTCACAGGAAGCTTCAGGAGATGAGACCAACAAGGATGACCAATGCCTGAGCCTCACTCCCAGGGATTTTGGTTCAGTAGGTTCAGTAGACACAATTGGGTACCCCAACTGTGTCTTTTTACAAATACCCATATGGTGCTGCTGCTATTGCTTCAAGGGACAACATTTTGAGGAGCAAGGCTAGAGCTCAGGCAGAGGACTGGGGAATTCTGTGTTACTGGTATGCACTGTCCCTTTTGCACATAGAGCAATATGTTGTTATTTTTGCACGACTGTTTCTTTCAGTGCACTATAAACTCCTTAAGGTACATAGGACTCTTATCTACATATTCATATGCACTCCCTGGTGTAGTGCTGGGTTACATAGTAGGATTCTAATAAAAAGTTATTGAATTAAGAAATGAACAAATTAACAAGAGACAAAAATAGTGAAGACATGAAGAACGAGGAAAAGTCATGCTGTATTCTCCAAAGGGGAAAAAGTGGCTCAACAGGGTCAAGGTCTAGAGAAGTAAAAAAGACAAGAGACAGGCATTGACCTTGGATTTGGCAATTGGGGCTCACCAGTTGTTATCTTTTTTATAAAAGGCAGCATCATTGAGGCAGGGTGGGAGAAGTCAGTCATTTATTGTGGATTGCATATGGAAGGGAAGGTTAGGAAAGGATCATGTGAGTATGGACTGCCAATTCAGGAAGTTTAGAAAAAACAAGGAGAGTTAAAGACACAATAAGAATAAAGGGATTGAAGATGTGAGAGGAAATAGGAGACAGAACAAGGTGCTGGAGGAAGATGGGGAATGTATTCCAGAGCACAAATGAGAGAACCAATTTTGGAAAGGATTGAGGACAGAAAGGATGAGCAAAACTGCAGTAGAGTTTGGGGTGAGGAGTGGAGTTGAAGGATTACTCGATCACCTAGAGCAGAGGTCCCCAACTGGGGAAATAACTGGGCAGCTTCCACTTCCACTGTAGAGAAGGCTACAAGAGGAGGAGTTTCCTCAGTGCTGGTCCCAGCAGGCAGGGGAGGGTAGACAATGGCACTAATAGTGACTGAGCTCATACCATATACCAGGCACTATATAGGTGTATCACAGACATCTCATTTATTTCCCACAACAAGCTTTTTGTTTTATAAATAGAGAAGCCAATGTTTGGAGAGGTTTTTAAGAACAGTGGTGGTACCAAAGGGTGACTTGGTGGGTGAGGTGGCTTTTCACATGCACTTCATCTTTATCAGCCTTTCAACTTTCATGTCCCCCACTGACCATCAGAGTCATACTACCTTCCCTAAAACCATCCTAAAACCATCTGGGCCTCACACTAGCTGGGTCACTTTCCCAAAGCCAGATAGATCAGGCCAAGCTGCAACACAAACCCAGTCTAATTCCAACCAATGAAATCTTTTGACCTCAACACACTAAAGAATCAAGGCTGTGGCTTGTGAAGCAAATGAGAGTTCCAGAAGATACAGGAGAAGGTGAGGGAGAAAGGGCAGTTGGAGGGTGGCTAGACAAAAGAAGGAGAGTAAACAAAATGAGGAGAGGGTGAACTCACATTCTGCTAGGTATTGTGGGTGCTGAGTGTGGATCCCAGAACAAAGAGGCCAGGGTTTAGGGAGCACCTAGAGTGATGTGGATGGACCCCACCCATGCCAGGATCCTACCTGGGGGGAAGAAGTTGTAATGGGGTATTGTGGAGTCCCGTTTCCTGTCACCCCTACCTTCATGGTAAAGCAGCCTCTCCACTTGCCTCCCTCGGCTCTTCGTGCTCTGTTCCTGCTGCCAGCACCCCTAGAACTAGAGCACACCCTTGATTTCAAAGGGTCTGTCACCACAGGTGGTACAATACAGAAACTGCCTGATTCACCTTCTCCCTCACCCCTTCCTTAATTAGACAGTGAGCAAGGGAGATGGAAGGAAATGTGGAGAAAGGGTTTACTGAGAAGGGAAATAAGTGGCGACAACCAGAAATACAGACTGAAGCTTTCAAGTTAAGCCTAATTCATTTCAGGTGAAATAGGAAGCTAACTAAGGAGGTTTTGACTTTGTGAAACTGGAATTCAAGTAGAGCTTCCCTGCCTGCATTAAAGCATTCCTGATGCTCTGTAACTTGGAGGTAAACTGAGTGAGCTCTCTAGGGAGGGGCAATGTGCGGGGATGCTTCATGTGTCCTGAATGCCCTTCTCACTACCCACCTTCTGTGACCTGGGATAGCATGGCTTTCCAGGGCTGGAGGGTCAACAGTTGGCCCTTGAAAAAAAAATTCTCTACATAAAGCTGACTAGTCCATGAGACTGTGAAGGTAGCATCGCTTCAACATCCACATATCACATATCTGTGAGCTCCACGATGTGGCTAACTGAGCAGATGGGTCCCCTTCCTCCATCACTGCCCTCTAGGCATCCTACTTTTCAGGACACTATCCTTGCCAGATGGAAGGAGGCAGTTCCTGGCTAGTAATTTATAACTGGTACCTCCAGAGAATTCTCAGGATCCATTTACAGAAAAAGGCTGGGTGATCAACTTTCCAAGTGGCCTTTATGAGAATCAAGTCTATAATCTTGGCTGCTGTAAACCATGCTGTAGTCTAGCCAACGAAAGGAACAGAGTTTAGTAACACATATAAGCATATCTGTTGTTATCCCTGGGACATTAACTTCTATCCCCAAGCATACAGCAATGAGTGACAGGAAGTGGCAAGGGAAGCCTTCCGGTGATGAATGTTCAGACACAGAGGAGCTGCTTTTGTGATCTGTTCCCTAGAGGAGAGAATTATTTTCTAGGATTTTTGCTCAACAGTGTAGAGCATTCCTATTCACACACCTAATCGAGGCCAAGAATACTCAGAGGTCACTTTTGGTATTCATTTAAAATAAGAAGTCATTTGCAGAACATTAAGAAGACAGAGTGCTGGAATATGTAGACTGTTCTGAAATTTAGAGCAGAACTATGGTTTTTGGAATATATAATATTTTTCAGTATGGTAGGAATTAGTAAATAAAAATGGCAGTCATTTTGTCCATTTCTAGAGATTAGTAGATTCTTAATGCTAGCCAAAGTAATTAAAAGAGAAAATTGGGCCTGAAGACTAATTGAAGAGGAAGTGTGTGCCCACGCACATGTGTATGTGTATGTGTGTGTGTACATAATTGCTCTTTTTTTTTTCTCCTTCAACTTTTAAGTTCTGGGGTACATGGGCAGGATGTGCGGGTTTGTTACATAGCTAAATGTGTGCCATCGTGGTTTGCTACACAGATCAACCCATCACCTGGGTATTAAGCCAAGCATGCATTAACTATTCTACCTGATACTTTCCCTCCCCCCAGCCCCCCAACAGGTCCCAGTGTGTGTTGTTCCACCCCTCCCATATCGTATGCTTGTATTCTCATCGTTCACCTCCCACTTATAAATGAGAACATGTGGTGTTTGGTTTTCTGTTTCTGCATTAGTTTGCTGAGGATAATGGCTTCCAGCTCCATCCATGTCCTTGCAAAGGACATGATCTTGTTCCTTTTTATGACTGCATAGTAGTCCATGGTATATATGTGCCATATTTTCTTTATCCAGTCTATCATTGATGGGTATTTGGGTTGATTCCATGTCTTTGGTATTGCAAATGGTGCTGCAATGAACATATGCATGCAAGTATCTTTATAATAGAATGATTTATATTCCTTTGGGTATATACCCACTAATGAGATTGTTGGGTCAAATGGTATTTCTGGTTCTGGGTCTTTGAAGAATCACCACACTATCTTCCAAAATGGTTGAACTAATTTACATTCCCACCAATAGTGTAAAAATGTTCCTTTTTCTCCACAACCTCGCCAGCATCTATTTCTTCTTGACTTTTTAGTAATCACTATTCTGACTGGCGTGAGACAGCATCTCACTGTGGTTTTGATTTGAATTTCTCTAATGATCAGGGATGTTGAGTTTTTTTTCATATGTCTGCTGGCCACATGAATGTCTTCTTTTGAGTAGTGGCTATTCACGTTCTTTGCCCACTTCTTAATGGGGATGTTTGTTTGTTTTCTTGTAAATGTTTAAGTTCCTTGTAGATTCTGGATATTAGACCTTTGTCAGATGGATAGATTGCAAAAATCTTCTCCCATTCTGTAGATTATATGTTCACTCTGATGATAGTTTCTTTTGCTGTGCAGAAGCTCTTTAATTAGATCCCATTTGTCTTTTGCTTTTGTTGCAATTGGTTTTGATGTTTTCATCATGAATCTTTGCCTGTGCCTATGTCCTGAATAGTATTGCCTCGATTTTCTTTTAGGGTTTTGATCTTTTGGGGTTTTACATTTAAGTCTTCAATCCATCTTGAGTTAATTTTTTTATGAGGCGTAAGGAAGGGATCCTATTTCAGTCTTCTGCATATGGCTAGCCACTTCTCCCAGCACTATTTATTGAATAGAAAATCCTTTCCCCCTCGCTTGTTTTTGTCAGGTTTGTTGAAGATCAGATAGTTGTGGATGTGTGGTCTTATTTCTGAGATCTCTATTCTGTTCCATTCGTCTATGTGTCTGTTTTTGTACCAGTACTCTGCCGTTTTGGTTACTGTAGCCTCGTAGTTTAGTATGAAGTTGGGTAGTATAACGCCTCCAGTTTTATTCTTTTTGCTTAGGATCGTCTTGGCTATTTGGGCTCTTCTTTGGTTCCAAATGACTTTTAAAATAGTCTTTTCTAATTCTGTGAAGGTCAATGGTAGTTTAATGAGAGTAGCATTGAATCTGTAAATTGTTTTGGGCAGTATGGCCATTTTCACAATACTGATTCTTTCTATCTATGAGCATGGAATGTTTTTTCCATTTGTTTGTGTCCTCTCCGATTTTCTTGAGCAGTGGTTTGTAGTTCTGCTTAAAGAGGTCCTTCACTTCCCTTGTTAGCTGTATTCCAAGATATTTTATTCTCTTTGCAGCAATTGCGAATGGGAATTTATTCATGATTTGGCTCTTTGCTTCCCTGCTGTTGTTATATAGGAATGCTAGTGATTTTTGCATATTGATTTTGTATCCTGAGACTTTAATTGCTTGAAAACTTTTATTCTTTACAGAGGAATTGAAATGTTGTTTGCTGTAAATTAAGTTACGGCACTGTTTTCAGATGGCCCTATCCTCAAGGTGCACATGGTCTGGAAGATATATCCATCAATCTTCAATGACAAAATGCCAAACTCGTGAATAGACTGCTATGGGAGCACAGAAGAGGAAGTGACTAACTCTATTCAGGAAAAACCAGGGAATTCAGGGTTGCTGCCCTACCCTGGGCTACTTGGTTTAGAGCATTCTGTTTGGGCCCTCCTTTACTTGCACCCTTAGTTCCCATCCACTCCTTTGCCCACTAAACTCAGTTCAGGTAACTGAGATCTTGGAATTCCTTTCCCAGGTATCTCAAACCTGCTTCCAGAGCTTGTGAAGACTTCGTCCTTGGGTCTATTCTCCTGAGAACAAGCCATGCCGACAGTTGACCCCATATTCTTGAGAGGTGGCCTAGAAGAGCTTGCATATGTGGACTGGGGTGTTCACATGCAGGGCAAAGCCAGGGGTAGAAATAGAAGAGAAGGGATGGGGCAAGGAATGGGGGCTGAGAGACATCTCTCCCTGTTTTCTCTACAGAGTCCAAACATTCTAAATTCAAATCAAGCATCACAGATTGTTATAAAGGCACATTTGTCAGGGAGGAGGATAGAACATTTTATATAGCAGCTGAATATTTGTGGTGTAAGGGCCTCTGCTTGTACCCTAGTGTCAGGTCCTGCATTTGTTATGGTGGGCTGGAAAGAAGACTTCCAAGAAGTAGAGATTTGAGATCGAATTTGAAAGTATGAGATTTCTCTCTGTGTTCAAGCCACTGTGAGTGATCAGTGCCATGTAGCTGGGTCATGGGGGAAGAGTCTGCAGATAGGCCCATCAAAAAAGACACTGGAATCTGGAATACCACAGCATTGGAATTTTGGCCATGGGCCATGAGAAATTTTTGAAAGTCTCTAAGAGAGACCTGAGGTAATTAGATCGGAGTTTAAGGGCTATGACTCTGGTGGCAGTGAGGAGCCTGAACAGAAGGGACAGAGACTTGAGGCAAGAAGGCCAGTTTGGTAGCTTTTTCAGCTGTCCATGGTTTACAGCCTGAACAAAGTCCATGTCAGCTTGTTCTCTGCAGCCAGAATCTATATTCTTAGTGGCTACTTGGCTCTCAGCAAAGCACAGCATTCCCTGAGTCAGGAAGGCGGCTCCCAATGAGGAAGCACTGAAGACACCAGCCTAAGGAAATGCCCTATGTTTGGAAAATAAAATTCCTTCTAATCCAAGAATAATCTATCTAAAGCCCAAAGCAGACTTGTTTCTCATGTGTGGATAAATTTCAAGAAATACCTGTGTTTTCTATCATTATCATAACAAGCTTTAGGCTATTAGGAATTCAGAGTAAAAAAAAAAACAACTTTTGTTTAATTTGTAAAATTGTTATTATTTAGTTTACATTGTTCAGGGCTTCACTTCCCTTGCTCTTTCTATGGATTCAACTATGCCCAGGTGTATGTATTTGCCTTGAGCTTCTTTCTTTCCTTTTCTCTCTTCTTTCTTTCTCTTTCTCCTTCCGTCCTTCCTTTCTCTTTCTTTCTTTCTGTCTGTCTGTCTTTCTTTCTCTTTCTCTCTTTCTTTTCTTTCTTTATTTCTTTCTTTCCTTTTTCTCTTTCCTTTCTCTCTTTCTTTATTTCTCTTCCTTCCTTCATTTTTTCTTTTTCTTTCCTTTTTAATTGTTCTTTACAGGACAACAGCTAAAACCCATGCTGTGTAGCTTGGGACGTATCACTGGAGTTTAAATTTTAAAGTAAAAGTGACATGACTAGAAGCACATGTCACAAAGACCTTGGTGTTCAGGAAACAGGACCTGAAGAGTAAGGACTGGCAAATGAAACTTTATAGAATGGGGCAGGAAATGTGCAAGCATTTTTCATTGCTAAAAACATGAGGTTAAGTATGTTGCCCTGACCTGGAGCAGCTGGCTGACACTTCTGCCATATATGCCAGGGACCTCGCATGGCTTCTCCTGAAGGACATACAATTGCTCCCTAATGCACAGGCAGCATTTGTAGAACTGTGCATTCATATATGCCATTTACCAGAATCTAGCCCTTTATTTCCTCCAAAAGTACTGGATATGAATCTAAAGTTTAAATCTCTATATAGGATAATTTTAGTTATCTAGAAACTTTCTTCTTTTATGTTCTTGTTAGTTGTTTTGTAGTAATACATGACAGTATATGTTTAAACATTGTGTACAACTCTTTAACTACTATAGGGTGGGGGAGATGTTTTATTCAGATGTCACTCTATATAAATTACACTTACCTTCCTTTGATTTATTGCTCAAAAACTTATTAACTCAACTTGTGGATAAGCTCTGTATAAGGCATTAGGTATCCAATAGTGTACAAGATAGGGATGATTCTTTACCTTGTGGAGCTTTCAATCCAGCCTGAAAGGCATCTAGAGCAGCAGTAAGAAGGAAGCATGTGAAGGACCTGCTCAGGGCCACTTAGGGTACACTGGGAGCTTCCACAAGGGCACTATAGACTGAGAAGGAAGAGGAGAGGAGCTGAGGGAGGTTTCTTAAGGAAATAACAGTTCATCTGAGGCCTCAAGAATGATCAGGAGCTACTCAAGCAAAATAGGGGCAACAAGAATTCCAGGCAGAATAAATCACATGAGTAAAATCCCAGCTGCAAAAGAAAATTTAGCAAGTTAAGAATTTTTAAAAAAAATTCATCATAATTGATGTGTGATGTGTAGTGGGAACTGGACTGCGGGAAGGTGGACCAAGTGGGCAAGAGACTGAATGTGGGAAGATGGATAGGAGTCAGGTATACAAAAAAGGGCAAGTGACTGTAGGGTTTTAAGGCAGGAAAAAACACCATTGTGGCTAAAGCTGAGAAGAGATTGGATGGGCAAGACTGAAGACAGGGAGACCTGTTAGGAGGCTGTTGGAATAACCCATGTGTGGGATGCCTGGGTCAGTGATCTCAGCTCCATGTCCCGCTGAGAGAGGCCTTCCCTGAACCTTTGCCTAAATTAGAGCCCTAGGACAGTCTTTCACAGAGCCCTACATTTTCCCTGTATGGGATTTATTAAAATTTATAATTGTTCATTTCTGATGTGATTATTTCTTTTACTGAATGTCTCCTTTACTAAACAGTGAATCTTTTCAGACTTATTGCTATCCCCATCACCTACAGCTTGCAAATAGGAAGGACTCAATCAGTATTTGTGAATGAGTGAATTAATGGATAAATATAAAGAGAAGGGAGTGAACAGATCTGTGGGATTCTTGGGCATTGGAATCAACAGGACATGATGATTGCTTGGATAACAGCTGCTGGTAAGGGAGAAACAGTTTCTAGTTTGAGTAGCCAGGTGGATAATGGTGTCATTTATGAGAAAAGGAGGCACTTAGGGCCAGAAGGGGTGGTGGGAGAAGCAGGTTTTTGGCAGGGGGTGGATTATGAGTTCAACTTTGGGCAGATGGTGCTGTGTATCAGATTTGGTTTTAATACTGGAAGCTACATTTAAAGTCTACCCTACTCAAAAAATGACAAATCAATAAAGTAAATAAAACACAAACAAAAGAAACAAACAAACAGAAATATGGATGGGCAAATCTGTTTCACTTTTGTTGTTCAGTTTCCCACAGGTTTCCCTTTCTAGTTCTTCTATTTTAGCCAACAAAACAATTCATCAAATTATCAATATGTGATGTATTAACATAGAGTCTTTATTCCACAAAAGAATTCCATTTTCTCAGATAAATTTCACCTTTACATTCATATAAGCATTAAGAATCAAGAAAAAATATTAAGATAATGTGACTATGGTATAAATCATTTTGCTTTAATAATTTTATCTTATTATTACATTTTTGTGATCAAAATGGAAAATTGAAGAAAATGTGGGAGATCTTTTCTGCTTTCTTATTTTTATTTATTAAACATTTCTAAACTGGATTTCTCCATTTTGAAGGCTTTGATTAAAGTCAACAAAGATCTCCTACCTACTTAAATTGTCCTTTAAATTGCAGCTTTCATGGTGGTTGGAGGAAATGTAGCATTCCCAATGAGGAAATAACACATCAAAACTTGATTTATGAATAGTAACACTGAAGCATTATTTTAAACTTCACTCTTCAACAGCAAATCACAGATTAAAAGGAAAAGGAACTAAAGGCTCTGAAGATTTTATTGTAAATTTTAAATTCTAAACTTGGGAGATTTGCCTGAGTACCAAGGAGGGTAATAATCCCAGAATGTGTTGAGTTCAGGTTTAATGCAAAAAAAGTTTGCTTTCAAAATTAATTCCAATTTAATTAACTTTTCTCTTTCTTCCTTCTTTCTTCCCTCCTCCTCTCCTCTCTCTTTATAGGTAGTTCAGAAGTGTATTCCTTTCCTAATTGGGCATTTGAAGGATTCAACCCATAATGACATCATCCTAAACATCCTCATAGAGATAGCAGTCTATGAGCCAGTGGCTTTGAACAGTTTTCTTCCAATGCTGAAAGAGATTGGTGAGAGATTCCCCTACCTCACTGGACAGATGGCAAGGATTTATGGAGCTGTTGGGCATGTGGATGAAGTAAGTTTGGCTTTTTTCTCTCCATTCCCCTGAATTGCACTGGCACTTAATCCAACCTATTTAATAGGTTGGATTATTATGACGTGCAAATTTGTCCTGGAATTTCTGGGAGTTCCAATTTCTCTTTGACATACAAATTTGTCCTGGGATTTCTGGGAGTTCTATGACATACAAATTTGTCCTGGGATTTCTGGGAGTCCCAATTTCTCTTTCAGTCCTTTTACATGGACAATGGCCTCTGAATCAAGTAGCAGGGTTATGTGGAAGGTTTAGGAAGTGAGTCTTTTATTGCTGCTGTGTCACCTGAAGAAGGAGGGTTAAAATGGAGAGAGCACTGAAAGATTCAAGACCACTTTGCAGTAACAACAACCAATAAAAGAGCTGTATCTCATTTCAGGTTGCAATTTCTCTTAACCCAGGAGACCATCAGTAAGCACAGAATTAGATTTCATAGACTACCCTTTAATGAGAGCCCATAGCTATCATGTCAATAAGTGCCTGGGTTCAGAATGTTTTCAGTCCTCTGAATGTTATTTGGGAGAGTGAAATAAACGTTTGTGGATGTTTAAAAGTACTAGGCTAAATATTTGCATAATGGCATCTTTCAGTAGGGACAACAGGATGCCATCAGAGTTTATGGGGATTAAGAAAGTTTTCAGAAATTCAGGTTTCAAAGACATGCATGTCTCTCTGATGATTTCATGTTGGGATTTAGGATTTTTATATATTAAAATAAAAACAAATCTATAATTGACTGAGAGCTTTTCCTTGAACCCATTTATATATAATATAATTAGCTATTCAATAAGTATAAAATTGTCCAACTTTTAAAAGGAATTTCATAGTTCATTGAGTTCAATCCCTTGATTCTGCATAAGACAAAATTAAAAACAGAAACATTATGTGACTTACCCAAACTCAGATTGAGTGAGTAACCCAGTTAGAATTAGATCTTTGGTATCTTCAGAATCCATTTTCGAATTTTGTCTTAAAATGCATCTTTGGTGCTGTTTGATTATATTTCTTCTGAGAATTATAGTGAACCCCTTGAGTCCTGCCTGGCTTCCTCCTGGGTGAGGCTCTTTCTCCTCTAGCTTCCCAGAGGAGGGCGGGAGAACTGAGTTCCCAAGCCTGCACCTGTCAATGTGAGGATGGATCTTCAAAGGGGATTTCTCTGGTGTAGATGTACTCTTAGTATAATCCCTTTCTATGCACTGCTGTTGGGAATGCCTCACCACACTCTGCCTTCTGTTAATGCTTTCCCTTGCTTGTCACCTTTTCTGCCAAGAGAACCCACTGGTATGCCTGAGTGTTATTAGGCCAACTTTGCCTGACAGCTGTTTAACTGAATCTGCTGACCTTGCAGATCTTTGCAAGAACCAAAAAATTCAACCTCTGAGGTGTGAGGCCATCAAATCTTTAAAAAGTGAACTCTTTCTGCAATTTAATGGTAATTCTTTTTGTCACAAATGATTCATTAATGTATAGTAATGCACACTGGTGTTGACTAAACTCCCATGGAAGATGTAATCTGTGAAAAACAAAAAACAGTAGCCACATGCAGTATAACCATATGCAATTAAGTAACTGTCAGTTTGTCTGAACTAAGGCTGTATCCATCTATTCTTGCACTGTTATAAGGAAATACCTGGGACTGGGTAATTTATAAAGAAAAGAGGTTTAATTGGCTTGCACTTCCAAAGGCTGCAACAGGAAGCATGATGCTGGCATCTGCTCAGCTTTTGGGGAGGCCTCAGGAAAACCTACAATCATGGTGGAAGGCAAAGGGGAAGAAGGCACCTCATGGCCAGAGCAGGAGGAAGAGAGAGGGGTGAGGTGCTACCCCACATCTCATGAGCACTCACTCACTATCATGAGAGCAGCAGCAAGGGGGAAATCCACCCTCGTGATCGAGTCACCTCCCACCAGGCCTCACCTCCAACATTGAGGATTACAAATCAACATGAGATTTGGGTGGCAACACAGATCCAAACCATATCAAAGGCTAACCTGAAAGAGAACAGTTCATTTGGTGACACTTGTATGACTCTCAGTGGGTACCAGGAGAAGGAGAGGTGGATCTAAATAGCCTGAGGAATAAATTATTTCACAGTTCAAATTTGTTTGCTTTTTCCCCCAAAACAAACAAATCTTTCTGGTGGTTCTGATTCACCCCCCTTCCTGGGACCCATAGCAGAGAACAATTGTAGATCAGATAATTACCAAGTATATCTGGATATCAGGATTACGTGAGGAGCTTTTAAATAATGTCAGTCTTGGATCCCATAGAATGCCTACTAAGTCATAATCTCCTGAAAAGAGTACCAGAAGTCTGGATTTACGGGAACCTGTGCCAGGGTAATTCTGACGCAGCTATTTGTGGATCAGTATTTGGGAACTCCAGACAGAGAATATTTAAGGTGCTTTCTCTCTTAGATTTAGAATCAGGCCTTGCCCATCACCCATCATCCTGCCCTCCTCCATCAAGCCATTGCTAATTAATTTAATAATTTTCTAGACTATTGATATAGCAGCTTAGAGTAGCATTGGCTAAGAGTAACACAAAAATCCAAAACCACAATAACTTAAACAAAGACAGATATCTGATTCTCTTACACATAACGAAGTCTAGAAGGCAATCTCTCTAGAGTGCCATGTTTCAGAGACCCAGGCTCCTTCTACCTTATTGCTCTACCATTCCTGAGTGCACCAGAAAGCAATAGCTTCTGTCTCATGGTCCAAGATGACACTGTCTCCACCCATTGCATCAGTCTTTCAGCCAGCAGGAAGGGGGAAGGGGAGAAGGAATCTTCCAGGCCATCAAACACAACCTTTTGTTTACAATCCATTAGCTAAATAGACTAAAGCTGAATATGACCACGTGTAGCTGCAAGGCAGACTGGAGCATGTCACCTGGATTTGGGTGGTCCCATGCCCAGTTAAACAGGGGACAAAGGTAGAAAGAATGATGAAGAACAAACAGCTGTTGCTGTTGCAGGTGGTCAATTCATTTCACATTTGTGGATCTGTTTTCTCTCCTCAAAAATTAATGGCTTTACACTGGATTACCTCCCGTATGCTCTGATATTATTTGATTCCATTTTTCCATTTTATTTAGGATCAGTCTAATAAAATTACCTATAAATGTCAGGCAGGCTCCTTTGCTCAGAAATAATGCTCTTTCTTGATTATTTGTAATGCCTGAAATATTACTGTAAGAAAGTTATTTTAGCCATAAAGAATGCTAAATTTCAGATGTCCCAAGAATAAGTGTAGTAATCTAAGCAGCTAGTAACAGAGTAATTTGAGTAAATTTGTCCAACTTTCTAAATAAAACCTTGTGGAGCAATATTTCTAAAGACCAAAGACAATAGGCAAGATGTGCATGTGTGTATATCTCTACCCAGCCTCTTTCCAAAAAGAAACAAGAAGTTCCTGAGGTACATTGAGAGGTGGGCATGAAGGCAGATGCCCAGTATGGGGTCTTGGGTACCAAAGTGAAAGGAAATGTCAACAAAGAAAGAAAGGCAAAAACTGCCCTGGAAAAGCCCCACCACTTTCTATGTGGAAAGCTTGGTCTATGGGGAGACAATGAAACATGGGACCATATAAGGCATGGGGATTTTGGGGGTGCTTGTAAGACAGCCACAGGACCCTTGTGACCTCTAGCCTTAGGATCGTCTCCCTTATCCTATTCTGGTCTCATCTAAAAATTGACTCCATTTGAAATTTTTCTCTTTGACACCAAAGTGGTCCTGTCTGTTGGGTTTAGGGGTTCAAACTGTCAGATAATTTTATTTCCAGGATTTAAAAGATTTTGGAAATACAGAAAAGCCAATCCAACTTTGAGATCCTGCTCCAACTTTTGTAATGTACAATCTCTGACTGATCAGAGCATACTGACTGATCAGAGCATATAATATACAATCTATGACTTATCAGAGCATACCTCCTTTGTTTTCTGGTTTCCAGCAAACTCCATGGTTTGATCTTTAAGAAGAGCAGAGTCTCCTGTGGGTTTGCAATCTTCAGTCCAGAATTTGGCCATGGGGGTAGAGACGGCCTGGAATCACACAAGTTATTGATTGGCTTATGCCTCACCTTCTGTGCTTGCATAAAGCCAGGTGTAAGAACTGCAGGGCTGGCTACTGGGAAATGACAGGGTGTGCCTGTCTTTCAAATGAGTGCCCATCTGGGTGAGCAGACTGTTTTCAACAGCTTGATAGCAGCATCACAATTTTTCCATCTATATTACATTCGGCAGAGAAGAGTTGTATATATAAAACAAAAACCAAAATCCTACAGATTCTTATTTTCTCTATCTCCCAGATTAACTCAGAAATCTTTTTGCCCAAACTTAAATAAAGCCATGTTTAATAATCATATAGTGCTTGTGTCACTGTGGAGGCCATGAATGACTCACAGAACACTTCCAGGGTAGAGAAATTTGCTTCTGGGAGAACCGATCAATTGTTGCCCTTGAGGTGCACCTTTCAGTAAAGATCTATCCAGTTCTTTATAATGCCAGGATTTGCTCCATTTCTCTGGTATGCTCAGTTGAAGTAAATTCATAAATAAGAAATAGTATTTGATTAAATATGTCCAAAACACAGCAAAAATACATGGGTCATTTTGTCTTTCTCAAATGAGAAGGTTGCAGTGGAAACCTTTCAGACAAGAGCAGAAATGACTTCTTAGTAGCACCTAAGGGTTCATTCCCCAAACAACCATCCAGCAGTTTATATAAAACACTTAACACAGTTCCTGGCATATTAAAAAAAAATGCTTGATGGATTTCAACTAACAACAACAAAGTAACAGCAGCAATATAATAAACGAAACCTGTCTAGCTGGAGAGGCCAACGAGAGAGGGAAAAATACAAGTGTGAGTGTACTTCCTCACACAAAGTCTTCTGTGGTCTCATCCACTGCCTATGGGTTATTATGCAAACTCCTTGGCATGGCCCCAGCTTCCTTCTGTAGCTTCACCTCTTACCTGTCCAGTCTACTTCATTCCCCTACATTCTGACTACTCAGGATTTTACACCCTTCCCTGCACACCCTTTACTCTGACATACGTTGAGACCTTCACAGCTTATTCTGCCTGGATAGCTTTTACCCTCTTCTCCTACTTATCTTACCTGACCCAGCTCAAATGTTGCCTCTTCTGTGAGTTCTTCCCAGTCCCCTTAGGCAAAGTTAGTCACTCCCAGTCTATACTTCCATAGTAATTTGGTTGTACCTTAAATGTGTCATGGTTGTATCTCAATTATGTCGTGTTGCAATTTGCAGGTTAATGTCTTTTTCTCCTCCCTATACCTCTCAGCTTCCAGGGGAAATAAATATTATCAAATCCATCTGAATTCATCTGTGGCCATAAGACTGAATGAGTACTTGAGAATACTGGTAATTAAGAATTTGAGGGTTGATTTCTCACTTGAACTTTGATTCCATCAAGTCTGTCTACTTATTCTAGATGACATAATTATAACTTAAGAGAGAGGAGGAGGAAATATTAGTGTGGAGAGGGCTGTATACTTCTGAGCTTATACAATCTATCTCTGATATCTAGCAGGTGAAAGATGAGAATAAAGTTGACAGGGGAATATGGAGTCATTATACAACAAACATGTGATGAGCCAAGGCCATCCATAATGGCTGCTAGGAGGTGACATAAATGAAAGATGATACTGAGTAGATTATAAAGAGATTTTCATATACGAGGCCTCAGCAGGCTGCAAATTGGTTGAAGTACAGCTCCAAGAAGGAGCACTCACCACTGTAGACTGAGCAGTGATCACCACCAAGGAACTCTCTGTGCAAGAATCCATTACATGAATGGATTTGCTTACGATGAGGGCAAAAGTAACACGGTGACTAAGAGGGTGTGCTTAGAGTCAGCCTGCCTTGATTTCAGTCCTGACTCAGCCACTCACCAGCTATGGGCAACTTACATCACCTCTCTTGACTCAGTTTCCTCATCTGTAAAATGGGAATATTATTCACCTCTTAGGTTTGTTGTGAGGATTTAATGAGTTAACCCATGTGGAACAGTATTTAGCAAATAGTAAACATTTGATAAATGCCAGCACTTTATTACTTTACTCAGCATTGTCCAAGTCTTTCTCATTGCACTTATTTGTATACAGGCTAAAACTTGACCCTAACAGACTGAAATTAGGGAGGTGAAAACTAGGGAAATGGCTTACCTTGCCTCTGCTTCTCCAAGGAAAGCAGCTGAATGGGTAGGCATATGTGGGACCAGTCAAAATCAGGAGACAGAATTGGAATGAGGCACCGTAGACAACCACATGTACATTAAAGGTGGAAAGCATAGCTGGCTACACAATTTTTCTTTTTTAGGAAATAACTGGTGTATGTAAATTTTTATTCCTCGGGGTGGAATGTATATCTGTTTTACATTTGTATCGCAGACCACCATTCGTGGGAGAAATAAGGATAACAAAAATAATAAACCTCATTTTGTAAACCTTCATAATTTAAAATAGGCCTTGTTTTCTTGGGCCACTGGAAGTACATTGCTTTCCATAAAGGGTAGGTGGTCCCCACCTCCCCAGCTATATAAACAGCTCAAATAAGTTTGCAGCAATTTTTTAAAAACTCTTAAACTAAATATGAAGTGGTTTAAGTTAAACCCAAACTAGGTTGATGTTTCTCGTCCACAGAGGACCAAAATAGAATGTTTGTTTCCACTTTAGAGGGTTTTACTTTTTCATTATTTCCTTCCCTAATTAGACTCTCTTAGCCACGCAAGTGGTCTCTGCTCACTTGTTAGGTATTATCGTTATTATAGCCCTCTTTCCTAACATGGGTCAACTTGGAAAAGAGAACACTTTAGGAATGGCATTGATTTTTTTTTTTTTTTTGGGAGGCCAACTTGAATTCATGTATCTTTCCATCTATTTAAGCCTCAAATAAGTGAACTGAAACAAATTTTAGTTTAATAGTCATCTTTACTTTACTTTAGGGTCTGGTCTTATTGGAAAGCACATACCAGTATGTAGCATGCACTTCATTACCATGCCCCTCCTCTGTGCCAGACCTACAAGGCAGTAGACCTAGTGGTAGAAACAGAGACAAGATGCTTTAAAATTTTTTTTACAAATGATCTCATAGCACGTGGAAGGATGCTATGGCCACTTGTTTTTCCTTCACTACAGACCAATAGCCCGCATCTGTGAAGAATCAAATAGCATGCCCCTGAGTGCAGCCACTGCCATCGTGTGTGTTAAATCCTGTGCCCTCTGCCTTGTTTTTCTAACTAGCTGGAATATGCTGGCCAAGCACCAGGGCGTGTTCATTACATCCTCTCTGGGCTCAGAGTCATGGACACTTTTCAAGTAAAGAAGTGACACACATCTTGCCCAGGTTGCATTTCTGTGACATCCGGCAGGCCTACAAAAACACTTTCAGGAGGAAAAGGAAAAGAATGACAAAGGCAGCTGAGAGCCACATTACTGTCCTCATCCTGGCTGTTGAATAACATCCTGAGAAATGGGAGCTGGGTGGATGATTTACACCTTTAAATTACAAATCAAGACTAAAAAAAATCTGGGGTCCGTTCTACAAGAGGAAGGACCTGTGACTTAAAAGCACAATTTCCCCAGGGATGATAAACTTAGTTAAAACATTGGTAGGTTCAATGACTTTGGGGATACATTTTCTTAAACCTTGGTTGGTGCCAGTGGCTGCTACTTAATATTATAAAACTGTCATGAATTGGGGAAGGATTTTTTTCCAAAATGAAAATAGCTTTTATTTTTGTTTGTATTGTTAAAAAGGGTACATGTTAACTGTAAATAATATTAGTAATAAACCTCTTACAAAGTATAAGGAAAACAAAGGCAAACTTTGAGTACATACAAAATATACTTTCAAATAAGAGTATTGATGTTGCATATCCTCTCTCCCTCAGTGATATAGGGTGGAGCTGCTGATTCTTTCTAACTGTAAGACCCAGTACTGGTGATGGGGACACAGAGGAGAGAAAGACATGGTCCCTGCCCTAGAGGATCTCACAACTGGGGATGAGGAAGATGTAAAGACAGATAATTGGAATTTAATTTGGTACTTGCTGTTACTGAATTTTGAACTGGACCAGGAAGGAAGAAACTAACCCCATGTGGGGGAGTTTTAGGAGAGCATTATAAGTTTGGCTTGTAAGATGATAGGGTTATGTCAGGGGAATAGGAAGAAGGTATCCATGGGGAAGTCACCGCATTCAGTGGCAGTCAGCCAGGAAAAGGCTGTGAGTCTTCTAGAAACCATGAAGCATTTCAAGTGCTTGGAGCATAGGATGAATAATGGAGGGGAGGGGGAGAGATGCGGCTGGACAGTGGGCTGGGGTCAGATTATGAAAATTCCATATTGATTAGCAGATAGTTCCTGTTTTCTTCCTTCTCTCAGCTGATTCTAGGAACAGTACTTTATTTCCCTTCATAGTGCGGATAAGTAAATGTAATCCTATGTACCTTAGCGTTCCCAAGAAACTAAAGAGCTGGCGAAAGGACAAACAGTTCCCAAAATACTTGCAAATGTAGAGTAGTAAATAATGGTTACAAAAGTTACATGTTGCAAAAATTTTCAACAATGTCTTGTAATTATTAACTGTAATTTGGGCCAACTGACCAAATCCACAGAAGACCTGCAGTTCCCTGTGAGCTGGGACAGTTTGGCAAGTCCCATAACATGGCTGCACATAGAAGGAGTGTCTGCAAGACCAGGATCAAACTCCAGAAATCGGCAGCCTGGTCCCCGCAGACTTGATCTTCCTCCTTCCAGAGGAGGACGATCTGACTTTCCTACACTGGTGTCTGTGAGGGAAGTAGGTGCCTGCCTCAAGAAAGACAGGAAGCCACCACTTAGTAAGTGCCCTTTCTAGCCATGAGCCTAACAAGTGAACAAATCTCAGATTCACCAGAAAGGACAACTGGGCATTGGCAGCAGGTGAGTTGAAGAGGACGAAGCAGTTGCTAATTCCAGCTCAACTCCTGCTGCTCTTTTAAGATGATAGCAGGTCCTTGCCCTGCCTGTAGCCCTCAGACTGAAATCACTTGACTTCCAACTATTTCCAACAGCCAGTATTTGCATTTCTTTGCCTATGGCTTCCCCAACTTCACAAGCCATTCTGCTAAGACACATGGCGTATGCATGTGAGGAATGAATGCTGTCCCATGGCATCCTACAACCAGTGATGGGAGTTGGTGTTTTGTAAACTTCCAAAACTCCTTTACCCCTCAAATGAAATAAACTCTCCCTAGAATTTCCCAGGCTACTTTTTGAGCTGTTTCCCTTCTCTTTCTCACTCTTCTGTTCCCCTATTGGTTTCCTGAAGTTTTCAAATAAATGATTTGCACTTAAATCATCTCAGGGTCTGTCTGTTTCTGGAAACCCCAATCCAAGACAAAGACATTTCTAGGACTTTCCCAAGCCATTGCAATCTGCCCTGCTGTGAATATTTGAGAACATACATCTATAACACAGAGTTTAGCATCTGATGGTTTTCTGGTTGCATTTGCTTTTCATTTATTTAGTGCATGAATACACACACTCCCAACCCACCATAAGCACTCTGAAGGAAGGAACCATACCTTATACCTCCTCGTGGCCCTGGCATAACCCCCCCTCAAGTAATTAGCTCATAGCAGGTGGCTCACAGGTACTTGCCAACTAACTGTTCCATAGAGACTGAAACTTGGCTGACCATCAGTGTCTTGTACTAGTAGATGGCATCTGATGACATGGCAGGTTGTGTTTGAGGAGGTCAGGAAAACTAGAGACATTGGGTTCCAGTCAACAGTTATGGATACTGGTTTTTCAGGATCTGTCGGTCTCCATCCCATGTGGTCCCCAAAGTGTCCGGACCAGCAGCATTGAGTGTTACTCAGAAACTTAAATCAGAATCCATAATTGAACAAGATGCCCAGGTGGTGTGTATGCACATGAAAGTGTAAGTAGTACTGCTCCTGAGGATCCAGGCCCTACAGGATTTATCTGCTATAGAACCTGAGGGAGTCTAGACATGCCCGCATATATACTACCTGCTTGATGCATATATGTTTCCAGACACACACACAGCTATACCCAATTTTCTTTGCAAGACCCACTTGTTTTTATGTAAATAATCAGTAACCTTTAACAGTCATAATCTTTGACAATGTCAGTATATACATGAAGTCAGGAAATATCATGCATTACCTACAATACAGTTTATGAATATTTATCACACACCTGCTGTATGCAAGGCACTGTATGCAAGTGCAAAGTTAAATAAAATCCAATCCCTCTGCTATAAAAAGGGGCTTTTTTATTCACTTAGAAATGATACTTTACTCACTCGAGCCCAGGAGTTCAAGGCAGTGAGCTATGATTGTGCCACTATATTCCAGTATCACAATAAAATAAAAGAAAAAAAAGATCCTTTAATAGGCAAAAATTGTGATGCATTGACACTTTTGTGTAATATTCTTAGAATTCCTCACTCCATCCCCACTCCTGTATAAAGGGAGAGGGTGTTCCTAAATAATGGTTTACACGGAATATCACAGGTGGGTATGTACAAGTCTTTTCTATTGCTTAAGTTCTTGTTTTTATTTTTTAATGTTATTTGATTTTTTTTTGTAGCTCAAGTAGGATCTGAAAGCATTCCCAGAACTCCCTATAGGATTTGACACAGAGGTATTATCACTATGATGTAAAATCGTGTAACAATTGTACTCTCAAAATATATGAGGAGAGTAATTGGAAGTAGATGAATTTTGTTGCAAAGCCATGACTAACTATACTGTCTTGAAATTATATTTACATTTCAGCCTTCTTCATTATTTATCAAAAAAGTAAAGCCTGAATTTATTTTGTAGTGAGTAGGGCTTAGGAACTTGGTACTGGTTTACATGAACAGAGCTGAAGCCCTCTAAGAAAATATGCATCTAACAGTTGGCTTAGCAACAATACACTATCACACTAAAATGTTCACAGGTATAGATCATAATATTAACCAGATGGTTGCTGTCATCTACGTGTATTCATGTAGATAACATGTAAGAAATTACACTGAGAGGGTATCTTGACATCAGTTTATTTCTTGCTAAGTAATAAAGTAAATGAATAATTATTTATTGCTTTTTAAGATTAATAAATATGAGATAAATAGAAAATAAATGTTTCCATAACTGTTGATGAGTAAATGAAAGTGGTCTGGGTAATGTTTCCCAACCTTCAGTGCAGTATAGATCCTATAAAGGTCTAAACATCTAACAATTCACTCAGAAAAGTAGAAAATAAACCTTTCTAACCATCTTGCTTCATTGAAATCTCTATTTACTATGTGTGGTTGATTTTTTAAATCTCTGGATTAGACTAAACTCCTACTCCTGTCTACATTCTCTCCAGCTCTTCCTTCTGCTGCCTTCTGCTTTAAGAGGGCAAACTTCCTTCCGCTTTAGGCAGCATTCTCCCACAATAAGGGCTCCTATCTCATTCAAATCTTCCTTTCTTCATCCAGAAGAGTTTCCAGAGCCCACCTTCTCCATGACAGCTACACATTTCTAAAGCACTGTTTGTCTACCAACTCCTCCTTCTTGGCTAGTAAATACAAAATAAAGCTAGGGGGTAAGAGAGTGATAGAGGGGCAACAGCAAAAGTTACAAATGTTCCCTGAAGGAAACAATTCTACCTTCCCTCATCTTATGAAGTGAGAATAACCTCAAAGGCAAGATGCATGGATTTGAGCATCCCATACAATGTACATAATAGGCACTATAGATACAGTGAAGTGACTCTTCTGTTCTTCTATTGAAAAATGGCAAGATTAAACCATTGTTAAGATCTCAACATAACCCTATCTAAAAGTCCTAAACTGTTTTACTCTATTTCCACCATTTACATAAAGGGGAGCTACAAATGAGTGGAAACAAATTTGGAAACTGATGGTTTTCTCCAGGCAAGCATATTTCGGACTTTTTCTTCTGCAGACATCCTAACTAGGGGTATCTTCACAACCCCATTCTATTAACTGAAATTTGCTTCCATTCATTTATTCACTTGTTCATTCTCTGCTTACTTCTAGAAAGCAGTTAAGGCAGTTCACAAGGAATCACAGTTGCTGCGAAACCAAAAAAAAAAAAAATTAAGGAAAAATCCTTGAACTAAAATAGGGAGTGTTAGAAGGTTTGGTGGGTAAGGTACCAGAGAAATTATTACTACATCAAACTTTCCCTAGCTAAGGAAATCACCAATCCAAGGCAAGGTTTACACTTTTGCAAAATGCATTTTTCCATTTTATTCTTCTCTATAAGTAATGAAATATACCCAAATCTTTCTGTCTAACCTGTATTTTGGGTGTTACATCTCAACTACCATGAATAAAACATCCTGGCTATTTGTTTTGAAAATAAGTAGGTGCAAAGAAAAATAGGCACCTTGCATCTAATTATCTAATGAGTAAATTATGTCATGTAATGAGTAAATTATGGAAAGTTCAATTGTAGCTGATGTATAGTTCAACTGAGTTAAATCTTACCATATTGTTCCTTTTTCTAATGAGCTAAAAGCATATACTTTTTTCCTGGCAAAAAGTTCAAATACAATCAGCCTTTCTCTTTTTATTTCTATTTTCTTTCTTTTTGGACCCATAATAGGCATCATTCTTCAAAATGATTTCCATGATTGGGCCAGAAGGCCTGTGGTTACTTTTCTCTTTCACTCGGAGATTGCACCTCATTTACTAAACAGATATTGTGTAATTAAAGATGGGCTGTTTCTTTGAGTTCTCTAGAAATTTTTCAATTCTAAAGTCCCCAGTGGTCTTTCAAAAAGTTTGTTTAATTGAAGCAAAAGAAATAGTGGGGCCATTGTTCAGGATTATCAGTGAGAGGTCATTTACATGAGGGGACTATGGCATGGTGGGAGAAGAAAATGTGGCTAAGTATAATTCATTCTGGGTCCCTTGAGCCCACACAAAAGATTTAACTTTAAGAGGCTAAGTTCCCAAGCCCCTAGTTTTTAGAGAGTAAATCCAAACTATAGAACCTCTAAATCTTTTATCAATTCATAAAATAATACTATGTTTGAAGCTAAAATTAGATAGACTTCCATAAGCTTTAAGATTCTGTAATTATTTGGGGTCAGTGCAACAAAAAAAATGCTGGAAAATAAACTCTTAGCACAAATGGAGGGGGATTTGGGTTTTTAAACACATACATGGCCACATTGAATGCCATTTAGGGAAAAATAATTTGAAATTGAAAAAAACTTATTTGACAGCAGACCATGTCAAGTTTTCTGCCCTTTAAAAAATTCAAACTAAAGACCATAATTTATTGTCTCAAATAGCATAGCATAAAGTTAAGCTACCTCTCATATCCTCTGATTTCTATTTTAAATCCTAAGTCAATTTCATTCAAACATCTTTTTGGGAAAGATATACTAAGTTCCACACTTAACTTTAGCCATAATTGTTTCATAATTAAAAAATTATACCTTGCTTTTTTTCTCAAGGGTGGGGTTTACTTTAGCATTCTGTGCCAAATGCATAGACCTGAACTAAATCCAACTTATCCTTAATTTTTAACATGTTACAAAATTTAAGATTCATATAAAACAAAGAATACATCTGTTTTCATCAGCTATTTCTCAACTTTTATTACTGGGATTTATTTTAAAAAATTGTTTTGCCCAGACAGCTTTGTTTTACTAAGCGTGATTTATTACTCTCCCATGAGCCCACAAAAAGTGCGTGTTCCTGAATCAAAAATAATGAAGAATGGAAACTTATTCCTTTTACAATTGACAAAATGATCATTTAAAATATGTAAATATGTTTAAATTCTAATAGGGTTTTTATAATCAATGGGTAGAAAAATATATTCAATTACCCCAAGCTGATATACAGAAAAATTGAGACACAATCAAAAAATAAAAGAAAGAATTGAAGAAAGTGACTTTTGTAATGCTATTCTAAAAATCGGCTCAAAGTTGGAGAATTATCTACCTAAGAGAGAGATTAACAAGGTTTTTATTTATTTATTTTCTGCTTTGTTCCACAAAAAAAAATATTTCAGGCAGCTTGCCTCTTGATGTTCTGTTAAAAGATTATTGACTCTTAGCTTTTGAATATGATTAACATTTGATGTCTACTTTCTTGGCAAGAATTTTACATGTATTTTATGCTAATATTTTAAGGCTAAAATAGCATTTTCTTGTCTGCGTGGCATACTTTTTAAAGAATGAAATTTTTTAATTGTAAAAATATCTTGGAATTTAAAGATTACTAGATAGCTTGACCTTTACTGGCTTCCGTACTTCAATAACAGCAAATTTTTGAAGAATTGAAGACTGCAATATTTTTACTTCAGAAACAGGAAAAGACTGAAAAAGACTGAGGAATAATTACAAATAGAAAATGATATAGATATCTAGATATCTAAAATAATGAGCTAAATTTGGGTTCAGGTCACAAAGAAAAGTTTAAGTTGTATAGTGTTTTGATGTAATCACGTAACTGCTTTTAAAGGAGAAATTGGCTTTCTTGGTGAAATGTTGAAGATATTTCAATTCTAGGTAAAGTTTTTTGCAAGTTACCAAAACACTGGCTCACATTTGCTTATATTGAGTTGGTTTTGGGGTCTTGGACATTTCTAGAACTTCCCAACCATTATCAATTCTCAATATAAATTAACTGGGAAAAATTAAAGGGCTATATAGCTTCTAAAATTGCTTGTTTTCATTTTTGTGATAATTCAAATCTTTCTGCATTCATGTTTAAGATTTTTGATACTCAAGTAATAATAACTAATGTTGATTTAACATTTCTGTATGCCAGGCATTTTTTAACTCACTTTTTTTTAACTCACTGAAGTCTCACAATCTATGATGGTCAGTATTAGGTGTCAACTTGACTGGATTGAGGGATGCCTAGATGGCTGGTAAAGTATTGTTTTGGGGTGTGCTGGCCCATTTGTTGAGTGACCTGAAAGGCATCTAGTTTTGAGTGGGGCCCAGACCAGAAGTCTCTGCAACAGGTCTAAACTACTGTGCAAGCTGCTGTACCTCTGGGGCCATATGACTCAGCAGATCTAGTGGTGCGTGAGGTATCAGTGGCAAATAGGGATGCTGTCGGGAGCCTTTGGGAGGTCCTCATAGGTGAATCATAGTTGAGCCCGCCCTTTAGGATTCTAGAGCAAGGCTCTATCATCTTCTGCAGATAACTCCTTTTTTTTTTTTTCTTTGAGACAGAGTCTCACTCTGTTGCCAGGCTGGAATGCAGTGGCGTGATCTTGGCTCACTGCAACCTCCACCTCCCAGGTTCAAACAATTCTTCTGCCTCAGCCCCCTAAGTAGCTGAGACTACAGTTGCGCACCACCATGCCCAGCTAATTTTTGTATTTTTAGTAGAGATGGTGTTTCACCATATTGGCCAGGATAGTCTCGATCTCCTGACCTCGTGATCCACACGCCTCGGCCTCCCAAAGTGCTGGGATTACAGGCTTGAGCCACCGCTCCTGGTCGACAACTCCTTTTGAGAGACAGCTTTGGCCTGCTACTGGGCCTTGGTAGAAACTGAATATTTGACTACAGATCACCAAATTTGTATGTGACCTGAACTGGCTATCATGAACTGGGTGCTTTCTGACCCATCAAGACAAAATTGGGTGTGCACTGCAGTATTCCATCATCAAAGAGAAGTGGTATGTACGTGATCAGGGTTGAGCAGGTTGTGAGAACACAAATAAGTTACATGAAGAAGTAGCTTAAATGCCCATGGTCTCCACTCCTGCTACCCTGCCTTCTGTCTCCCAGCCTGTACCTATGGCCTTATGGGGAGTTTCCTGTGATTGGTTGACAGAGGAAGAGACGAGGGCATGGTTTACAAATGGCTCTGCATGATATGTGGCACCAACCAAAAGTAGACAGCTGCAGCACTATAGGACCTCTCTGGGACATGCCTGAAGGACAGTGGTAAAGGAAAATCTTCCCAGTGGGGAGAACTTCAAGCAATGCATGTGGTTGTGCGCTCTGCTTAGAAGAAGATGTAGCCAGACATGCAGGTATATACATGGGCTGTAGCCAATGGTTTGGCTGGATGATCAGGGACTTGGAAGGAATATGATTAGAAAATTGATGACACAGAACAATAGACAAGCAGAGAGCCAAATCATGAATGAAGTCCCATTCACAATTGCTACAAAGAGAATAAAATACCTAGGAATACAGTTAACAAGGGAAGTGAAGGCCCTCTTCAAAGAGAACTACAAACCACTGTTCAAGGAAATCAGAGAGGACACAAACAAATGAAAAAACATACCATACTCATTGATAGGAAGAATCAATATCGTGAAAATGGCCATACTGCCTATAGATTCAATGCTATTCCCACTAAACTACCATTAACATTCTTCACAGAATTAGAAAAAACTACTTTAAAATTCATATGGAACCAAAAAAGAGCCCGTATAGCCAAGACAATCCTAAACAAAAAGAATAAAGCTGGAGGAATCACGCCATCCAACTTCAAACTGTACTACAAGACTACAGTAACAAAACAGCAGAGTACCAGTACAAAAACAGACACATAGACCAATGGAACAGAATAGAGATCTCAGAAATAAGACCACGCATCTACAACCATCTGACCTCCAACAAACCTGACAAAAAGCAAGCAATGGGGAAAGGATTCCCTATTTAATAAATGGTGCTGGGAGAAGTGGCTAGCCATATGTAGAAAATTGAAACTGGATCCTTTCCTTATACAAAAATTAACTCAAGATGGATTAAAGACTTAAATGTAAAACCCAAAATGATCAAAACCCTAGAAGAAAATCTAGGTAATATCAGTCAGGACATAGTCATGGGCAAAGATTTCATGATGAAAATGTCAAAAGCAGTTGCAACAAAAGCAAAAATTGACAAATGGGATCTAATTAAAGAGCTTCTGCACAGCAAAATAAACTATCATCAGAGTGAACAGATAATCTACAGAATGGGAGATTTTTGCAATCTATCCGTCTGACAAAAGTCTAATACCTAGAATCTACAAGGAACTTAAACAAATTTACAAGAAAAAAAAACAAACAACCCAATTAAAAAGTGGACAAAGAACATGAATAGCCACTTCTCAAAAGAAGACATACATGTGATCAACAAACATACGAAAAAAAGCTCAACATCACTGATCATTAAAGAAATGCGGATCAAAACCACAATGAGATATCATCTCACACCAGTCAGAATGGCAATTATTAAAAAGTCAAGAAACAACAGATGCTGGCAAGGCTGTGGAGAAATAGGAATGCTTTTACACTATTGGTGGGAATGTAAATTAGTTTACCCATTGTAGAAGCCAGTGTGGCGATTCCTTACAGACCTAGGAGGCAGAAATACTATTTGACCCAGCAATCTCATTACTGGGTATATACACAAAGGAATATAAATCATTCTGTTGTAAAGATACATGCACTAGGATGTTCACTGCAGCACTATTCACAATAGCAAAGACATGGAATCAACACAAATGCCCATCAATGATAGACTGGATAAAGAAAATGTGGTACATATACACCATGGAATAGTATTCAGCCATAAAAAGGAATGAGATCATGTCCTTTTCCTTTGCAGGAACATGGATGGAGCTGGAAGTCATTATCCTCAGCAAACTAAAACAGGAACAGAAAATCAAACACCACATGTTCTCACTTAAAAGTGGGAGCTGAACAATGAGAACACATGGACACAGGGTGGGGAACAACACACACTGGGGCCTGCAGCGGGGATGGGGCAAGAGAGAGCATCAGAAAGAATAGATAATGCATGCAAGACTTAATACCTAGTGATGGGTTGATAGGTGCAGCCAGACACTATGGCACACATTTACCTATGTAACAAACCCGCACATCCTGCACATGTATCCCAGAAGTTAAAATACAATTAAATTTAAAAGAAAATTGGTGACACAGAGAAGGAAACAACAAACACTGGAGTCTACTTGAGGCGGGAGGGTGGGAAGAGGGAGAGGAGCAGAAAAGATAACTATTGGGTACTGGGCTTAATACCTGGGTGATGAAATAATATGTACAACAAACCCTCATGATATGTGTTTACCTATGTGACAAACCTTCACTTGCACCCCCAAACCTAAAATAAAAGTTAAAAAAAAAGAAAATTGGTGACAAAGAAATTTTTGGGAAGAGATATGTGGATGGACCTGAGTGGCCAAAAACTGAAGATATTTGTGTCCCCTGTGTACACTCAGCAAAGGATGACCTTGGAGAGGAGGATTTTAATAATCAAGTGGATATGATGACCCACTCTGTTGACACCATTCAGGCTCTTTCCCCAACCACTCCTGTCATCACACAATGGACTTATGAACACAGTTGCCATGGTGTCAGAGAAGGAGGTTATTCATGGGCTCAGCAACATGGACGTCCACTCACAAAGGCTGATCTGGCTACTGCCATCGCTGACTGCCCTGTCTGCCAGCAGCAGAGACCAGCAATGAGCCCTCTATATGGCACTGTTCCTTGGGGTGTTCAGCCAGCTACCTGTGGCAGGTTGATTACATTGGACCACTTCCATTATGGAAGGGACAGGATTTGTTCTTACTGGAATATTCTTACTCAGGATATGGATTTGCCTTTCCTACATGCAATTCTTCTGCCAAGAGTACCATCCATGGACTTGCAGAACTGCCTTGTCGACTGCCATGGTATTACACATAGCATTGCTTTTGACCAAGGAACTCACTCTACAGACAGAAATGCGGCAATGCATTCGTGATCATGGCGTTCACTGGTCTTACCATGCTCCCCTTGATCCTGAAGCAGCTGGCTTGAGAGAACAATAGAATGGCTATTTGAAGTCATAATTACAATGCCAACCAGGTGACAATACTTTGCAGGGCTAGGGAAAAGTTCCCCAGAAGGCTGTATATGCTCTGAATCAGCATCTAGTATATGGTACTGTTTCTCCCATAGGTAGGATTCATAGGTCCAGGAATCAATGGGTGAAAGTAGAAGGGACACCACTCACAATTACCCCTAGTGAGCCACTAGCAACATTTTTGCTTCATATTCCCATGACATTATGTTCTGCTGGCTTAGAGGTCTTAGTTTCAGAGTGAGGTATGCTGCTCTCAAGATAGTAAGTTCTCATGAGATCTGGTTGTTTAAGTGTGTGGCACCTTCCCACCCTTGTTCTGCATTCACCATGTGATCTGCCTACTCCTGCTTTGCCTTCTGCCATGAGTAAAGCTCCCTGAGGCTTCCCACAGAAGCAGATTGCAGAACTATGCTTCATGAACAGCCTGCAGAACCATGAACCAATTAAACCTCTTATAAATTACCCAGTCTCGAGTATTCTTTATAGCAATGCAAGAATGGACTAACACATGACTCCTCTATGAGACAGATACTGTGATTAACCCCTTTTAATAAACTGAGCCATGCAAGGTTAAATAACTTGCCCAAGGTCCATGTCTGGTTAGCTACAGTGCCAGATTCAAACTTAGGAAAAAGCTTCTGAACCCACTTTATAAACAACTATATTATTGCACTTGCCTTCTCAGACAAATAAGGCACAGCTAGGAAGGCTTTACATGGTACTACTACCTTTTCATTCCTCGAAGGTAAAATTTGCCATATTAATGTTTATCCAAAGAAAATCTTTCACATGTATTGACATTTTGAACAGTCGACACTTTCCTTGCTAGTCCCTTACCCATCAATTCTACTTTGCATGCAGTAAGAAAGCCTCTTGAAACCCAAATGCCGGATAATATCTCTGGGATGGAGAAACTTAACCCATCACTCAGACAGATCAGCTGAATCTAACAGAAAGGTGGTGCTAGCAGGGTTTTAGTAGCTTTGTCTCAGTTGTGGTTCTGGATTTTCTAAAGTGGCTCTAAACCCACCAGCCAATGAGAGTATTTGAGATTTTATTTTAAGGCTTAATATCTCAAGCTCTGAACAAACAACAAAACCGGAGGTAACAAAAGTCTTCCAATAGAATAGGAAAAACAATCATATACCTGCAGTATATAGAAATTTACCTCCTCCAGAGTGATGACCGCTGGTTAAAAATGGCTTTTAAAACCTGATATTGGTTTCTCTGCAAGGGAAGTATGAAGAAGAAAGAGAGATGGGGTAGGAAGGGGCTCACAGATGCTGCCAATGTTATTGATAATTTCCTGTTACATTACATATATTTATATATATTATTTCGTATGTAGCATATATTCCATAATGTCAAAGAAAAATACAATCATTGAATATTTGCTATGTGCCAAATAGTATACCTGATATTGAAAACAGTAATCTTTATAATAAAACATTCAGGCTGTACTAAGTAACTTATTTTTAAATTCATTGATATTTCTGGCATCATCAGATCATACTAAAAATAATACTAATAATAACAATTCATTGATAGCATTGTTTTGTCACCTACTCTATGCTAGATACTTTACAATTATTTTTTCATTGTTCCTCACAACATCATGAAGAAGTTGTGTCAGCTAAGATGAATTTGGTAATAGCATTTGCAACTAAAGCTGATTCAGAAGAAAAATATTTATTATCTCCTATAACAAGAAGCCTGGAAAACAGGGTGGGTCCCAGGTTTGTTCAGAAGTTCCACAACATCATCAAGAACTCTTGATAAGCTTCTTTCTATTCTCTCTCTACCATCATCATTATATTTGAATTGGTCCCATAAACATACCCTCACACTTGCAAAGATAACTGCCCAGATCCAGGTAGTGCATATAGGTACAACAATGTCTGGTTAAGGAACAGGAATGTGTTCTTCCATCTCTTTTTATCTGGGAGGAAAACATTTTTCAGTAGTCTTCTACCCCAGAAAACTTCACATCAGGTCCAGTTGCCCAGGATTAAATCACATACCCATGCCCTAGTTTAAAAGGAGCCTGAGAAATAGAATAGCTATTTTCACTTTATAGCAGGCTGGGGGTTATACCAATAAGAAAGAAGGGGATAGGGTGAGATACAATTAGTGATAGGCAATCAAAAGTATCTGCCGCCGAACTGTTAGCTCCAATCTACAGATGAAGCTTAGGCTCAAAGTGGTTAAATAAGATGCTGTGCCTTTTAAATGCACCATTTAGACCAAGCTTGTCCAATCCACAACCTGTAGGCCACATGAGGCCCAGGACAGCTTTGAATGCAGCCCAACACAAATTCATAAACTTTCTTAAAACATTATGAGATATTTTGTGATTTTTTTTTTAGATCATCAGCTATTATTAGTGTTAGCATAGTTTGTGTGTGGCCCAAGACAATTCTTCTTCTTCCGATGTGGCCCAGGGAAGCCAAATGATTGTACACCCCTGATGTAGACCATTGATATAGTTTGGCTATGTCACCGCTGAAATCTTATATTGAATTCCCACATGTGGTGGGAGGGACCCGGTGGGAGGTAATTGAATCATGGGGGCATATCTTTCCCATGCTGTTCTCGTGATAGTGAATAAGTCTTATGAGATCTGATGGTTTTAAAAAGAGGAATTCCCCTACATACGTGCTCTCTCTTTGCCTGCTGCCATCCATGTAAGACATGACTTGCTCCTTCTGCCATGATTGTGAAAATGGACTAATACAACCATTTACATTCAAGGTTGATATTGATATATGAGGTTTTGATACTATCATGAAGTTGTTAGCTGGTTGCTTTGTTGTTTCTATTGTGTGGTTGCAGGCTATGTACTTAAGTGTGTTTTTGTTTTATTATTTAGCAGGTATCATTCTTTCATTTCATGTTTAGAACTCCCTTAAGGATCTCTTCTAAGGCTGATCTAGTGTTAACAAATTCTCTTACAGCTTCCTTGTCTGGACAATATTTTATTTCTCCTTCATTTATGAAGCTTTAGTATGGCGGGGTATGAAATTCTTGGTTGAAATTTCTTTTCTTTAAGAGTGCTAAAATAGGCCCCCAATCTCTCCTTGCTTGTTTCTGTTAAGAAGTCTGTTAGCGTGATGGGATTGCCTTTGTATGTGACCTGCCCTTTTTCTCTAGCTGCCTTTAAGATTTTTCTCTTTAGCATTGACTTTGGACAATCTGGTAGTTACATTCCTTGGTGATGTTCATTTTGTATGGTATCTCACAGGCATTCTCTGGATTTCTTATGTGTAGATGCCTACCTCTCTAGCAAGATTAGGAAAGTTTTTGTGAATTATTCCCTCAAATATATTTTCCAGGTGTTTTACTTTTTCTCCTTCTTTATCAGGAATGTCTGATTGGTATGTCACTTTACATAATCCCATATTTCCCAAAGACTCTGACCTGAGTCTTTGGACTGCACAGTGTCTGTGCAGCCATGCCGCTGGTAATGGCTGACTTTATATGTACCTGGATTAAAAATGGCATCCCGCCATCAGTCCCAGGTCTGGGAAAGTGCAGTTTTTCCCATTGTCTTTCCCTCAGAATATCTCCAAGAGCCTCTCCCCAAGTTAGCTCTAGGGCTTGAAAGAAACAAACTGCTCTCCCTCAGCTTGGGTGGCTTGGATCCCCAGTGGAAAAATGAGTCACAAAGGAGGCTCTCTGCCTCTCATGTACTGATGACACAGGATTCTTTTGGTGCTGCTTTGGCAGCTGGAAACCTCTATGGCCAGTGGCACCTCTGCCCAAGTTTTCCTTGTGACCATTGGGCTGGCTCTGCCCACTCAGCCTGGCAGGCTGTGCTTGACTCACACTACTGGCCCAGACCCCATGCCCACCACAGGTGAGACAGGCGTGGAACGGCAAGGGGTGTGTGAGTGACAAAGTACAAGATCTGGCCGCAGCAAGCCAGGTGCACCAGCTGCTGTGGCAGGCAGCTCCAGGCATCAGCAGAGTTGCAAGCTCCATGCAAGGCTGTGGCTGGACCAGGCATGCCTCAAGCAGCTTCCGCTTTGGGCGCTGGCATCTGGACAAGAGGAATGTGGTGGTGCCCAAAAACTTGGAGATGCCAGCAACCATGGAGCCCCGAGGGGATGTTACAGCGTGTCACAGCTCTGGCTCAGGGAGTCCTGAGGTCTGGGCCTCCAGAAGGGTCGCAGCTCTTTTCCCCTAGTCTGGCAAATGGGAACAGGTCACCACCCACAGCTTGGTGGGCTGGCCAGAAACATGTTTCAGCTTTTATCAGCCAGATGCTGTCATGGGGGCTTTATTCCAGCATTTTCCTCTCCAGGATCTGGGGTATCCTTCATGATTCTGGTGGAGTCCCATTCTCCTTCTTGAATTAAAGCTCACAGAGCTGATCTTTATGTACTATCTTGCTATTTCCAAATGGCTGAGGCACTCTGAAAATCCTCTAATCTGCCATCTTAGAAAACAAAACAAAACAAAACAAAATGAGGTGTTTTTTAAAAAATGGTCACAAATAACCAATTCATAACCAACTCCAAAAATAAAACAAGTTTCAATATCTCCACTTAACACTACTTAATAAATGTCTTACCAAGCACATCAGGATCCATTTGAAAAAGGATTAGTAGAAAAGTTCCTCCTTTGACTTTCTTAAAATTACAATTCTCATTCTATGAGATTGGGATTGGATTCTCATTCTATGGGATTGGAATTATAATCGTAACCCTAACTCATTGTCCCAAACCAAATGGATCTTTTCTTTTTAAAAATTACATTGTTCAAACTTTTTTTGTCTTTTATTGTGAGAACCAAGAAAGTAAAAGTATTTCAGCATATGCCAGTGCTACCCACACTTTTCATATTCTTCTATAAACAACCAGGTTGCAAGTGAAAAGCAAATGACTGTCCCCAGTCTTCAATCTGCACACCTGAGTTGGGTCACATTTATAAAACAATATGTAATGGAGAGAAGAATTAATATGTGGATGGAAAACAATGCTCACATGGATTAGGATGATTAGTAATTTGCTAATGAAAGAAAAGCCCAATTAGTGCAAAGGCAATAAGAAAATCTGCCCATGGTAGCCAAGTAGAAGGGAAGATAAACTGGAAAATATGCTGAAGACCTAAAATCAAATAAAATTTCAGCTGACCTCAGTAAAGCTGATCTTGCATCTCTCTGGGCATGACTGCAAGGAGTTTCATAGAAATTCATCCCCTAATGCTTTGGAAAATCTTTTTCCTTTTACAGAAGATCCACAAAGATCTGAAATCCATCAATGGATTGGTCCATCTATGTACGCATTTCTATCTATCTATCTATCTATCTATCTATCTATCTATCTATCTATCTATCTATCTATCTATCTATCTGCTTACCTATCCATCTATTTACCTATCCATCCATCCAGCTCTGTGATTTTATATTTTCAAATTTACCTACTTGCTAAAAATGTCTTTGAAAGCACTATAGTATTGATTTGGGGTTACAAAGTCATTCACAGATGTGCACAGAGTAGCAAAAAACTTCAGTTGTCCCCAGCTGAGGTTGAACAAAGTGATGCCCTGCTGTCTTGGTTCAGCTCTCATACTGTAAACAAGTATCTATTCTTTTCATGGCCTCTTTATTGCCACATTTTTCTTATCTTCATGCTTTTTTTTGTTTGTTTTTGGTGATTTCACTGTTTAAAGTGTCCCCCAAGTATAGTACTAAAGTGCTCTCTAGTGTTCCTAACCACAAGAAGACTGTGATATGCCTCATGGAGAAAATACATATGTTGGATAAGTTTTGTTCAGGCATAAATTACCTTGCTGTTGGCCATGGGTTCAAATTTAATGAATCAACAGTATATATTAAATAGCTTTAAACAGAAACACACATATAACAATGTTATGTATGAATCAGTTAACAAAAATGTAACCAGAGGCTTGCAGGAAACTAACCCTGAATTTCCTCTAGAAGCAATACTTCAGTATTGTCTAATTCAGGGTTGTAATTTTATGGAACATAGCTACTTGTTATTCCCAAATAACAAGAATCAACATATTATATATGGTCATCCCTCAATATCTGAGGAAAATTGGTTCCAGAACCCCCGTGGATACCAAAATCCAAGGATACTCAAATCACTTATATAAAGTGGCACAGGACTTGCATACAACATATGCACATCTTCCTGTGTGCTTTAAATCATCTCTAGATTACTTATAATACCTAATACAATGTAAATGCTATGTAAATAGTTGTTATTCTGTGTTTCTATTTGTATTATTTTTATCGTTATATTGTTTTCTATTTTTTCCAAATATTTTGACCTGCAATTGGTTGTATTTGTGGATGTAGAACCCTCCAATATGGAGGGCCAACTGTATCTGTATAGGGAAGCATATAGAGTGATATATCATCATATTCACCTGCAATATGAGTCTATTGAACAGAGTCCTCTGAGTTGAATTTTCTACCTGCCTACATTCTCCAGAGGAGGGTGGTCAACTGTCCTGATTTGCCCATGATTAAGGAGTTTCCCAGGACAAGGGACAAGAGGCTTGCAGTTCTAAAACTGGGAAAATCTTGGGGCAAAGAATTGCTCCCCCAGTACCAGAGTTTCTCACAGCCAAAGAAGCATTGGGGTGGGAGGAGAGTCTAGTACAAACCCTTCAACTCTTGGTCTGGAGCTAAGTCTCTTCAATTAAGAAAGAGACTCTCATGGAATAAATACGCCCCCAGGCAGTTAAGCATCACTGGCCACACTCAGGCTTTTGAAGGCTCCTAAGAAAAGCCTGGAGTCACTCTGGCAAAGTTCCATTGAGAGAACATTAACAAAAAACTCATTTGCTTTACATTTCTAATGGCCCTTGCAAGTGTATCTTTGATGTGTGTAGAGACTTCAAAGAGTTGAACTATGAAGAAAGATTGTGTTTAAATCAAATGGTGTAAAATACAAATGCCCGGGAAATGCAATATTTTCATTCAGGCAACTAATATATTATTATTTTTTTACATTTGTAAAGTGATAAAAGACAGGGGAGAGAAAAATGTGGATTATAGGGCCAAATCCACATTTCCTACATCAGCAAATTCTCAAATTCTCAGAGATTTAGGACTCCACATAGACCAGTGATTCTCCTTTGGCTGCACATCTGAATCATCCAAGGGGTTTAAAAATTCCTATGCCTGAGCTCCACCCATTTCAATAAAATTGAACAGGAATTGGGAAGCAGGAGAGATTTACGTGGCATTAGAATAGTTTTAACAGCTTTCCAGGGGATTCTAATGTGCAGCCAGTGCTGAGAACCACTCACAAGGAGGACAGCACTGAGAAAGAACATCAGGAAACTTCTGGGTTCAGCAGGGAAGAAAGAATGCTATCATCAGCTGGTGACGTCTACCACAGGTGGAGTACAGAAAGGAGGGCTGCAGCCTACAGAGCTGCCCTAAATGGTTTTTATCAGCCCTAGTGATGTGGAAACATTCAAACTCTGGAATCAGATGAATCTTGATTTAATATTGGCTCTGCCACTTATAGCTATATTATACCTGTGCAACTTTAGTGAAGTTACTATCCCTCTTTACATCAATATCCTCATCTAGATACTCATTTTGCAAGGTCATTGTGAAGATTAAGTTAAAATGCATATGTCAAGTACCAGACATACAGTGGATGCTTAGTGAATGGAAACTATTGTTATTATCCAGACCCCCACATTTTCATGTTTGGCCATTTTCTGAGTTGTGTTCTGTTTTTCTGACAAAGGATAGCAGAGCACCTTTATGAAACTGGAGTAGTAGTATTAAAAAAACAAAATAATAAAAAGTGAAAAAAATGGCCAATGCAATTTTGCAAACATATAATCTAGTTCAGGGGTCAACAAATTACTGCCTGTGGGCCAAATCCAGCCACATCCACTAATTTACTTATTGCTTTTAGCTCTTTTCCCACAACAAGAGACCATCTGACCCACTAAACTGGAAATATTTACTGTCTGTTCCTTTAGAGAAAATATTTATTTGACTCCTGATCCTGAGTTCATCAATACTCAGCATGGTCCATGGACACCAAGACCTTTTCAGGGAATCTGTAAGGTCAAAGCTATTTTTACAATAATACTAAGACATTATTTACCATTTTCACTGTGTTGACATTTGCATTAATAGAACAAAGCAATGGTGGTTTAAACTGCAAGTGCCTAGGCACAAACCAAGACAAGACAGTGGCACCACACTGTACTCGTAGTCATATTCTTTACCACCACACGTTTGCAGGACAAGAAAAAAAGAGCCAGTTTCTCCTAAGTCAGTGTTTCTCAGCCTTGGCAATATTGACATTTTGGACCAAACAACTCTCGGTTGTGTGGTTGTCTTGTGCATTGTGGGGTGTTTGGCCTCTACCCACCAGATACCACTAGCCCTCCCATTCTCCTAGTCGTGACAAAAATGTCTCCAGACATTCTCCAAATGCCCTCTGGGGAGGAAAAAAATCACTCCTCTCCCTTTCTTTTCCCCACTGCCTCCCCCTGGAAACCACTGAATTAACCTGATGAAGCAGTAGAAATTATTAATTTTATTAAATCTCAATCCTGAGTACACATCTTCTTAAGTTTCTCTCTGGCTAAATGGGAAGGATTCATTGGCTTGGCACTTATGCTGCTGATTGAAATACAGAAATTCAGTGGTTATCTTAAGAAAAAAAAACCTTGTGTTATTTGCCTATGTGCCAAACTAACCACTTTTTTTTTTTTTTTTTTTTTTTTGTGGAACCATTTTTACTTGAAGTAACAACTAATGAACAATCTATGATTATTTGTTTGGGGCTGTTTGGTAGACATTATCCAGAAAATGAATGAAGTGAGCCTTTCATTTCAAGCAAAACTACTGATGCTAGTATTTGCTGCCAGTGATACAATTTGAGCTTGCAAATGAAAATTGGAGTTTTGGAAAATCTATTATCTGCCACTGTGAACTTGAAAGTTTCCCAATACTTAAAAGACTTTTCTGATGAGATCAGTGGTGAAAATAGTGAATGCAATGTTTTTTATATTATATAATGAAATGCATCAAACTTTGGAAGATATGCCTAACACAGTAAACCCATATTTTTCCAAATGACTAATGCTTAATATTTCAAAGTCATGCATAGGTAAAAGATTTAATCAAAGTGCAAGACAGACCAGTGGATTTTAATGTAATAGGATACAAAGTTAATTAAAGTCACATATCACAACTAACCTTTGAGAAACTACTTGTTGAGTTTTGGTGTAGCGTCCAAGAAGAATATTCACAATTATCAAGGCTATTTTGAAAATAGTCTTCCCTTTTCTAACTTCAAATCTTTATGAGGCCAGATTTAACAGATCAAATACAGAAACATATGAGAATATAGATGTCATCTATTAACAAGTTACTAAAGAAATTTGCAAAAATATAGAGGAATGCCAGTCTTCTCACTAAATTTTTTGTTTTTGAAAATGTGATTTTTTAATGAAAATATACATTTTAAAAATTGCCTATTTTAACTTCCAATATGGCCAATACCAATAGATATAAACCAGATAACAAAAACTCTGGGATCTTTGATCATTTTCAAGAGTGTAAAGCGGTCCTAAAACCAAAAGATTTGAGAATTGCTGATCTATTTTGTATATACAGAGTATTTATAATATTTATATAACTAAATTAAAAATAGTTAACAAAAAAGACCACATAACTCTGATGATGAATGAGATGTAGGAAAAAGGAGTGGAAAAATATGTGCATAGGTCATTTAGTTTTTTTTTTTTTTTTTGATGGGAGGAGCTGGCAGTATAGCAAGTGAGGGTCTAGATGTAGAAACAGGGAGGGCATATGTGGCCTTGAGCAAGTTAGTCTCCTATCTGTGCTTCAGTTTCCTCCTTGTTAAAGTGGCAATGATTCTAGTACTTATAGCATTATTTGGAGGATTATATGAGTAAATACCTGAAAAGAGTATAGAATATGCTTGGTGCTTAGAGTAAGTGCCCTCTCTGGGCCAGCTATTTTTGTTTAATAATAAACAATGAATTTGTGTCAGCAGGGATAAGGTCAGACCCACAATTAAGGCTTACAGGTGCTGACCCTACCCCTCAATGGGGTGACTGAAAGCAGGAAAATCCAGTCACTAGCCCTCAGAGGCAAAATATCATGAAGCTGAGAAGGAAATCAGAATCTCCTAACCCCCTTCCTGCCCTAATATTACACTTTCTAATCCAAAATCACATCTGTTACCCCTGTGAGGTACATGGATGTGCTCCAAGGTTTCAGAACAAATGATGTGAGGTTGGCTTGGTTTCATACTTTAGTTCCAGAGCAGTTATAATTTTTCCTGTTCCTGCACTGTGATTAATTTTCCCTTCAACTCAGTTGGCTGCCAGCGATCATTCAGAATTATGTTGATTTCGGCAAATACCCAAACAACGACCTTCACCTTTTAAAAGACACATGCTTTAAAGAAGGGGCTTGCAAATTTTTATAGTGAGAAGGATTCTTAATGAAACCATGGGGACACTTATTGCATAAGCAAATGAAATGTTTGTGAAACGGTTTTTAAAAATTCTAATGAAAAATCTACTTCTGAAAGTAAGGAAGTTACCTCAAATTTTAAATTACATCTTAGTAGGACAAACAGCATATAAAATTCAGTTCCTGTATCTTCCTACCACCCTATATCAAGCAGGATAAATTTATGGTAATTGTTTTCTAAGGTTACTGAGAATGTTGAGTTTAGAGTCTGAAACCTTGCCAAATTCAAATGTCGCCTTCTCTCTGAGATGTGTCCTAAGTACACTATTTACCATTGGCTCCCCCTTCTGCTTCATTTTCCTTTGAGGCACGTTTCTCCATCTAACACACTATACATTTTACAAAGATATTTTGTTTATTGTCTGTCTGCCTCATTATTGTGGCAGGAATTTTTGTGCTTTTTCTTCAGTGATATGTTCCTGACTTCTAGAAGGGGGTCTGGCATATGGTAGGGACCCCCCACATCCAGCTTTTACCTTTAAATCAGGAATAGAAAATGTCCCTTGATGCATTGCATATCATGAATTCACACATGGAGACTTTGAATTAATAAATGAGTCTATGTTGCAAAAAAAAACAAAAACTGTTGGATCCAAGAGCATTTAAGTATTGTTCTGCAACCTGGCAATTGTATGACCCAAAATATGAAACAGGGTCTCCAGGAACATATTCCAGGGGTCTTTTATTTTCATTCATCTAACATTATTCTTTGATGAATAGATGTCTTTAGCTTCAACTAGCTGTCCAGCTCATGAAAGCACAAGCCTCTGTCTCACATACCCATACAGGACACTGTGCCCTAGTGGGGTTTAAAAAATAAATAAGGGATTGATGGCAGAAGTACCCCATTTACCCCAAGAGATATGTTCCAGTGCAACTGTACATGGAATCTTTGAAAATCAAGTACCAAAAATGAGGGAACTTCACTACTTAAATTTGTTCTGTATTAAATATTTATTGTAAAGCACAGAATTCCTTTGTAACAACATACTTTATTTATAAGGTCATATTTTGATATATAAGGTTTTCTTAAATCAGTAAATTGAGACACACACACTGGGTGTAGAATCCACAGGCTCAATTTAGTGCCAGGTTGATGACTGATGACTGAGAAGTAGCTCCTTTAGAAGACTTGACTGGCACATGTAACCATTAGGAAATTATAAATAAAAGGTGAGGGGGATTGTGTGTTCTTTAAAAGCAAGGGCATCCTTTCATTCACCTTTGTTATCTAGAGTCTAGTAAAAGCATATTATAGGCATGCCATACCTATTTGGTGATTAAATAAAAGCATGAGTAAGCAAATGATCAAATGCAATTAAGTACTAAAAAGATTTTTGGCTGGACACGGTGGCTCACGCCTGTAATCCTAGCATTTTGGGAGGCTGAGGCAGGAGGATTACTTGAGCCCAGGCCAGCCTGGGCAACACGGTGAGACCCTGTCTCTACAAAAAAAAATAAAAATAAAAAATAGCTGAGTGTGGTGGCACACACCTGTGGTGCACCTACATAGGAGACTGAGGCAGCAGGATAGCTTGAGCCCAGGAGGTCAAGGCTGCAGTGAGCCATGATCACACCTCTGCACTCCAGCCTGGTCAACAGAGTAAAACTCTGTCTCAAAAAGATACTGAAATAAAATAAAATTAAGATTTTTAAAGAGTCTATAATGCAGTAAAAATTTACACAGGAGTCACTGGAGACAGCTGCATGGAAGAGTTGCACCTTGAAGGAAATTAAGGCTTCAAATGCTAGCACAAAGGGTAAATAAGAATTCCTAACGAGAAGAGTAATCTAGATCTGTGCACCAGTTAGTCAGAAGGATTGTGAGCAGCAACTTCCAGTATATATTTATTTATATTTATACATATGTTCCACTATACTAACAAGAAAAAATTTTAGACATACACAAAAATAAGATTTTAAAAGAAAAGTTAAAGGTGAAATAAGCCATATTTTAAATTGTTATTTATTAATGGTATATCATTATTTCTATTGGGCACAAATCTACATTTCAAATAACCTTTTCAATAATTTTGAATATTGAATTTTTTGGCTAACTTCCAGTCATGTCAGATTAGATCATGTTGCCTCAAAATATGGCTAATGAGGAGTTTTAATAGGTATAAGAGATGTGTCAGCTAAGCCATTTTCTTATTTGCTCATGCCTACATTATTCATATTGTCCTTAATCTTTCATTCTTTGAAGGAACTTAAATGACTGTGAAAGTTAGCTTGGTTAAACCTAGATAATATAATCTACTCAATCGGCCAAGCATATAAAAACTGTAATACACTGAAAGATGCTTAAAGTTAACAAGTCAGTGAGAAAACCTGCAGCAAGGAAATCAACCTAGCACACTAGTGGAATATGCAACCATCACCCCGACAGACAGATGGTTTAAGTGTGCCAGGGTCAAGGCTCACTTTGAGACCATGGACCGTACCTGCCCCGTGCAGGTGGAGTTAGCAGCTCACATAGTTGTGAGAGGTGCATGTGTGGGGTCTCATCATTTATGATGGTTGAGAGGTTTTGACCTGGAAAGATAGGTTAATGAGTATGTTTGCATATTAGTCTGTCCTGGAAATCAGGAATAAATTAAAAATCTCAAAGAAGCAGACTCAGAGGAACTATGAATGAAACTGATTATTCAACTTGAGCTAGCTCTCTGAGTCAGCTCCCTATAGAATTATCATCTGCTGCTCATGGGACTCTGATTTTTTCTTTTCTATTTATTAATTTTTTTTTTCTGAGACCGAGTCTCCCTCTGTCTCCCAGGCTGGAGTGCAGTGGCACAATCTTGGCTCACTGCACCGTCTGCCTCCTGCGTTCAAGTGATTCTCGTGCCTCAGCCTCTCAAGTAGCTGGGATTACAGGCATGTGCCACTGTGCCCGGCTAGTTTTTGTATTTTTAAGTTGAGATGGGGTGTTACCATGTTGCCCAGGCTGGTTGCAAACTCCTGTTCTCGATCAGGAGTTCCAAGCCATCCACCCACCTCAGCCTCCCAAAGTGCTGGGATTACAGGCATGACCACCATGCCTGGATGATTTTCTTCTAAAAGATAAACCTATTTTCTTCATTGTTTTTGGTAGGAGAGAGCCAGGAGCTGCCTGACATACCTGGTGAGCCAACTGGCCAACATGGAGCATTCGTTTCACCATATTCTCCTGCTGGAGATTAAAAGCATCACCGACACCTTCTCCTCAATCTTGGGCCCTCAGAGCAGAGACATCTTCCGCATGAGCAACAGCTTCACCGCCATTGCTAAACTCCTTACCCGACAACTGGAAAATACCAAGGCTGGAAGTGGCAGGTGAGCAAGAGCTTCTGTGTACCTCAGGGAGCTGCTGTGCACCTGTGGGGGTAGAATGCAGACAGTTAAGCCTCTCTAACTTCCAAAGGAAGCTAAAACCTGTATCTCAACAGAGAATAATATCTGTATAAATTATGGCACTTGCCAGAATCTTTCTTCTAAATGTGTGAAAACCAGAATGTAACAAAACAATAAATTTAAAAGGTTCACAAAATATGGTAAAAGAATTAGAACATAGTGCAAGTAATATTTTATAGCACCCGTTTATTTACTCAACAAGCAGTTAACAATTTAAATTGTCATACTGAATAGTCAAACATAGCTTACTATGTATCAGGAAGCTAGACATATATAGAGAGATAATAGCAGGTTTCTTGTATTCAAGAAGCTCACTGACTAGTATGAGATAAATATTTAAGTGCATAATGGGAGAATAGCAGAATGGCCGAAAGGTTATGCTTATCAAGATGAGTTCAAGGGGCATGGAAAATACAGAGATAGAGTATGTACTTCTGCATCAAAGGGAGAGGGGTGGGAAGTTGTTATCAGAAGAGTTTCCTCTGAAGAGGTGATATTTTGAACCAAGTAGTGAAAGATGACCAGATTTCACCAGGCTGTCTTTTGGGCAGCATTTGAAAAAGCACTTTCTGGAAACAGAAGTCATTTTGTATGACTAGGGTTATGTTACAAGGAAAATAACATTAGGAGATGCTGATGAAGTGGTAGGCAGGGACCAGTGGATGATAGGCTCAACAGAGTGGACTAAGGAGTTCAGTTTTACCCTCTAAGCAGTGAGGAGTGATTGTGGAGCTTTGTACATGGCAGGGTATAATCAGTCCAGATTTTAGGAAGCTCACCCTGGCCCCAGTGCAGAGGATGTCTCAGGAAGAGGCAGATGAGCCAGATCAAGTGAGGGAAGAGCAGAAAAGTGTGCATAGGTGTTGGCCATGAGGAAATTATTGACGATTGAGGTGAGGAAGCTGCCATTGGTGTGGCTAGCAGAAAACAGGGTGATGGGGCTTGCAGAGAGAGTGGACACAATGCACAAACTGGCCTTTTCAAGAAGCTTGTCTTTGGAAAAAATATACAAGGCCATGCAAGGTTGAGGGAGGGGTTTTATTTGTTTTTGCTCTGGTTTGAATAGAGAGAAACTTAAAAAGCTTTATGACCTTTAGAAGTTACAAAAGCCCTTTATGTATGTAATCTCATTTGATCCTCATGACCATTCTACAAGGCAAGAAGGGCAGATGTCACTTACTCCTACTTTATAGAAGAAGAAACAGAGGCTCAGATACTGGTTAAATATCTTCCCAATGTTACACAATGACTAAATGACAGAGGATGGACTCGACCCCATCTCCATAATTCAGATCACAGGCAATGGAAGGTGCTCAGTTATGGAGGAGGGTGGGGCCCATTTGAGACTAGTGTCAAATTCTGTGGGTTTTTTGGAATAACAAATGATGCATGCCATTTCCAGTGTGAAACAAGAATTCCATGAGAAGCCATCTTGATAGAGTAGTGAGCATTTAGTCATTTGGGTCTACTTTATGTTCAGCATGGTGTAGAGCCTGGAGGTCCTAAGAGATATAAGGTACTATCCTTACCATCAAGAGTCACAGTCAGAGGATGTGATGTGCTAAAAGTGCATACAATGGGCTATGGTGAAAAAGGGATGTACTGACCAGCAGCCAGAAAGTCGAATATTTCACAGAGAAGGTAAAATTTAAGTTCATTTCCTATTTATTATCTTCCATGTGCCAAGCATTTCTCTAGACACTAGGTCAAGTTGCACAGAATGAACGAAAATTCCCCAGATAAGGGTAAAAAGGATACCACAAATTAAAAAAAATAGCACATACAAAGATACAAGGGCTTAATAATATGTGCTCAGACTGAGGAAAGATAATTTGTTCAGTAGGGCAGGAAAGTAAGTTGAAAAGTTAGGTCAGAGGCAGATTATCAGAGGCCTTTCATGCTGTGTTAGAAGCAAGGGTTTGTTCTGTAAGCAACATGGAGGCTTGGAAAGATTTTAATCCAGAGAATGATCACAGCTCTTAGCACAGGAATTAACAGATAGTAAGCACTCAAATATTTTCACCAAATGAATAAGTAAATCACGAGTAACTAACATCATGAAGCATTGAATTAATTTGGTTGGAGCAGCCAGTTGGCAAGAGACAAAGTGAGAGGTCTAGACAAAATGATGAGAGCCTAAGAAGTCAGGGCAGATCATTATATTAGAGGACACAAAATTATGAGGAAGTGATCACCTATTGGAGGTGGAGTAAGAAGAAGAGGGGGGTGGATGAACACCCAGAGATATGTAGCTTGAATGACCGCATAGAAATGGAGATGATGCTGATAACCAAGAAAGGAGTTCGCAGGAGGGAAGCCAACCTGGGACGATCTCTTAACCCCTACACACAGAGAATGTAATCTGACCAATAGTGTCATCAAAGTCAATAACTATTCACAGAGGTAGAGTCGGTAAATTCCTTTTCTTTCAACACAATGAGTTTGATTGAGCATATAAAAATGTGTTGTCACCTGGTTTGATATACAGATGCCTATTACAAGGGTTTCTTAACCCTGGTATTATTGATATTTGGGCTAGATAACACTCAGTTGTGAGATTGCCATATGCATTATAGAATATTCACCAGCAATGTGCTGGCCTCTACCCACTAGATGATAGAAGAAGCACCCCCTTTCAATTGTGACAACCAAAAATGTCTCCAGGTTTTGCTAAATGTCCCCAAGGAAACAAAAACCTCCCCCACTTGAGAATCACTACTATATATATATATATATATATATATATATATATATATATATATATATATATACCATTCAAAAATAGCATTTTCATAGACCCATAAGTTAACTGGCAATGACCTGAACACATGGCAGCATCCAGGAGAGTCAAGGCCAGCATCATTAAAAAGATTTGCCATTTATATGCACCCACAAAGTCGCTGTTGGCCAATTTTAATGACGTGGTTTCAGAAGTTTGGTTTACAGTCTCTGCAGCTGGTATTTGAGGGAGCCATTCTGTGCTGTATGCACAGCTGAACTGTGTGTCTTCTCCAAGCCATGGCTAACATGTGCCATGAGTGAAAGTTTGGCCCATGTCCTGGCCAGTGCTCACCTATTCTCTATTTTCCCTATGGACACAAGGTTTCAAGAGGCCAGTTGACATTTCTGAGATTATATATGTGAAAAGCTTTATATAAAGAGAAAAAATATTATATAAGTGTGTTACATAGGCATCTTAACAGGAAAATATATTTTTAATAAGTAGGCCTGTATTAGTCCATTTTCATACTGTTGTAAAGAACTGCCTGAGAGTGAGTAATTTATAAAGGATAGAGGTTTAATTAACTCACAGTTCGGCATGGCTGGGAGACGTCAGGAAACTTACAATCATGGAAGACAGCAAAGGGGAAGCAAGACACCATCTTCACAAGGCAGCAAGAAGACGTGCCAAGCAAAGCAGAAACAGCCCCTTATAAAACCATCAGCTCTCATGGGAACTCACTCACTATCACGAAAACAGCATGGGGGAAACTGCCCCTATGATTCAATTACCTCCACCTAGTCTCTCCCTTGACACGTGGAGATTATGGGGATTATAATTCAAGATGAGATTTGGGTGGGGACACAAAGCATAACCATATCAAGGCCCAACCCAATTAGCAATGAACAATTTCCCCATGAAAAGAAGAATTTAGGAGATATGTAGGTAGGAAGAAAAAATAAGGTCCCACTATGAAAATATGAGTCTGCATGTATGAGAATGCATTTTAAATATCTTTTTTTTTTTTTTTAGTATTTTTCTGAGGTGAGAGGGCAGGAGAGTAGGAAACAAAGAAAGGGCAAAATGAAATGTAAAGAGATGAAAAGGTCACCACTCACCTCCTACCACGACTGCCATCATCCCCCACCTCAACCTCTCTCAATTGAAAATACTTCTCTCAGTTCAACCCCTCGCTGTCAATCTTCTTCTAATCGATTGTAATTATTCAGTGGGAATCTCTAAACCCTCGTGTGGACAGCCAGCCTTTTGTCTGAACGGCTCATCCTCTCTGGAATGGTTGCTAAGGCTTCTCTCCCAACATCTTTTCCTTGAATACCCTTCATTGTGACCATTTAACTTCAGTCATTTTAACCTGCCCCCAAAGCAGAAAGGTCTGCACTTTTGTCTAAAGCATGCAGCAAAATCTGATCCTTACAATTAAAGGGGAAATGAATAAGTGAAGGGAGCTTGAAAGAAAATTAAAGATGATAAAATTCAAAACAGATGTCATCTAATTTACAAATCTGACATGTAGCCCAGCAGGCCAGATTTTAGACTTCAGGCCAAAACTACAAGATTATCAAAAGAAAAACAATTAGCATCCTAGAAAGAATGGAAAACTGAAGCAGACAGGAGGCTTTCTTGTGCCAAATGACTGAATAAATTAAGTGAGTTTTGTTAGAAGCACCAGGTGAGCCCACTTGCACTTTTCCTGCTCCTGTTTTAGAAAGAATGTTTATATGTAAATAATAAACCAACAGAGGCTAAATAACAGGACAGCCAAGCAAAGCATTTATATTTTTTAAATTAATTCTGAAGAAGCAAAAGGGTACAAGGGCTATTATGCATTGCAAAGGAGAAGGTGTCAGGTTGGAGAAGAGATCTATACCTTTCAATACCGTGCAAGTCCTATCTACCCTTCAACATCAAGTTATTTGTCTGCCAGGGCCCAGTTGAAGCTGGGGAGGGAGAGGGTGAGCTCTGGGCACCTCTGTAACTGGCTGAGCTGAGCAGTGGAGTGATCATTGCCTAGAAGATGCCTTTGCCAAATGAATGTGGCGCCAGGGAGGCTGCTATAATCAGGCACCATCAGAATGGGGGCAATTTGTCACAGGTGGTCTTAGTAGGAGGTTAGGCACAGGCCCCAGTTGGGGATGGAAACTTTGAGGGATGGAAATTGTGGAGAGAAAGCAGCAGTGGGAGATAAATATGACAAATGAGAAAAGATAGGGAGAGAGGATGATGATGGCAAAAAGCAGAAGGGGAGACCCAAGGAAAAAAGGAGAAAGGGTCCTGACACAGGCCTGGGGCAGAGGAGGGTAGAGGAAGGTTACAGTTCCCTCAGATCCAGCCTGCAAACTTCAGCCAAAGCCGTGAAAGTCATGGGGGAAAAAGAAGTTGTTTGTGTAAGAAAAGTTTAAGACAAAGTGTGTGATTATAGTTTCTCCAATCCTCTGGCTTAGTTACATGAATGTTGCGTTTTTTTTGTTGTTTTGGTAGTGATGGTGGTAGTGATTATGAGATTTTATGCTTGCTCTTCACTTTAAGAATCAGGCCTGAAAACAGAAAGGGATAATGAAAGCGAAATTATAGTCAAAACTGACTGAATAGGTGTAAATCTGACTTTGGTATAAGTGAAAAGAGATGATACAAAGGAGGGAAGGAAATAAAACAATAGCACATGCAGGAGAATGAAGGGAAAATAGGGTAACTCAACTATATTCAAAGAAAAATGACTCCAGGAAATCTGTCTTCCTTGGAGTGGCTCCAGAATTCCATTTATCCTACATTCCATGCAATGAACATCAAAGAAATGGAGTACAGCAAAGAGACATATTTGATGTATTGTGTGGCCCTAATGTATACTCAAGCAACACAGCCTGTAAAGAACCTTTTCAACTACGAGGCCCTTTGCAACCTGTCATTCCAGAGTTCCCATCTTGACATCCTGGGAGTCACATCAGAACCTAACTCTACTGAAATAACAGTAATGCACATGCTTAGACATCATGTCCCCAAGACATTGTCCAAGACCTTGAAAGTAATCGCTCTTCACTGAGTCCACAACACAAACTGCAGAGAACAGGGGGCCAAGTTCTTCTCTGCAACTCTGCAAAAAATTCTGCATATGTAGGCCTGATCAAGCTTTAAACCAGCTCTTACCACATGGTAGCTCCTGTGCTAGGAGCTTTCCCCTCTGATTTGTTTAATCCTCACAACAAAAAGTCTTTTCATATGCATCGGGATAATAGAAACTTCATAGTAGAGCGTAATAGAGTAAACCTTGCAGACAGGCAAGAACAAAGTAAAATTCTTGCTGTGAGTCCATGGTAATTCCTGGAGGGCCAGTAATACAAATGCCCAGACATCAGTTCATTAAGTTTCTCTTAATTTCTTCTTTTAATCTAGTCCAGTGAATCTCAAATTTCAATGTGGATAAGAGTTACAGTTTTCACAGTATTTCATGGATAATTCAAAAGAATATTAAAGGAATGTCAAGGGTAACTTTTGCCTATTCCTCCCCAAAGAGGTACCCCACTAACCTTTACCATCACCTTCTAGAATGCCCTCTTTGTGCCTCTCTTCCCATTGAAAGCTGGCATTCAGAACCAAGACTCCAGTTTGGTACTACTTCTCCATGAGGCCTTTTCCACCCACCATCACACATAGTGATCTGTGCTTTCCTCTGAGCTCCCACAGTTCATACAACCTTTCCACCTCCCAGCACATGCCATCCTGGCCTGGAGTATTAGGTGTCCTTCTGTGTCCCTCTACTCTTCCACAGACTTGAAGAGCTAGTATTCACAGCCCATGCTCTATGGAAGGAAAAATAAGGTCTTAAAGTGTTCACAAGAACTTCCACATTTTTAGGTAAGACATGTTCGTACAAAGAGAAATTAATTCTTTGAAAGCAGCTGTTGGTTCAGGGAAGGTACACGAGTCAGTTCAGAACCATAATTAAAAACATGGGACATTCTGGTCAGCATTGCCCCCTGCTTAGGAAAAGCTGACTATAATTTTGCCCCACCAAGGTAAATTTTAAGAATGAAACAAGAGTTTTGATAGGAAACGAGTATCTCTTTTCAATCTAGAGAGGTCTATGGTGATCACTTGTGTAAAAAGAAAATCATAACAGCCATTTGTGGCAGTAGCTGTGGCTGTTGTTACTCCTCTGTGCATGGAAAAGGAAGGAAAGGCTTCGGTTTTGGGCCCGTCTTCTTACTGAAGAGGTTAAGTCTGACATGTGGTACCATTTATGTTCCAGCTGTTATTCATTTACTCCACCAGTTGTCCTCCCTTAACGCAGCATTTAGGGTGATGTGAAGGTCTTTAAAGGCATTTCAGGAATTCATCTATCAGCACGAGATGTAGGTAGGAGACATTGTTATCAGCTTTGGAGACAATGAAGCAGGCCCAGGGAGTGTGAGACCTCAGACAGGCTGGCTCTGCCATGTAAGGACACAGTAGGGTAGAGACTCGGGCAGCCCCAGTATGGAGTGCGGGCAATGTAATATCAGCTTCATGGGGAACCAGGTCCATTTTCTGTAACATAGCAATGTTCAAAACACAGGGCACACAAAAAAAGAAAGCTTTTCATGAGGCACCCATGCGCTGGCTTCCCATTTCAAGCAAGACAGAGAACACCAAAGTTCTAGCCTAGGGAATGAGGAAAAAGGGTGTTTGTGGGAGAAGAGGTAAGAGGACCTTGACCCTCTACAACCCACGTGAGAGGAGGGCCAGGGTGCCAGCTGGTGCTCAGACACTTCTTCCTGGACCCTGATGACCTAGCTATTCACTATTTTGGTTCCCCAAATGCTCCCTATTCCTTTTTAGTATCTGTCATAATTGAACTTTAAAGTTGCCATTTGCATGACATTTTCTGAGTTTTGAACACCTTTTTAGTTTGTGTTAAAAGAGGGTGCCAAAATTCATTTTTCCAATTAATACAAAGGGTTGCTCCCGTGACTATATATCAACTCTATTCTGGTGTCTGATTCCCACAGGATGTTATTCAGAGATATCAGATTGTAATAACTCTTCTTGGTTACCGTGCTATATCACCAGTGCCCTAATATGTATTACTTATTCCTGGGGTAGATTCAGATGTAACCTGAATCACACCTACTTAGAGGAAGTGTGCAGAGTGGAGTGTTAAGTGAGAGCTCTGGAGGCAAACAGTTGGATTTAATGTTGGTTTAGCTAAGTGACCTTAAGTGTGCCTCAGTTTCCTCATCTGTAAATGGAGTTACTAATAGGGTCAGCCTCCCTTGATTGTGTGAGAAGCAATTCATGTACCAGATTTAGAACAGTGAAGACTATACATAGAAAGCCCTCTGTAAATGTTAATGAGTAGCATTAGCACTTTGTTACAGGTGTGCATTATAATAGGTGTTGGCATATCCACTAGACCAGTGCCCATCTGCAAACTGTTTCTTATCAGACTGTGATGAAGCGATTGCAGATATTAAAAATAAGAAAATAAGAAGTTAGAACTTTTATAGCAATTTAACATTGCTGTAATATCCAAGTACCTGATCAGTGGACGTTGTATGTCTTGTTTTATTCATTGCGTTTCTCTAGTAGTTTATTTTTGCTATTTTTACAAAAATATTGGTCTGTGACATGAAAATTTAAAAAAAAAATAGTTCTTTACTACAGTGAGTTTAAAAGCTACCGTATTAAATGTTGGATACAGCTGGACCCAGACTAAGTCTGAGAGCTCTCTTTAATACCTAATATTTTATTCCCTAAACTTTCTTCTGGGACCTAAAGGAAAGAGATTTAATAAATGAAAGGTGATGAACACACACCAGTGTGGCCATGGTTGAGATACAGCTACTCTAAGATGGGTTACAGTTGAGGAAAAATGGTTCTTAATATTATTCATATTCATCATAAAGCAAAAGATAGGCTTTTCATTAGTTGGCAGCCTGAAGGCTGTTAGATAAACTTTGCTATAGGTAAGGGCTGAATTCTAGGTAGACTAGGAATTGAATCACAGAATTTTATGTAGGAGTTCTATCCCCAGGTCAGTTATTGATGTGTTTTTGATTAAGTATATCCTCCATTTCTGGGTAACTATGTTTCTATCAATTAAAATTGGGTTACAGTATCATATTTGAGATGAAGACTATGAGAAGATGTATCAAATAGGAAAATTTTAACCATTTTTCCTGCTCTTCCAGTGTCAAATGCCAAGAGTGACAATGTCTTAGCTCTTTAATCCTCATGGCCAGACCCTATTGCTTGCTCCTGTGCCCAGACGATAAAGTCAGCCTAGACAAAGAAGAGCACATTGCCTTACAGGTCTCCCTCTTGATTGACAGTGCTTTGATGATATTCCTACTCTACGTTTTTTACAGTCCTTTATAATTTACAGAGTGATTTTGTAACTTGTGTTATATCTGGGTGGCAGTTCATTAGGATGGGGCGGCCGTCTTCTGTTAAGGCTACTGCTCACCTGATATGCCCAGTCGTCTCAGGAATCTAAAGATTCGGGGTCCATCTGAACCAGTATCTGCCAGCAGCAAAACCCGAAAATGTACCTTTACCTCGGAATGTATCCCCAAAAGGATAAAAGGCAAAGCCTACCAACTCCAAATAATCCACAGATTAAGTCTTACCTTACTACAGAATTAGTGAAACCCTCAGCAGCCTTGCTTGAGGAAAAAGGCCTCTGCCCTGGTCCACTTCAGATTCTCTTATTTCATTGTCTGGGCCATCGCTTCTCAAAATTTGAACGTGTCACTGGACACCTGGGGACCGTATTAAAGTGCACATTCTGATTCAGTAGATCTGGGATCAGAACCTGAGATTCTGCACTTCTGACAAGCTCCAAGGTGATGCTGATGCCGCTGGTCCAGGGATCTCACTTTGAGTAGGAAAAGCAGGGGCTTTGCACTTTTTGCTGATCCCTTTTCCGTGTCTTATTCTCTCCCATGTTGGTTAAATAACTGAAAAGTGAGCAAATGATTGGGCATCTGAATTAGAAGTGTCCCTTCCTTGTATCATGGCTTTTATATTTTCATTCTAATTTCAGGAAATTCTGTCTGCAGTTGCTCAGAATTCATATTTCAAGTACAGGGATTTATTTTTAATTGGCCATTTCTATATCCCAGTTCTTGTATGCTCATGGAGTAGGAGAGTCCCTCTCTTTTAGTACGCACTGTTTAAGATACTGCAGTAAGAGGAGGGATTTTATAGTCCTCCCTGGCTTTGAGCAGGAAAAGCATATCTTCTAGGATTGGTAACACTTGCGCAAACCTCCTTCTTTCAGTGTCAAATGTCCACATTAAGCAGCAGCCACTCAGGGTTTTACCATGCCTTGAATTTTTCATGCCCATTCTATGTGAGCAACACTGTCAAATCCAGTATCTTATACAATGCTTTCAGCAATCTGATGATGTAATATCAATCCCATTTTTATATAACAAAAATAAAACTTAGAGTCCTTAAGAGTTTTATAGCATCACTAATAAACATGAAATTGGAGTTATGAACCTAAGCTTTTCCCCATAAGATTCTGTTCAGTCAGTTTCCCCCACAACTGTCTCCTTTTGAAAACTCTTTTAAAATTTTGTGTAAATGAAGTAAACCATGGAGTTATTTCATTTTAGCAGAGTTCTACCATTGGCATGATCACATTCTGATCCCCACATAACTAGGTACCTGCCCATCTCTGCTTTTGCCCACTGAGCAGGTCAGAGGCAGAATAGATACCAAGAACTGAGTCTTATTGTTGTCCTTTCCCTTAACATTCCAGCTTAGGTGTTCCAGCAGCATTATTTATTGCAGTCCCAAAACAGATGCTAGCACTGTGAAGTTGGGGGATCTTCTCTATGATGACTGATGACCCAAGAGATTACTGAAGAGTAAGGAACGTAGCATTCTAAGAATTCAGGACTCCAATGTGGATTTAGTCCATTGCATTCTCCTACTTCTCCTTTAACAAGCTTAACTCTGCAGGAGTACATATCCTGGACATGGAATTGTAGGCCAAGATCATCAAACATTAACTAATATTATTTTTCTTTGATTTAAGGAGCCAGGAAGAGAGGCTGCCAATCTTTCCACCCCCTGCCAGCTTTATAGTCTCATCTCCCCGCTTAGTGAGAGCAGCGAGCAGCCCAAGGGCCAATTTGTTTCTAAGGGAAGTCCCCGTTCACACAAGAGGGAGGTAATTAGGCCTCCCCCTGGGAATCCCTAGATGTACTTTTAAAAACTTTGCTTTGGCAACAGAGACCAGAAACTGTTCAGACTAGAAATTATCTGAACCTCTTGTAATGTGGTGTGTTGAGTTAAGGCCAAGTTAATATTTAGGGGATTATAGAACTCTGGCAAAGATTTCTGTAAAATTACCTCTGGGGTCAAAAGTGACAAATGGAAAAGAAATAACAACCCCCTAAGTGAGCCCAATCCACTGGCCCCTGCCCCCACCACTCTATGAGTAAACACATACAGGACCCATGGATCTGCCAGCACTTTCACATTTGTGATGTGTTTCCTTGCTCTAGGAGGGAAGCAGAAGTTTATCTCAGGAAAAGATCTTGGTTTTTGAACTTTTTGTTCAAAAACTTTGTTTCGAACAAAATACTTCTATCTTTTTATATTAAATTTTAAAAGCAAGAGGAAAAGAAGTAAAGGAAAGGGAATGTTTATGATAAACCCAAACCCTCTATCTACCATTTCCTGACCTTCCAATTTATTGGAATTGAAATTTGTCCTACCTCCCTGCCAGCAAAGTTCTGTGGCATGCCCAGGTGGATTGATGGCCAGAAACAGAAAGTTCCCTTTGACCCATCTGGAGACCTTGGCTGCCTCAATGACTTCATTACCACCCCAGTCCACTGACTTCTGTGCTCTACAAATCTAAATCATAAAACCAAGGGAGATTGTGCAGAAGAGAAAGTCTTTGCGGTGAGAATTCTCATCAGCCTTAGATCTAGAGAGCATTTCTTTATCCCAGACATTTTATTGTTGCTTCTTCATTCTTCATATTTGTTCCCTTGCAAATTACTCTTTTTGCCTCTACTCTTGCTCCCTGCTTCTCTCCACATTTCATGTTTACCAAATAGCACTGTGCCATCCCCAAACCCTGAAGGGCCAGGAGAAGTGGCCAGTCTCTCATGGGCATCTGGTAGACCTCAGGAGGTTTTTTTTTTTTTTTTTTTTTTTTCATTTGGTTTTTGTTGTTGTTGTTGTTATTTGTTTGTTTTGTTTTTTGTGTTTTGTGGTGGTTGTTGTTGTTTAGAGGTGGGTGGCAGGCTGACTTCAGACAACAATGTGGTCTCAGTTCACTTATTCTACAAAAATTCCAGGTCCTGTGTGTGCCAAGCACTGTGCCAGACCAGATGGGTTGTACAGGTCCCTGCCCACAGTGCAGCAGGGATTTATCCCAGAGTTGCTTTGCCAAGTCTAACAAATAAAAATACAGGACACCCAGTTGAATTTCAGTTAAATAACAAATAATTTCTTAGTATTTTTAGTATAATAATTGTAGTCAAGTATAATATATATTTAGTATATTTCACTAGGGATATACCTACACTTAAAAATACTTACTGTTAGCCAGGCTCGGTGGCTCACGCCTGTAATCCCAGCACTTTGGGTGGCCGAGGCGGGAGGATCACGAGGTCAGGAGATTGAGACCATCCTGGCTAACACGGTGAAACCCCATCTCTACGAAAAATACAAAAAATTAGCCGGGCATGGTGGCGGGCACCTGTAGTCCCAGCTACTCGGGGGGCTGAGGTGGGAGAATGGCATGAACCCGCGAAGCAGAGCTTGCAGTGAGCCAAGATCACTCCACTGCACTCCAGCCTGGGCGACAGAGCGTGACTCAGTTTCAAAAAACAAACAAACAAACAAACAAACAAAAAACTTATTGTTTATCTGAAATTCAGATTTGGCTGAGTGTCCTGTTTTTCACTGAGAATCCTTACCCTTGAGGCACCCAACCTGCCCTCTTGGGGTCAGTGAGTGTCATGCCCAGCATCTCATCAGAGTAATGCTATAAAGCAACTTGAACATGAAGGAAGGCTGCTTCCAGCTACTAAAGCTCTGATGCATCCAGGCTGCAGGGCTTGCTAACCAATATCTGGTCACTGGAGACACAGGCACGGAAAGGGGCTTAAGTGGCCATCCCCTCCTACAGCCTGACAGTAATAAAATCTAACATGTGATGACTGCTTGTTATGTGTTAGGAACACTGCTTCATGTTGGTTCTGTCATTTAATCATTCTACCAACCCCGTGAGTTAAGTACAGTTATTATCTGCATTTTATAGATGGTGAAACTGATATAAAGAGTACAACAAACAAAAGAAGGATTTCCATAAATATGAAACTTTTTTAAGAATAAAAAACTGATCCAATAAAATTATCTTAGGACATTTTCTATAATCTATGAAATTTGAAGTTTTTTTGAAGAAAATGTGATTATTGTAACTGATATAAGCCAGAGCTTTAGACAGAAAGAAAAAAATTATAAATTCATGAGAAATTTTCCTCTAACAATTCATATGTTTTGAAGTTTAAAAATCTGTATAGTCAGGCACAGCGGCACACACCTGTAGTCCCAGCTACTCAGAAGGCTGAGATAGGAGAACTGCTAGGGCCCAGATGTTTGAGGCCAGCCTGGAAAACATGGCAAGACCCCCATCTCTAAAAACTTAAAAATTAAAACATTAAAACATTTATATAATGCTCAATATCTAATACTTACATTTTGGGTTACAAGTTATGCTTTACAAATTTTTAAGTTTTAATGACCCCAGCTATAGAAATATTTGAAATAAAGGCATCTTTTAATTTTGAAGGGTGATTAGGTTCCATGGAACCAGAGAAATATTTTAGTTTCATGACTATACATGAACTAATGTGGATAGAAAATAAATACTCCCCAAAATTTCTTGTGTGGTAAGTCCATTAGATTTTTTAAAATTAACCTTGGCAATCATCATGGTTTGTAAAATAGCATCTAGAGATAGCATTATCTTGGTTTCATTTGTAATGGGAGTAAACATTTAGAATCTTCTGGCTATAAGATGTCAAAGCCTCCCATCTATTTGACTGTAGCCAATATCATATATATGTCAGAAAGAAAAACATTTTCAAGCCTAGCCTCTATTCCCACATACTGATTCTTGCAATCTACCAATGTATATTTTATTTATGCATGGTATGAGTAGATAAAAATTATGTAAAGCCATAGAAAACTTATAAAATTATGTAAGAAAAATGGTTTTAAATTGTATCAGCAACCGCTTATTAAACAATAAACAATTGCCTTGTTACCTAAAAGATGCTGGTTCCCACTTTGAATCATCAGCAGCTGTCCCTGGGCTGGACCTACAGGTGAATTCTGACCACTGAGGGCCCATAATCATGAACCCTCCCTCAACGCCAGGACTGCTGTCCTCTCTGGGCCAGCCAGAAAAACTTCACTATCCAACCCTGCTAACGCAGTGCTTCACCAGTGTCCACCGCAGATATAGGTGCCAGAATGGGTAGATTATAACTGAAAAAATTAGTTACCAGCCCTTCTGCATTGCTTTTTCCTAAAAAGTAGTGTTTTTTGTTGTTGTTGTTGTTTGTTTTTGTTGTTGTTGTTGTTGTTGTTTTTGAGACAGTTTCACTCTTGTCACCCAGGCTGGAGTGCAATGGCGCGATCTCTGCTCACTGCAACCTCTGCCTCCCAGGTTCAATTGATTCTCCCGCCTCAGCCTCCCGAGTAGCTGGGATTACAGGTGCCTGACACCACACCCAGCTAATTTTTGTATTTTTAGTAGAGACAGGGTTTCACCATGTTGAGCAGGCTGGTCTCAAACTCCTGACCTCAAATGATCCACCCACCTCGGCCTCCCAAAGTGTTGGGATTACAAGCATAAGCCACCGTGCCTGGCAGTGCTTTCTTTCTTTCTTTTTCTTTCTTGTTTTTTTAAGGATGTTTTTCCTCTCACTCTCATTCAGGTATTATGCCAGGTTCACTTTGGCCCTTAGGGAAAAATAATGTTTGAAAAAGCCAAGATTTTTCTCTAAGTCTGGGCCCTTTCCTCAATGTCTTGGAAAAATACTAAAGACAGCCAAGTAAATGCACACAGACAAACCAACAAAATCATTAGACCATCTTGGTGAATATATTTCTAGGGATTATTATATACTGTAATAAAAAATAAATACTTTGTCTCTGTCCCGAGTTCATGGCATACAGCTCCTAAACCCTCAGAATCTCAGATTGATGGGTGTCTTTTATATGCTAATGAGATGACTGTTGGCAGGGACCCCTAGATTTCTTGAGGATTGGGTCTGGTCACAGGAAGGACCAAGGCATGATTACACTGTTGGAACTTTCAGCCCCATTCTCTATCTTACCCTATAACTCACCCAACCCCAGTCTCTGGGGAGGGGAGAGGGGCTGAAGATCGAGTTAACCGCCAATGGTAATCATTTAATCAATCATGCCTGAATAATGAAACCGTCATAATAACCCCTAAAATTCCAAGAACTTCCAGATTGGTGAACACATTGAGTTGCTGGGAGTACAGCGTACCCAGAAAGGGCACAGAAGCTCTGTGCCCCTTCTCCCATACCTTGCCCTATGCATCTCTTCTACTGGGGTGTTTCTGAGTTGTATCCTTTATAATAAACCCAATAATAATAAGTTAAAGTGTTTTCCTGAGTCCTATGAGTCATTCCAGTGAATTATTGAACCATGGGGGTGGGGTGGTGCAGGAACCTTTGTAGCCAAGTTGAACAGAAGTGTAAGCTGGGGACCCCATACTTCTCACTGGCATCTGAACTGGGGGCCATCTGTGGAGTCTGGGGCTAATTCCAGGTCGTTAGTGTTAGGATTGAATTGAACTGTAGGACACCCAGTTGGTGTCTAGAGGGTTGGAGAATTAGTTGGTATGAGAAAAAAACCCACATATTGGGTGTCAAAAGTGTGGTAAGTAAAAATAATTCCTTTTATCCTTGTTTTTTAAGAAAAGAATTAATACTAACACCATACGTTATAAAAATGGATAGTGGTTGTTGAATAAAAATTAAAGTAGCTGTAGGCCAGCTCAGTATTAGAAGATAAATAAGGGAAGATAAATGCATGCTACTTTCCTATAATTACTCAGCACCTCAGTGAACATCAGAAAGCTATTTCTGCAGCTTATTTGTAGGTGCTTATTCTAGCTAAGGCACTGTTAGCCCTCAGAGGAAATCCAAAATTATACCACACATGGCCCCTGCTTTAAAGGAAGTAATTTTAATGACCCACAAAGTGGTTTATAAACTCTACTATAAAAGATATTTGGGTCTATATTAATATCGTTCACAGAAAACCTCTTTCTTCCAACATCTTAAAATTCAGAAAGATATTTCTCCTTGGAAGGTATAAGAGTTATACTGATTTTTTAAAAATTAACAAAACCATGAGTTTATACAGTGCATGTGAAATGTTCTTATTCTGTAATTTCAGTACAAACATATCAGCACATGTAAATTTTTTAGAAAATATCTGGCACACATTTCATGTGAAAGACATACATTTGAAGAATTTCTAAAAAAGAATATGGTACATGAGCATAAAAACTGCTTTTTATTCTTTGAACTCTTAAAAAGCATTTTTAATACAAAGTTCACATAAACACCACTGTTTCTAAATTTCTGGCAGAACAAGCTGTAGAAGCAATTTCAAAGACCTATGCCTGCAGTAAATACTTGTTAAATGACCAATGAAAAAAATTATCAGGCAAAGCTTTTGCTTCTGAGTGAGAGGCAGTTAAATAGAGAATAACACTGTTCTGAAGAGTATATATGACCTGCATCTAATGCAATGATTTATATTCCTTTAGGAGAAAAATCAGCACTGAAATTGAATTCCCTGAGAAACTGGAAGAAACCAAGCTCATAGTAACTGAAAATGAAGACCATGAAAAACTCCAAGTTAAAATCCAGGCTTTTGAAGACAAGATAAATGCAGGGAGCAATACCCCTGGCTCTATCAGAAGATATAGTCTGGGCCAAGTTTCTAAAGAAGAAAGAAAAAACATTAGATTTAACAGGTATAACTCGTTTGGTTTGTTTTTTAAATCATACACTTCATGTTCGCTATTAGCTTTGTTATCACTCTGTTATGGGGTGTTTTTTATATATCTTTTACCCATTGCCACCCAAAGTGCCATCCTTACATGAATGAAATATCATCCACAATGCTCTCATTATCCAAAGAAACTCACTATTTTAAATGGGTACTATGAATGGAAAACAAATCTATTGCTTATATGCCATATGGAAAATACTGTCTCTTGATTTCTGATGAAAAATCAAAAGCAAAAGTAGACAAAGATGAAAAATATGTAAGTCTACTATTTTGCAGCCAGTTTTGCCATGAAATTGATTTTTAAACTTTGTTTTTGGAGGTGACTTAGATTTTCAAAGGTTTGGTTTATTACATCATTTATTGGTGGTATACATTTATCAGGCCTGTTAATAGTTTCACACTCCAGAGGAAGTAACTTTTTGTCCCAATATTATTATTATTTCTTTTCCTTGTCAGTGAATGGTAACACAACTTCTTTAACTTTCCCTTTGTTTGAACTCTAGGTCAAAAAGTTTGGCTTTCCACACTATGCTCACAAAGGGTGTGGGTTCAGATGACGGCGAAGATGAAAACAGGGGAGACATACCAGCCAGCATCTCTCTTTCAGAAATAGACCCACTTGGCCAAGGAAATGACAAGCTGCCGTTTAAGACAGACACTGAGAGATCACAGCTGGGGGAGTCTTCAGTTTCATACCCAAATATTATACATATAGACTCAGAGAATTTGTCAGAAACTGTTAAAGAAAACTCCCAGGAAGAAACTCCAGAGACAACTGCAAGTCCTATAGAATACCAAGATAAGCTCTACTTGCACTTAAAAAAAAACCTCAGCAAAGTGAAAGCATATGCCATGGAAATTGGAAAGAAGATTCCAGTCCCTGATCAGTGTACCATTGAAGGTAAGTGTTGTGTACTTCCCAAACCTGAGAAACTTCAGGAGTCACTGCAAATAAACAAAAAGCTCAAATCAGGTAAATTAGCATACTCTTTTCTGGATCTTTTGCAAAATAGATCATTTTTTTTAAATACCTTACATTATGTTAGTTTTTTTTTTTTTTTTCCCAAGAAAAGGTTGATCATCTTGATTCCCATTTGAATCTACTTGGGTGCACATAAGTCCACTGACTCTTTGATTTTTGCAAACCTCAAGATATATTATTTCTGGTTCCCTGTCCCCAGAATTCACAAAAATCCTGGAAAGAGGTCTGTGACCCTGAAGCCGGCTCTGGGGTAGGGGTTCTGCCAGAGACATTTCCCAACCACATAATCATGCAAGAAAGTCATGCATAACATTGAATATCAGCTTCCATTCAGCTACTGTGTTCCAGGCACTGTGTTAAAAGTACTCAAGATTCAGCTATAAACCAAACAGATACAATTCCTGACCTCTTAGAGTTTAGAGTATAGATGATGATGCTCAACTTAGGATGAGACTATGTCCCCAAAAACCCATTATAAGTTGAAAATGCACCTAGTTTACCAAACATTACAGCTTAGCCTAGCTTACGTTAAACATGCCCAGAACACTTAGGACACTAGCCTACATTAGGCAAAATTACCTAACGCAAAGCATATTTTATAATAAACTGTTGAATATCTCATGTAATTTATTGAATGCTGTACTGAAAGTGAAAAATAGAATGGTTGTATAGGAACTCAAAGTATGGTTTCTACTGAATGAGTATCACTTTCACACCATTGTAAAGTCAAAAAATGGTAAATTCAACCATCTTATGTCAGGACCATCCATACACAAAGAAAAGGGCACAACCATAGTCAGGAGGTGGCTTAAAAGAAAGAAGCCAGTGAGAGGTTGAGCTAGTCAGAAAACGAAGGGCAAAGTAAAAAAATAAAAAATTTTAAACAGGATGTCAGGGGCCAGGACCTTCCTCAGGCACACAAATTAGGGTGGCACCAATAAAACTCAGTAAAGGCTGGGCGCAGTGGCTCATGCCTGTAATCCAAGCACTTTGGGAGGCTGAGGCAGGTGGATCGCCTGAGGTCAGGAGTTCAAGAGCAGCCTGGCCAACATGGTGAAACCCCGTCTCTACTGCAAATACAGAAATTAGCAGGCCATGGTGGCTGACGCTTATAATCCTAGCTACTCGGGAGGCTGAGGCAGGAGAATGGCTTGAGCCCGAGAGGTGGAGGTTGCAGTGAGCCGATATCGCACCACTGCACTCCAGCCTGGGCAATTGAGTGGGACTCTGTCCCCCCACCCAAAAAAAAAATAAAAAAATTAAAAAACTCAGTAAAATTTTAAGTGACAGCAAGATCAGTAACAGTGTCTTACTGAGTCATAGTGGAACGTAAGGCAAAAGGAATAATTAGTAATATCAATCCTGTCCCTAATTACAATTTTGATATTTTGTTCATCATACATTATTTGCATTAATTTTAATTCTAAAAAAATTATATATCTTGATTACTATATATTTCTGACACTCCTTTACATTTTGTGCCGTAGTCCTTCCTGGACCTAGGAAAGGAAATGTGTTTGAGACACGGGTCCTAAAATGCCATAGTGCTAGGGCAGACTCACTTTTCTAGTAGTGGGTTGAACAAGTCTGGATAGCTTTAAGGCACTCTCAGGCTCATAATCTTTACAATAACAATTCTTAGGCAGCAACCATGTTCTTCCCTTGAGATCTATGTGATGGTTCTAGCACTCTGGCATGATCTGCCATCTTGTAGGCTACAGCCCTCATAGAAAAAGCCAGACAGCTCAGCCTCCAGAAAGAAAAATAGTTGAAGAATAGCAAATCCAATTCATATTCATCTGCCCACTGGCTATCAGGTTTAGGTACTAGAAGAGCCCTTTTTTCCATATTCTACTTTCTAGCCCTTTTCCCACTTCAAATCAGAGGAAAGAGTGTGTTCTCATGCTAACAAAGGGAAAGGGGGATTCAAATGTTTAGTGATAACATTATAATATTATTTAGCATGTCTGTTATAATCTGACACTTTCAAAAGTGTTTGCACTAACTTTATTAGCCTTCCTAAGACTTTTAAAGCCATTTTAATGGTGACAATAAAAGATTGCTTATATTCAAATATAAGTATTAGATAAGTATACCAGGGCTTGGAAATAGCTAAAATCAATAAAATTCCATCAAAATCAACACTTTACAATTGCCTACTTTGCTAATAATCTGTGTATCTATTGCACAAGTTGGAGAATTTAATATAAGAGAGATTAAGTGAATTCCCCAGTTTGACACAGGGAGTCAATAGCAAAGATAAAGGTAAAATAGTGGGATTTTTCAAAGTTGATCTAAAGCATTAAAGGTTTACTATGCAATGAGTTTTAGTCTTGTGGAAATGTGTGAGAAAATCCTGCAGATTTACCTCAAACTTCTACTTGTCAAAAACAAATGATATTTCTTATTGCCTTGAGCTATTTTAGGAGTTAAAATTACAGATGGTCCCTGATTTATGGTGGTTTGGCTTATGATTTTTTGACTGTACAATCGTGCAAAAGCCATATACATTCAGTAGAAACCATACTTTGAATTTTGATTCAAAATTCTTCATAACAACTAGCTTTATTATATAGGCTTTGTGTTAGATTGTTTTGCCCAACTGTAGACAAATGTATGTATTCTGAGCACATTTAAGGTAGGCTAGGCTAGGCTATGATGTTCGGTAGGTTAAGTGTATTAAATGCATTTTTGATGTAAGATTTTCAACTTACAATGGGGTTATGGGGACATAACCCCATCATAAGTCAAAAAGCATCCGTAGTTTGACAATTAACTAGTTAACTTTGCTTTTTTTTCCCAAAAATGTTGAATAAATTCATCATCTGTACTTAAAAAAAAAGAATACTTTCTTTTGATACTGATGTTTCCTGCCAGGGATGACCTAGATAACCTAGGACTGAGTATGTATTTTTTTAGTTGACATTTTGGAATTCATTCATACTCTCGGAATTTCCTGGGCAATTCCTTGCACAGAGATATGTGTGAAGGATCAAAAATTTGTATGATTCACTGGTAATACATCCGCTGAGAAAGAGCTCAGGCTGATTGCAGGGGACACATTGTTATTACTTCAGAAGTACTGTAAATTATTCAGTGACACACCAGCAGTCATCTGGCTGACACAATTTTGCTTGTTATCCTAAGATTGCTCAACAATATTACCTTTCTTTCCTTAAAATCTTATTTAAAAAAGATTTAGGCTTAATTGTGTTATGTTTGATGTGTTTTTTATATAAATGCAACATATTTGATCTTTCTTGATGAATTATGCATAGTAGTCAAGAAGCAAAGAGAAGAAGCATAAAAACCACTTCTGAAACATTTAAAGTTAAAGGGACATATAGCCAGCAGGAAATAACAACAAAGTGTTAAGAAAAATTTTGGACTGCTGTTACAAAGTCCATACGCTAGGAACACGACAAAACAACCTTTGAAAGAAATTCTTTTGATGTTAGGTTGGTCCATATGAAAAAACTGACATTAGACTGTTTTGACATATAAAAATATCAATTTCATATGGTTCCACATAATACTTCAGTATAAACTATGTTAAATGAATAGGAACCTCACTGGTCACTGTATAGCAGAATTCGGTATGAGTTGAATCAGGGTCACAAATAGCATTCATAACTCCAGTCAGCCATCTATTGTTGCATAATATTGATCACACTGGGAACAGGCAATAGAGTATAAATAGATCAGTAAGAATCTATCACTGTGTCTGGAAAAAAATGTCAAACCCCAGGTCTTATTAAGTTTGGGTCGGCAGTGTCATTTTGGATATGAAACAGCCTGTTATTCCTAGGTCAGTAATTCACTTCTGAGCCTTGTAGGTCTCTAGTATTTGTGCAGGTTTACCAACCACTTAAAGTTATGTATTCATAAGCAGAGCAATGGTCTAATATCACTGGCTGATTGTATTTATTTACAAGACTGGAGGAACTGAATTCATGTGCCAAAGGGCATTTTAAAAATCCGAATCATTGGCATTCATTTATGTGAACAAAGCTGATTAGAGGTCAAAAAAACACACACATGATATTGTAATAAATCCTTGGAAATCTGGCCCATAACTGAAGTTCTATAAAGAATAATATAAAAGCTTACAAGAACCTATCAATGTTACTTTGAAGTATTTCCTGATTGGGTGAAAATACATCCCATCTGTAGAGTGTATCAGCAAGGCTGACTTATAGAAAGCTAATTTTTAAGCTGGTAATGTAGTCCTTTCTTTATAGACCCACACAAGTTGATTTTTCTTTTTTGTTTTTTTCTTTTCTTTTTTGAGATGGAGTCTCACTCTGTCACCAGGCTGGAGTGCTGTGGCACAATCTCGGCTCACTGCAACTTCTGACTCACTGGTTGAAGTGATTCTCCTGCCTCAGCCTCCCGAGTAGCTGGGATTACAGGCACACGCCACTAGAGCCAGCTAATTTTTGTATTTTTAGTAGGGACGGGGTTTCACCATGTTGACCAGGATGGTCTCAATCTCCTGACCTCGTGATCCGCCCATCTCGGCCTCCCAAAGTGATAAGTTGATTTTTTTCTTAAAATGAGATTAATTATTAATATCAATTAGTGGGCATTGTTTTCATGGTTAATGACAAATAAAGCCTCCTTACTGAAAATGTGCATGTAGTCAAGTCCACCTCAGTGTTGGTGTGACTGTGGGGTGCTCACATCCTCCTGGTCCAGTTGGTCCCATCTGGGGGATGTTGATTACGCCCATCCACTTAATGCTTCTGGGGAAGGTTTCTTTTTTATTTTTTAATGGATTAGTTTAATCATGGGATTAGGATAATTTATCCATGAATTGAAGTTGTAAAATTTGGAGCCAGAGAAGAATTTTAAATCTTTTTCACACAATTTGAGAAAGAAAAACAGCAAATAGGAAAATGTTACCAAATTTCCTGGAGCCTCATTCATTAAGGTGGTCTCTTGGGCCCCTGTTAGAAGGGCACTTACTAGGGAATACTTTTCTAGCAAACTTTTCTTGGTGCTTTGGGACTTTTCTTGGATTACCTTACTTACCTGCTCCCACCTCTCCAAAAAGTGAATTTTAGTTGACAAAGGCAGACATAACAGCGACTGGTTTCTATCTTTACTTTCTCCTACCACACATATCCCAATCCCAGTCATCTGCAACAGCCCGTGAAACACATCCAAATAACAAGAAGAAATGAAGATTTACAAATCCTTTTGAAAAGACTCTCTGCAAACTGCTCTAATGAGTTGACATCAGAACACTGCCCTTGTACATCCTCAGCCAAGAGTAGGTGCAAGACTCGGGCGTGTAACAACAAATCACTGGGAAGGATGTCACCTACTTGCATCCATGACTTAACATGTTGCAAACTTCCAAAAGAAGACATAACATAACTTTATTTCTCATTAATTATATTTTTAAAAGCTCTTCTTTAAAATAAAGAAAAAGCTTGGTTTCCTTTGCACATTTAAATAAATAATTAAAGAAAAGTGTTCTGGCCGGATGCAGTGGCTCATGCCTATTACATAATCCCAACACTTTGGGAGGCCAAGGCAGGCGGATCACCTGAGGTCAGGAGTTCGAGACTAGCCTGGCCAAAATGGCAAAACCCCATCTCTACTAAAAATACAAAAATTAGCCAGGCGTGGTAGCACGCGCCTGCAGTCCCAGCTACTCAGGAGGCTGAGGCAGGAGAATCGCTTGAACCTGGGAGGCAGAGGTTGCAGTGAGCCGAGATCACACTGCTGCACTCCAGCCTGGGCAACAGAGCAAGACTCTATCTCAAAAAAAAAAAAAAAGTTTCTTACAATGCAGATGGACAAAGGAGTATGTTGTTTGTCTGCATGTCTAGTTAACCTGTTATTTATCTACAGATGAGATGAATATTCATCTGACTAGAAAACAGTGCAAAATAAAATTGGTTGAGCACATGCACACTCTTAGGACATTTTGTATGGAGATCCAGGAGCAGTTATCTGACTGAAAATGAAATCTGTCATCTCAAACCTTGAAATGCCTAATTCCCCTAATATAGTATCCACCTTAGGTGTGTCTCTAATAGATTTAAAGGGACCTTGCTAACAAATAGAGGCAAAAGTAAATACATAAATGGAGCGAAAATGCACAGGAGTATATTTCAATATATCTCACCCTAAAAGTCACCACATTAAAAGAAAAATGAGGAGATGTGGGTGGTGTAAAAGCAGTTGTTTTCTGTGGCATATTTCATATTTTTAAATATATTTTTGAAATGTATTATTATTAAGATAGAAGGGTATATAGCAATATACTCTTATATCCACAGTCAGTACTTTTATCTTTTTTGAGGGAAGCTTATACTCAGAGATTATTATCAGTCATCCATTATTGTTGTTTGGGGACTGTCTTTACTCCAAGGGATGCAGTGCAGTATAAAATGGTCCTGAGCCCCTGACAGTCCCCAGCAGAAGAGTACATTCCAATCCAGTTTGCCACAAACCAAATTTCAGTAAAGTGAATGTTATTCTTCCATTTACTTTCATTATGAAACTGGCAGTATATGCCCTGTAGGGAAACAGAGTGGTCCCTGGATGTCATCAAATCTCATTTAAAAACAGAGTAAACAGAGTAAATCCATATTTTTTAGCTCTGTTGGTGATGAAGAGTTGGTAGCCAGGAAACTGAAAAGAGATTATATCGCTGGGTGAAGGGTTTTGATAAGACAGAGGAAAAGGTGGGGGTGGAGGAGGGTAGATTATTTCCTCCTATTTGCTCCACAACAACCATCAAATTTCAGGTGACGGAGGATTTTTAAATATTTTTCCAAAATCATAGGCAATTACATAGTTAGCAATTGAGAGTCCAGGTATTTGATAATTTAGTAGGAAATGATCTGTGTTACAGTTCATTTTCAGAGAGGTGCATATTTACAGCAGATGAGTCCAAAGCTGACAGAGTCTACTTGGATTGAGGCAAAAAGAGCTGAGTAAAAGACAGCTAATTCCTATGTCTACATTTTTACCCTGTTCACATTAGGGACTGGTGAAAAATTATAAAACACAGGGTTTTGTTTTTTTGTTGTTGTTGTTTGTTTGTTTTTCTTATAAAAAGATTCAGTTGGCCCGGTGTGGTGGCTCATGCCCATAATCCCAACACTGGAAAGCCGAGGTGGGTGAGTTGCTTGAGCCCAGGAGTTCACGGCCAGCCTGGGCAGTATGGTGAAACTGCTTCTCTACAAAAAATATGCAAAAATAAGCCAGCCATGATGTGCACTTGTAGTCCCAGCTGCTTGGGAGGCTGAGGTGAGAGAATCGCTTGACTCCAAGAGGTCGAGGCTGCAGTGAGCGGTGACTGCACCACTGCCCTTCAGCCTGGGTGACAAAGAGAGACCCAGTCTCAAAAAAAAAAAAAAAAGAGTGAGAGAGTCAGCAAACTTTTAAAGGTAATTTGCTTTACAGAAAATCATCATTTTTCAGATGAAAATATCCACATCAATTATCCCGCAGCCATTAAAATATTACACTGGCATTAAAATAAGCCACAAATGCAGGAAATGTAAAACTGTCAAAGAAACTCTGAGAGTGTGATTCTGTTTCTCATATAAAACCCTGTAGTTTATACATGTAAGTAAAAACTACTTTTTACAGATGATCACTTCAGTTTAGATGTTTGAAGAAATATTAATCTGGGAAGTAATGCCTTACATGGCTAGGGACAATGACAGGTGACTGTGTCTCCCCAGTGAGATTTCTAAGCCTCAACGCACAAGAATGTTGTCATCTACTTAGCTGGTATTTGTGCTCAAATCACCTGGTGTTGGGCCAGGCAGGGAGAAACTTAGCCAGCCACCCCTAGAGTTCCCTGGTCTCTCAAACTTGAGGGATTTGTTAGTGATGCCTGAAAGGTTCATTCTCTGGATATGCTTTGGAGACTTGCCTGGCAACAGCAGAGATTGCCATGCTCATTTATGCCTTCATTCATTCATCAGCCAACTCTTCTTGAGAACCTGGCAGTACCAGGCACGCTGCTGTAGGCAGGGGATACAACTGTGTGCAGAATAGACATGGACTCTGCTTTCTTGGAACTTACATAATACGTAGTTACAAAGTGAGATGATTTATCTGCAGAAAAGGAACACGGTTCTGTCAGAACCTATCACATGGAATCTGCCCTAATCTGGGGGTCAAAGTAGCTTCCCTGGAGAAGGAACTCTTGAGAAATGTGAAGAGTAAGTAGAGGTGTGGGAGCTGAAGAGAACCGTCTGTCCTGTGGAAAGAAGGAGCACAGCCTACTCCAGGGACTGGAAGTTGGCCCCCTGGGGAGCAGTGAAGTGAAGTGAGGAGGAGGATAGTTCAATGTAGGCAGGGATCTGGGCTCTATCCTGAGAGAAAAGTCAGATTGAAAACATATCTCCCTACCTGCAATGTGGAGATTAGTCTGTAGAGGGGGCTAGAGACTCCTTAGGAAGCAAATGCTATTCTACAGGTGAATAGCAGATTCATTCATTCATTCAACAAAAATTTGAGTCCCTAAGTTTTGCTAGGCACTGAAGATATAGCAGCAAACAAAAGCAAATCTCTCCCTTCTTGGAACTTATTCTGTGGGATGATATGGACCAAGAACAAAAAATATATAGAAAGAATAATGCCAAATAGTGACAGATGCTGTGAAACAAAACAAGTTGGAGGGGGGATAAAGAATGGGATTACTATTTAGGTAGAGTAACAGGGGAAGGTCTCTCTACTGAAGTGATTTTGCAATGGAGACATGAATAAGGAGAAGCAGCAAGGACGGAACAGTAAATACAAAGCCATGAGGCAGAAGGACACTTTATGTGTGGCACCCTAGATTAGGGTGGTTGGACTACAGGTGGTGAGAAGTGTTCACTCCAGATATATTTCAAAGGAAAGCTGTCAGCAGTGCTGGTGGGTTGGGCCTAATCACCCAATGGATGGATGAGACAGATAAGACTAGAGGAAGAATGTGTGGGGAGATACAAATCAAGAGCTTGGTTTTAGACACATGAATTTTGAGATGACCACTCATTCTTTTTTTTTTAATTAATAAACTTTACTTTTTAGAGAAGTTTTAGGTTCACAGCAAAATTGAGTGGAAAGTATAGAGAATTCCCATTTACCTCCTGTGCCCCACTACACACACAACTTCCCCCACTGTCAGCATCCCTCACCACAGCGACACATTGGTGCAATCGATGAACTCATAGTGATACATTATCATCTAGAGTCCATAGTTTACACTGAGGTTTACTTTGGTATTGTACCTTTTATGGGTTTTGACAAATGTATAATGACCTGCGTCCGTTATTGTAGTTTCAAACAGAGTAATTTCACTGCCCTAAAAATCTTTCCTGTTCTGCTTCTTCATCTTGTTCATTCTTCATCCATTCATTCTACAAAATTTTTGAGTGCCTACTACATGCCAGCACACTCCAGGGACTTGCGAAACACCAGTGATCAAAATAGGCAAATATCCTTGCCTCCATGGAGGCTGTTCTAGTGGGAAAAGATGTATGATAAATAATAGAAATGATAAATAAGTAAAATATGTAGGATGTTACAAAGCGTTAAGTGCTATGATAAAGAGAAAAATAGAGCCAGCCAAGAAAACCCAGGAAAAAAAAGGATTTACATATATGTGTATGTATGTACAAATTTGGAGGGAGGGGGGAAACTTCTAGAAGGATACACATCAAGCAGCTATCACTGTTTTTCTCTGAAGAATCACACTGGGGCTGAGTGCAGTGGCTCACATCTGTAATCCCAACACTTTGGAGGACAAGGTGGGCAGATCGCCTGAGCTCAGGACTTCAAGAAGAGCCTGCGCAAAATGGCAAAACCCCACCTCTATTAAAATATCCAAAAATTAGCTAGGAATGGTGGCATGCCTCTGGTCGCAGCTTCTCAGGAGGCTGAGATAGGAGAATCACTTGAGCCCAGGAGGTGGAGGTTGAGCCAAGATTGCGCCACTGCACTCCAGCCTGGGCAACAGAACCAGATCCTGTCTCAAAAAAATAAAAAGAAAAATAATCAGATTGGGGGTGCAGGCAGAGAAGAAAGCGAGAGGGAGGGGGAAATTTGAACATTTTAATGTAAATATTTCTGCAAGGTTTGGAAATTTTTAATAAGAATAATTGGCTTCAGTAACAGAGATGCAGGTAACTTGGAACTAGGTAATAACTCCAGATGCCCAGCGTCCTATCTAAATTGGGTTCCAGTCCCACCTCTGCTGCAGGGCAATTCTGATTCCTTGAACAGGTTACTTCATCTCATTGGTCACCACTTCCTCACACTTATCCCAAGAGTATATTACAGAGCCATGGGTTTGCAAGCTCTGCTCCCTATAGAGGCTCCAGAGACCCTTTTTTCCTCCCTTTACCTGCCCTGCAAACAGAACAACCCTGATGTAGCTGGCTTCACACACTAGCCTTCCTGAAGAATGTTTAAACCAAGAATTCCACAGCTTAAAGAAACTTGAAAAACACTGGGCTGGATAACTTTTAAGGTCCTTTATGCTCTAAATGCAATTAATCCCTAGTGTCTTATGGCAGAGCTGGCAAAGTATAAAACATTAGTTATTCAGCCAAGGTTTTTTTGTTGTTGTTGCTATCAGCCTCAAACAACTTTATTACTAATTTTGTATCTCCAATGTAAAGTAAAAAACAAAACTTTTCTTTCATATTAATTTCCTGTCCTTTCTCTAGACATCTGCATTCATCAGTTTACTACAGTTGGGAGAAAATAAGCCAGATTGTTCATAGTTGTGAGGTTTGTCTCACTATTTGCTTGGATTTATTCATTAATATGTATCAAACAGCACATAACCAACCATGATCAGCAAATTAATGCATTGTGTCTGTCCTGACTGTTTCTATTCTAACAGTTTTGTTCACCTTACTCAATAGAAAGTTATCTATTTCAAACAATACGTGAAGCAGCCTATAAAAATATATAATAAAGCAAAAAGAATTTTTACTCAATGTAGAGGGGAAAATAAACATAGAGAAAGAAAATGAATCCAGTAGTTGAGTTATTTTTCAGAAACTTATCCCTGGAAATATTCACAATTGCTATATGTGGTTTGAAATTTACTTCTGAGCACCCTAGTGGTCATAGTAAGGAGGGCAACAATATTGGTTTAAAAATCTACAGTGTCCATAAATAAAAGTGTACTAAGTGCTGGTGGGAGTAGGGGAAGAAAGCTGTTTATTTGGCTGATGAATGCTGTTCTCACTAAAGCCAGTTCATCAAAATAGGTGTTTATATTATGCAACAAACATACAACCATTAAACATAACAATAGAGCAATTATTCTAAACCAGAGGTAATTTTGTCTCCCCCATTTGATAATGTCTAGGGACATTTTTCATTGTCACAGCTTGGGAGTGGGTGCTACTGACTTCTAGTGGATACAGCCCAGGAATGCTGCTAAATATACTACAATGCGCAGGTCAGCCCGCCACCCCAAAACAAAGAATTAATCCAAAAATATCAGCAATGGTTGAAAAACGCTGCAACAGATCCTCGCTTCTTGAAATATGGTCCATGGACCAACAACATCAACATCACCTGGGTACTTGTTAGAAATTCAGATTCTCTGGCTTACCCTAGACCTATTGAATCAGCATCTACAGTTCCACAAGACTGCCACCTCCAACCAGGTGTTTCATAACACATTGAAGGTAAGAAGCACTACTACAGAAATAAGAATTTCCAGTAGACACTAGTAGTAGAGAAAAGACAATGAATTTGTGATTGAATTAATGGACTCTTCATTTAATGATCACCTATTAATTGAGGAGATGGGCCAAGTGCGGTGGCTCACGCCTGTAATCCCAGCACTTTGGGAGGCCAAGGCGGGTGGATTGCTTGAGGCCAGGAGTTTGAGACCAGCCTGTCCAACATGGATGTTCAAGTGATGTTCGTGAATGTTCAAGCGATTCTCCTGCCTCAACTTCCCAAGTAGCTGGGACTACAGGTGTGCGCTACCACTCCAGGCTAATTTTTGTATTTTTATTAAAAATGGGGTTTTACCATGTTGGCCAGGCTGGTCTTGAACTCCTGACCTCAGGTGATCTGCCCACCTTGGCCTCCCAAAGTGATGGGATTACAGGCATGAGCCACCTCACCTGGCCATATATACCACCTTTTCTTTATCCATTCATTTGTTTTGGGGGACCCGGGTTGATTCCGTATCTTAACTATTGTGAATAGTGCTGCAATAAGCATGGGGGCGCAAATGTCTCTTCAATATAATAATTTCCTTTCCTTAGGATAAATGCCCAGTAGTGGGATTGCTGTGTCATATGGTAGTTCTATTTGTAGATATTGAGGGACCTCCATACTGTTCTCTATACTGGTTGTACTAGTTTGTATTCCGAACAGCATGTAAGAGTACTCTTTTCTCTGCATCCTCACCAGCATTTGTTATTTTTTTTCTTTTTGATAATAGCCACTGTAACTGGGGTGAGGCAATACCTCATTGTGGTTTTGGTTTGCATTTCTTTGATGATTAGTGATGTTGAACATTTTTTCATATATTTGTCGGTCATATGTATGTCTTCTTTTGAGAAATATCTGTTCAGATCATTTCCCCATTTTTAAATCAGATTGTTAGATTTTTTTGCTGTTAAGATATTTGAATTCCTTGTATATTCTTGATGTTAATATCCTGTTGTATGAATAGTTTGCAAATATTTATTCCTATTTTGTAGGTTGTCTTTTCATTCTGTTGATTGATTTCCTTTGCTGTGCAGAAGCTTTTTAGTTTGAAATAATCCCATTTGTTTATTTTTGCTTTTGTTGCCTGTGCTTTAGAAGTCTTATTCATAACATCTTTCCCCAGACAAGTGTTTTGAAGCATTTTCCTTATGTTTTCTTCTAGTAGTTGTATAGTTTCCAGTTTTACACTTAGGTCTTTGATTCATTGTGAGTTGATTTTTGTATAGGATAAGAGGTAGGAGTCCAGTTTCATTCTTCTGCATATGGATATCCAGTTTTTGCAGCATCATTTATTGAAGAGACTATCCTTTTTCCAATGAGTTTTCTTGGCATTTTGTCAAAAATTAATTGGCCGCAGATATGTGGATTAATTTCTAGGTTCTCTATTCTGTTCCATTGGTCTACGTGTCTGTTTCTATGACAGTACCATGTTGTTTTGGTTACTACAGCTTTGTAGTATTTTTTGAAGTCTGGTAATGTGATGCTCCAGCTTTGTTCTTTTTGCCCAGAATTGCTATGGCTATTTGGGGTCTTTTATGGTTCCATGCAAAGTCTAGGATTTTTTTTCTATTTATGTGAAGAATGTCATAGGCATTTTGATGGTGACTCCGTTGAATCTGTAGACTGCCTTGGCTAGTATGGTCATTTTAATGATATTAATTCTTCTGATGAGCATGGGATGTCTTTCCATTTGTTTGTATCCCCCTAAATTTCTTTCATCAGTGTTTTGTAGTTTTCCTTGTAGAAGTCTTCCACCTCTTTGGTTAAATTGATTCGTAGGTGGTGGTGGTTTGTATTAATAGCTATTGTACATTGCATTGCCTTCTTGATTTCTTTTTCAGCTAATTCATTGTTTGTGTATAGAAACACTAATGATTTTTTTGTATTCTGCAACTTTACTGAGTTCATTTATTAATTCTTAGAGTTTTTTGGTAGCATCTTTAGGTTTTTCTATATATATGATCATGTCATCTGCACAGAGGACTATTTGACTTCCTCCTTTCCAATGTGGATACCCTTTCTTTCTTTCTTTCTCTTACCCATTTGCTCTAAGACTTCCAGTACTAGGTTGAATAAGATTGGGGAGAGTAGGCATCCTAATCCTGTTCCAGTTCTTAAAGAAAATGCTTTCAGTTTTTCTCCATTCAGTAAGACATTAACTGTGGGTTCGTCATATATGGCTTTTATTATTTTGAAGTATGTTCCATTGATGCCTAGTTTGTTGAGAGTTTTTATCATGAACGGACATTGAATTTTCTCAAATGTTTTTCCTGCATCTATTGAAATAATCATCTGGTTTTTGTTCTTAATTCTATTGATATAATTTATGACATTTATTGATTTGCATATATTGAACCATTTTGCATTCCTGCAATAAATATCACTTAATCATGGTGTATTATCATTTTGAGGTGTTGTTAGATTTGATTTGTTAGATTTTATTGAAGATTTTTCCATCTATCTTCATCAGGGATATTGGCCTGTAGTGCTATGTTCATCTGGGATAATGGCTTGTAGTTTTATTTTCTTGCTGAGTCCTTGTCTGGTTTTGGTATCAGGGATATGCTGGCCTCACAGAATGAGTTAGGAATAATTTCCTCTGCTTTAATTTTTTTGAAGTATTTTGAGAAAAATTGGTATTAATTCTTCTTTAAAGGTTCAGTAGAATTCAGTGGTGAAGGCTGCAAGGGGGTGCTGCAGGGCCATTTTTCAGACCTTGAGTGTGGGTGCCTATGTGGCCAACCTGCTGGCCCAAGGGGTCAGAGGACCACAGCAATGGATAAATAGCTAAAATTTGACTGGAGTGTGGAAGGGAGAGCACGGAAGTGCAGCAGGGGAGTAGAGATGCACATGTGGTGATTGGAAGCCCAGGAGGGCAGCGTGGAGGCACCAGGCCTCTGCAGCCCCCTCTTCCTTTTATGGATTGGATCTGCCTAGAATCAGGAGGGACTTCCCATTTCCAGGACTGTTGATCTAACAATCTGATTTAAAAATGGGGAAATGATCTGAACAGATATTTCTCAAAAGAAGACACACATATGACCAACAAGTATATAAAAAATGTTCAACATCACTAATCATCAAAGAAATGCAAACCAAAACCACAATGAGGTATTGCCTCACCCCAGTTACAGTGGCTATTATCAAAAAGAAAAAAAAAATAACAAATGCTGGTGAGGATGCAGAGAAAAGAGTACTCTTACACGTTGTTGGGAATATAAACTAGTATAACCACTAAAGAGAACAGTGTGGAGGTCCCTCAATATCTACAAATAGAACTACCATACGATCCAGCAATCCCACTACTGGGCATTTATCCTAAGGAAAGGAAATTATTATATTGAAGAGCCATCTGCACCCCCATGCCCCTCCTGCTTGGGGGCAGGCACACAGTGGTTTAGTCAGCTCAAGGCAGGGTTCTCCATGAACGGGATTGCCACACTGTTCCTTTGGCTGGAAGTGCAGAGCATGAGGTGGTTTCCCTGCTACGCAAGACCAGAATCACAGCGAATCCCCAGCCCAGGCTCCACACAGCTGTGGCTAGGTGGAATGAAGATGGACCCCCAGTGTGGGACAGGTGCAGTGGCCACTGACCCCCAGAGGAGGGCGCACTCCAGAGATGTCTGGTCTCAACGTGGCGCCCAGCGGCAGCAGCTTGGCTCACAGAGGGTGGGTAGCGGATGGAGAGTATACACTTTGTGTTCCTAATCAGAGCAATGCAGCTATGTGAATTCCTGGCAGTTCTACAAACTGGGCTTAGGGTTTGAGAGGACTGTAGGATTCTCCAGTAGTGAGGACTGTAGGTGTTTTGGTGGCAATAGGGGATGATGCGGATCTTCTGCTTACCTTTTCCTGGAAATGGGAAGTCCCACCTGATTCTAGGCAGATCCAATCCATAAAAGGAAGAGGGGGCTGCAGAGGCCTGGTGCCTCCACGCTGCCCTCCTGGGCTTCCAATCACCACATGTGCATCTCTACTCCCCCGCTGCACTTGCCTGCTCTCCCTTCCACACTCCAGTCAAATCTTAGCTGTTTATCCATTGCTGTGGTCCTCTCCTGTTGGGAGAAAGAGTGCCAGGCATCCCTCACTAGCCCTCTTGCTCCACCTCAGCTGTGTGATGGCCCATGTTTCATGTAGCAGGCGCTGGTAGCATTGGACTTTGGGCCATCTTCTCTCTACATCTCTCTGAATCTACATGATTTTCTTCTATTTATTTGAAAAATAACCTTGAATACGCTTAAATAAACATGAGTTTTTTCCCCAGGAAATGTAGACAGTTAAGACTATTCCTATGTCTCAATCATGTCTTTCTACTGAATTTTTATTTTACAGTCACATTAGTTCATATTTACAGGTACACCATGGGTTTTTTTTTTGTTGGTTTTTAACAGTTTTTAAACTGTTATAAACAGGTGAGCAAACTGTAAAAGAAACAAGACAAATATAGATATCCTTTGTATTCCTACAGTATTTCTATTGTACAGTTTCTTAGTAATTCAAGTATCAAATGTACATTGAATGCTTAAGATGTTATTGTTTCTAGAAATTTTATGTTTAACTTTGCATTCCCTGGACTATTGTGTATTTTGAATTTATTTGCAACAGCAAATAATAAAGCAATTCAATAACTATATAAATAAAAGGATTTAATTCAAAATTTAGGCTAGGCACGGTGGCTCACACCTGTAATCTCAGCATGTTGGGAGGCTGAGGCAATAGGATAGCTTGAGCCCAGGAGCTCTAGATCAGCTTGGGCAACACAGAAGAGACCCTGTCTCTACCAAAAATAAATTTTTAAAAAATCCAGCTAGTCATGGTGGCACGTGCTGATGGTCCCAGCTACTTGGGAGGCTGAGGTGGGAAGATTGCTTGAGCCAGGAGGTTGAGGCTGCAGTGAAGTGTGATTGCACCACCACACTCCAGCCTGGGCAATGAAGTGAGATCTTGTCTCAAAAGAAAAAAAAAAGTATTTAAGGCACTAAAATATGAGGACATTTCCAAAACAAGAAGTAAAACACTGACATATTACCATCCCTGGTCAGTGAAAGTATTATCTAGGAATATGTTTAATATAAATTAAAATTCCTTAGTGGGTAAGAGAAGCCATCTAATTTCAACTTAGAAACTGGTCTTTCAAACATTTGGGGCTTAAGAAATTCCCAAATGCTTTTAGTTAAGCATTACTATTGCTAACTTTTGAACTCAAGCACATTTTTAAGGAAATGTAATCCACATATTTCAAATTCATTTTTGCTTTATCTACCAGGGTATACTTTGTAAGATCTTCTGATTCCTATAAGATATTTTGCTGATAATAGAAATCTTATCAAGAAATGCCCTTTGGAGATATTAAGAAGAGGCCTATACCCAGACTGCCATAATGATGACCTTACTGACTTTTTTTTAATTAAGTTCTAGGGTACATGTGTACAACGTGCAGGTTTGTTACTTATGTATACATGTGCCATGTTGGTGTGCTGCACCCATTAACTCATCATTTACATTAGGTATATCTCCTAATGCTATCCCTCCCCCCTCCCCCACCCCACGACAGGCCCGGGTGTGTGATGTTCCCCTTCCTGTGTCCAAGTGTTCTCATTGTTCAATTCCCACCTATGAGTGAGAACACGCAGTGTTTGGTTTTTTGTCCTTGGGATAGTTGCTGAGAATGATGGTTTCCAGCTTCATCCATGTCCCTACAAAGGACATGAACTCATCCTTTTTTATGGCTGCATAGTATTCCATGGTGTATATATGCCACATTTTCTTAATCCAGTATATCATTTATGGACATTTGGGTTGGTTCCAAGTCTTTGCTATTGTGAATAGTGCCGCAATGAACATACGTGTGCATGTGTCTTTATAGCAGCATGATTTATAATCCTTTGGGTATATACCCAGCAATGGGATGGCTGGGTCAAATGGTATTTCTAGTTCTAGATCCTTGAGGAATCACCACACTGACTTCCACAATGGTTGAACTAGTTTATAGTCCCATCAACAGTGTAAAAGTGTTCCTATTTCTCCACATCCTCTCCAGCATGTGTTGTTTCCTGACTTTTTAATTATTGCCATTCTAACTGGTGTGAGATGATATCTCATTGTGGTTTTGATTTGCCTTTCTCTGATGGCCAGTGATGATGAACATTTTTCCATGTGTCTGTTGGCTACATAAATGTCTTCTTTTGAGAAGTGTCTGTTCATATCCTTCGCCCACTTTTTGATTTTGATGGGGTTGTTTTTTTCTTGTAAATTTGTTTGAGTTCTTTGTAGATTCTGGATATTAGCCCTTTGTCAGATGAGTAGATTGCAAAAATTTTCTCCCATTTTGTAGGTTGCCTGTTCACTCTGATGGTAGTTTCTTTTGCTGTGCAGAAACTCTTTAGTTTATTTAGGTCCCATTTGTCAATTTTGGCTTTTGTTGCCATTGCTTTTGGTGTTTTAGACATGAAGGCGTTGCCCCTGCCTATGTCCTGAATGGTATTGCCTAGGTTTTCTTCTAGGGTTTTTATGGTTTTAGGTCTAACATTTAAATCTTTAATCCATCTTGAATTAATTTTTGTATAAGATGTAAGGAAGGGATCCAGTTTCAGCTTTCTACACATGGCTAGCCAGTTTTCCCAGCACCATTTATTAAATAGGGGAATCCTTTCCCCATTTCTGGTTTTTGTCAGGTTTGTGAAAGATCAGATGGTTGTAGATGTGTGGCATTATTTCTGAGGGTTCTGTTCTTTTCCGTTGGTCGATATCTCTGTTTTGGTACCAGTACCATGATGTTTTGGTTATTGTAGCCGTGTAGTATTGTTTGAAGTCAGGTAGCGTGATGCCTCCAGCTTTGTTATTTTGGCTTAGGACTGTCTTGGCAATGCGGGCTCTTTTTTGGTTCCATATGAAATTTAAAGTAGTTTTTTCCAATTCTGTGAAGAAAGTCATTGGTAGCTTGATGGGGATGGCACTGGATCTATAAATTACCTTGGGCAGTATGGCCATTTTCATGATATTGATTCTTCCTATCCATGAGCATGGAATGTTCCATTTGTTTGTATCCTCTTTTATTTCGTTGAGCAGTGGTTTGTAGTTCTCCTTGAAGAGGTCCTTCACATCCCTTGTAAGTTGGATTCCTAGGTATTTTATTCTCTTTGAAGCAATTGTGAATGGGAGTTTACTCATGATTTGGCTCTCTGTTTGTCTGTTATTGGTGTATAAGAATGCTTGTGATTTTTGCACATTGATTTTGTATGCTGAGACTTTGCTGAAGTTGCTTATCAGCTTAAGGAGATTTTGGGCTGAGATGATGGGGTTTTCTAAATATACAATCATGTCATCTGCAAACAGGGACAATTTCACTTCCTCTTTTCCTAATTGAATACCCTTTATTTCTTTCTCCTGCCTGATTGCCCTGGCCAGAACTTCCAACACTATGTTAAATAGGAGTGGTGAGAGAGAGCATCCCTGTCTTGTGCCAGTTTTCAAAGGGAATGTTTCCAGTTTTTGCCCATTCAGTATGCTATTGGCTGTGGGTTTGTCATAAATAGCTCTTATTATTTTGAGATACGTCCCATCAATACCTAATTTATTGAGAGTTTTTCACATGAAGGGCTGTTGAATTTTGTTGAAGGCCTTTTCTGCATCTATTGAGATAATCATGTGGTTTTTGTCATTGGTTCTGTTTATATTCTGGATTACATTTATTGATTTGCGTATGTTGAATCAGCCTTGCATCCCAGGGATGAAACCCACTTGATCATGGTGGATAAGCTTTTTGATGTGCTGCTGGATTCGGTTTGCCAGTATTTTATTGAGGATTTTTGCGTCGATGTTCATCAGGGATATTGGTCTAAAATTCTCTTTTTTTGTTGTGTCTCTGCCAGGCTTTGGTAACAGGATGATGCTGGCCTCATAAAATGAGTTAGGGCAGATTCCCTCTTTTTCTATTGATTGGAATAGTTTCAGAAGGAATGGTACCAGCTCCTCCTTGTACCTCTGGTAGAATTCGGCTGTGAATCCGTCTGGTCCTGGACTTTTTTTGGTTGGTAGGCTATTAATTATTGCCTCAATTTCAGAGCCTGTTATTGGTCTATTGAGGGATTCAACTCCTTCCTGGTTTAGTCTTGGGAGGGTGTATGTGTCCAGGAATTTATCCATTTCTTCTATATTTTCTAGTTTATTTGCGTAGAGGTGTTTATAGTATTCTCTGATGGTAGTTTGTATTTCTGTGGGATTGGTGATGATATCCCCTTTATCATTTTTTATTGCTTCTATTTGATTCTTCTCTGTTTTTTCTTTATTAGTCTTGCTAGTGGTCTATCAATTTTGTTGATCTTTTCAAAAAACCAGCTCCTGGATTCATTGATTTTTTGAAGGGTTTTTTGTGTCTCTATCTCCTTCAGTTCTGCTCTGATCTTAGTTATTTCTTGCCTTCTGCTAGGTTTTGAATGTATTTGCTCTTGCTTCTCTAGTTCTTTTAATTGTGATGTTAGGGTGTCAATTTTAGATCTTTCCTGCTTTCTCTTGTGGGCATTTCGTGCTGTAAATTTCCCTCTGCACACTGCTTTAAATGTGTCCCAGAGATTCTGGTATGTCATGTCTTTGTTCTCATTGGTTTCAAAAAACATCTTTATTTCTGCCTTCATTTCGTTGTGTACCCAGTAGTCATTCAGGAGCAGGTTGTTCAGTTTCCATGAAGTTGAGTGGTTTTTAGTGAGTTTCATAATCCTGAGTTCCAGTTTGATTGCACTGTGGTCTGAGAGACAGTTTGTTATAATTTCTGTTCTTTTACATTTGCTGAGGAGTGCTTTACTTCCAACTATGTGGTCAATTTTGGAATAAGTGTGATGTGGTTCTGAGAAGAATGTATATTCTGTTGGATTTGGGGTGGAGAATTCTGTAGATGTCTATTAGTCCACTTGGTGCAGAGCTGAGTTCAATTCTTGGATATCCTTGTTAACTTTCTGTCTCGTTTATCTGTCTAATGTTGACAGTGGAGTGTTAAAGTGTCCCATTATTATTGTGTGGGAGTCTAAGTCTATTTGTAGGTCACTCAGGACTTGCTTTATGAACCTGAGTGCTCATGTATTGGATGCATGTATATTTAGGATAGTTAGCTCTTCTTGTTGAATTGATCCCTTTAGCATTATGTAATGGCCTCCTTTGTCTCTTTTGATCTTTGTTGGTTTAAAGTCTGTTTTATCAGAGACTAGGATTGCAACCCCTGCCTTTTTTTTGTTTTCCATTTGCTTGGTAGATCTTCCTCCATCCCTTTATTTTGAGCCTATGTGTGTCTCTGCACATGAGATGTGCTTCCTGAATACAGCACACTGATGGGTCTTGACTCTTTATCCAATTTGCCAGTCTGTGTCTTTTAATTGGAACATTTAGCCCATTTACATTTAAGGTTAGTATTGTTATGTGTGAATTTGATCCTGTCATTATGATGTTAGCTGGTTATTTTGCTCGTTAGTTGATGCAGTTTCTTCCTAGCCTCGATGGTCTTTACAATTTGGCATGTTTTTGCAGTGGCTGGTAGCAGTTGTTTGTTTCCAGGTTTAGTGCTTCCTTCAGGAGCTCTTGTAGGGCAGGCCTGGTGGTGACAAAATCTCTCAGCATTTGCTTGTCTGTAAAGGATTTTATTTCTCCTTC